>NC_000016.10:65774621-66077651 GCF_000001405.40 Homo sapiens | reverse complement strand
CTTATCAATTTCACTCTTTAAGATTGCTTAGCTTTTCTAGCTTCTCTGCATTTCTTTTTCCACTTTAAAATGACATCAGTTTCTACAAATAGAAGGTAAGATTTTGCAAAACTGTGGTTTAACTCAAATCCAGTGAAATACACAGATCTTAAGTGTATAGGTCAACCTGTTTGACAGGCATACGTACTCATGTAAACAACACTCCTATCAAGGCATTTCACTAACCCAAAAGCTTCCTTGTGTGTCTTTCTAGTCATCCCTCCACCTCCACAAAAATATCTTCAGTGATAGAAATCAGAACAGTAGTTTAGTTTCCTGTTCTAGAAATTCCTGTAAAGGGCACCAAGAAGTGTGTACTCTTGTGGGAATGGCTTTTGCTTAGCATCATATTTTTGTCTTGTCAGTGGTTTGTTCATTTTCATTGCTGAGTATTATTCCATTGTATGAATATTCCATAGTTTGTTTTTCCTTTCATCTCTGATGGGCACCTGGGCTGCTGCCAGTTTTTGGTTGTTGTGAATAAAGCTTCTATGGATATGTAATGCTTTTTTTGTGGATATTTGCTTTCATTTTTTGTAGGCGAATACCTTGGTGTGGAATTGCTGGTTGTGGACTAAATATATGTTAAACTTTTAAAGAAACTACCAGAACTTTTTCCTGAGTGGTTATGATATTTTACAATTACTAGCAAGGCACAAGAGTTTTGAATGTTTCACATCTTCACAAATTTTGGGGGTTCATTTTAGCCATCCTATGGGTGTGTCATTGTAGTTTTAATTTGCTATTCCTTGGTGACTAAAGTTGTTGAGCAAAGTTTTAAACATGTATGCTTTCTTTTGTAAATGTCTGTTCAAATCTTTTGCCTGTTCTTTATTAGCTTTATTGTATTTGTTTTTATTATTTGATTGCAGAAGATTATATATGTATGTATATATGTATTATGTATCTATTACATATATATCGTGTAGAGATATATATTAATATGGTTTGGCTCTGTGTCCCCACCGAAATCTCATGTTGAATTGTAATCCCCACATGTCAGGGGGAGGCACCTGGTGGGAGGTGATTGGATCATGGGGGCGGATTTCCCCTATGCAGTTCTTGTGATAGTGAGGGATGTCTCTGGACATCTGATGGTTTAAAAGTGTGGCAGTTCCCCCCTCACTGTCTCTTTCTCACCACCTTGTTTAGAAGGTACTTGCTTCTCCTTTGCCTTCTGCCATGATTGTAAATTTCCCGAGGTCTCCCCAGCCATGTGGAACTGTGAGTCAATTAAACCTCTTCTTTATAAATTTCCCAGTCTCAGGTATTCTTTGCAGTGGTATGAAAATGGACTAATACACATATATACTTAGAAAACATCTGTCTTTTCCATATAATGTATATATGCATATATATGTAGAACATTACCTAACTTCTACATATCTTTTGTCAGGGGTGTGTTATGAATAGTTTTCCGTATCTATGGCTTACCTATTTTCTTAACAGTGTCTTTTGATAAGCATAAGCCATTAAAAAAATTGATAAATTCAACTAATTTTTTATGGTTATGTCTTTCTGTATCATAAGCAACATTATTTAGGGCAGATTCACAAAAAATATTCAAAAAAAATTCTCCTAAAATATTTTAGTTTTTTTTCCCTAAAAGTTTTATAGTTTTAGCTTTTATAGTTAGGTCTATGTATTCTACAACACTGATACATTCACTTACTAGTGCTGCAGTTTGTTTTAGATTTATTAGAATTTGCTCTGTAGACTATGATGTTGTTGGCAAATAAAGGCAGTATCACTACTTTAAATTCATTCTCTGTGCACTTCATTTCTTTTTCTTTTCTTATTAAACTGCCTAGAGCCTCCAGTTCAATTCTAAATAGAAGTGGCAATAGAAGAGTAGACATCCCAGCCCTTTTCCCAGTCTAAGTAGGAAAGCATTAAGTAGAATATTAGTTGTACCTTTTTCATAGATAATATTTAGTAAGTGTAAGGAAGTTAACTCTCTTCCTAGTTTGTGCATTTCCCCCCCAAACCATGAATAGATGTTGAATTTGTCAAATGCGTTTTCTCTACCTGTTGAGATTATCATAGTTCCCCTCCTCCTTCTATTAATGTGTCAAATATCATTAATTAATATTTGAGTATTGAACTAAACTGCATTCCTGGGATAAATCTACAAATAGAGTTTATAAAACTGAGGTTTAACTTAAATACAGCAAAATGCATAGATCTTCCTATCAAGACATTTTTAATTTAATTATTGATGTAGTTGGATTTATGACTTTGTTCTTTTTTGTTTTTCTGCCTCTTTTTGGATTAATTGAACATTTTCCAGCAATCTATTCATTGTATCTCCTCTATTGACGTAGCAGATAAATCTCTAGACTAAGTTTTACACGATACATCCTTAACTTACAACAATGTACCTTTAAGTAATATTATACCACTTCACATTTAATATAAGAAGCATATAGGCCGGGTGCAGTGGCTCACGCCTGTAATCCCAGCACTTTGGGAGGCTGAGGCGGGCAGATCACGAAGTCAGGAGTTCAAGACCAGCCTGGCCAACTTGGTGAAACCCCATTTCTACTAAAAATACAAAAATTAGCAGGGTGTGGTGGTGTGCACAGGTAGTCCCAGCTACTCGGGAGGCTGAGGTGGGAGAATCGCTTGAACCCGGGAGGCAGAGGTTGCAGTGAGCCAAGATCACACCATTGCACTCCAGCCTGGGTGACAGAGCAAGACCCTGTCTTAAAAAAAAAAAAAAGGCATATAGCAGTATAGTGCTATTTTATTCTATGCCTTTGTGCTGTTATATTCTTGCATTTTACTTCTACAGATGTTATAATCCCAAAATATATTGTCACTATTTTGCTTTAAATATTTAATCATCTTTAAAAAAATGAAGAAATGACAGAAAAAGTCTTTTATGTTTACCCATCTGTTTTCTGTGTGTGGTATGCATCATCCCTTTGATACAAGATAGAAATTCAGATTTACACATTTTCCTATTCCCTGAAGAACTTCCTTCAACATTTTTTATAATGTCGGCTTTTTAGCTATAAATTTTTTTCGGGTTTGTCTAAGAATTTCTAAATTTGCCATCATTTTGAAGGGTATTTTTTTCTGGATACAGAATTTTAGAATAACAATCTTATTTTAGCCTTTTAGAGGTGTTCTAATATTTTTTGGATTGCATTATTTCTGGTGAAAAGTCAGTGGTGATTTTTTTTTTCACTTTTTTTTTCTGTAGATGTCTTTTCTCTGACTGTATTTAAGATTTTAAACTTTGGTTTCTCAGAATTTTGTTATAAGTCTCAGTGTAGTTTTCTTTATTATTTTTGAGGTGCATAGAACTTCTTGAATCTGCAAGTTGATATTTGTTGGCAAATTTGGAAATTTTTCAGTCATCAGTGAATATTCTTTTTCTACCACAATCTTTGTCCCTTCATTTTGAGACTCTAATTTCATGTGTATTACGCTACTTGATACTGTCTCATAGTTGAGATTGTTCATTTTATTTAGCCTTTTTATCCCTCTGTGTTCCTATCCAGATGCTTTTTTTTTTGTATCTACAAAGCTACTGATTTCTTTTGTAAGGTCTAATCTGCAACTTAGCTCATTCAGTGGATTTTTAAGTGTCAGATAGTCTATTTTTCAGTTTTAGAAACTTCATTTGGCTCTTTTTAAATTAATAGATTTATTTTTAAAGCATTTTAAAATTAACAGAATTGCACAAAAAATGCAGAGTTCCCATATACCCTGTCTCATCTCTCTCTCATGCAGTTTTCTCTACTGTATAGTTTGATGAGTTTTGACACATGCCTAATGTCATGTGTCCGTATTACAGTATCATATAGAATAGTTTCACTGGACCTAAAATCCACAGCCCCCTCATATTCATCCCTTCTTTTTTCCACTCCCTCAAACCCCTGGTAACCAGTGATATTTTTACTCTGTCTCTAGTTTTGCCTTTTCCAGAACATCATGTCATTGAAAACATACAGTATTCAGTCTTTTCAGACTGGCTTCTTTTCACTTAGAAATATACACTTAAGATTTCTTCATGTCTTTTTGTGGGTTAATAGCTGATTTCTTCTTAATTGCTAAGTAATATTCCATTGTGGGAATGTAGCATAGTTTGTTTATATATTGAAATATATCTTGGCTAAGTCCAATATTTGTCAATTATGAATAAAGCTTCTATAAACATTCATGTGCAGGTTTTTGTGTGGGCATACGTTTTCATTTCATTTGAGAAAGTACTTAGGAGCATGATTGCTGGATGGTATGATAAGCCTATGTTCAGCTATGTAAGAAACTGTCCAACTATCTTCCAAAGTGACTGTACCATTTTGCATTCCCACCAGCAATGAATGAGAGTTCCTGCTGCTTCACATCCTGATCAATATTTGGTATTGCCATTGTTTTGAATTTTAGCCATTCTAATAAGTGTAGTTATTTTTATAGTCTTCATTTCTCAATTGAGAATTTCTATTTGTTCCCTCTTTATATTCTTATTTTCTTTAAGTCTTTGAAATACCAGCTGTTTTAAGTTCTTGTCTCTTAATTCTATCCTCTCTGACCCTTCTGAGTCTGTATCTATTGACTGATTTTTTTCAATAGATACAGATATGCATCTCATTTTATCTACTGTGCATGTTGATATAGTTTGGATATTCGTCCCCACTCAAATCTCATGTTGAATTATAATCCCCAGTGCTGGAGGTGGGACCTGGTGGGAGGTGTTTGGATCATGACGGCAGATCCTTTATAAATGGCTTGGGCCATATCCTTGGTGGTAAGTGAGCTGTTGTTCTGAATTCACACAAGATCTGTTTGTTTAAAAGTGTGTAGCTTCTCCTCCCTCTTACCTTCTGTTGCTTCTGCTCTGGCCATGTGATGTGCCTGCTCTGTCTTTGCCTTGCACCATGATCTTAAGCTTCCTGAGGCCTCCCTAGAAGCCGAGCAGATGCCAGCACTGTGCTTTCTGTAAAGCTGGCAGAACTGTGAGCTCATTAAACCTCTTTTCCTTATAAATTACCCAGTGTCAGGTATTTCTTTACAGCAATGCAAGAATGGACTAACACACATGTCTAGTAAGGCTTTTGTTTTTGTTAAATTGTGTGCTGAACTTTGTGGATGCTCAGTTCTTAGTTGTTGAGATTTTGATGTCTTCTTCATTCCACAGTTTGGTTCTGTTTTGTTCCAGCAGAAAGTAACATTTACTTGTGGATCTCTTAATTCATTCAAGGATTTTTAAAATAGCTCTGTGTGGGTGGTTCTAGGACTAGCTTAGCTCTATGTCTAAGGCATGGCCCTTTTACTGTCTCTACCAGATGCCTGGGGTGTTGAACTATCCTTTGATTCTCACTAGCTGGAGCCTCTCAGCCTATGTGAGCACAGGCAATTCAGATCACAGTTCCTCAGTAGTTTCTTTCCCCTACTAGCTGTCCTTTGTCTCCTGGAGTCTTGCCTTGTGCATTCAGAGCTTAGAATTCAACAAAAGATTCAAGAGAACTCCTATGTACATTTCTGGAGTTTCTCCCCTTAGACACCTTCTTTCTAGTACCATGCCCTACAAATTGCGGCCACCTCAACCTCTTTCAAGTCCAGTTTTTGTTGCCTCTTCCCATGGAGGTATCAGGCCATAATGAATCACCCAGGCAGAAAGTCAGAACCAACATGGGCCTCATCTCATAGCAGACTTGCACTGACTGTTCCCTACAACTGAAATCAGTTATCTCATGTATTTTGTCCAGTATTCTAGTTATTTAATATAGGAAGAAAACTCTGATATCAGTTATCCCTTCATGGCCAAAAGTAAACATCCCACTCATTCTTTGTGTCACATTTAACTTTCATTTCATGAATTTCGTGTTTCACAGCATCAATCTTATTTGGTATCTGAGGCTCTTGCCTTTTTCCCCTCTTTCTAGGAGACAAGTCTGATAATATCTTGGTATTTAGTAATGCTTCAGTTTAACAATACTAACTAGCATTTGTTAATTAGCATTAACTAGCACTACCCAGGGCTATCGCTGGCATCTTTATCCCAGTGGAATAAAAATTACCATTATTCAACTATTCCAGACGAGGAAAGGAAGGTTCAGTTTGGAGAAGTAATTTGCTTAACACCTCTCAGCTGGTAGGTGATGGTTTTCTGACTCTAAAACCTCTGTACTTGTAGATTTTACCATAGTTTCTACTGTCCTTGTAAATTTTCAAACCAACTTCCCAGAGCCTCGGGCCTCAAAGAGTAAGAGAGAGAAATTGAGTGTATACTCTTATCCCAGCCCACCCTATATGCTGTTTGCACTAGAGCAAATATGCTTTTTAATGTTTAACTTATTAGAGTTCCATGCAAAATATATTAAAAGCCTTTCTGCAGCAAACAAAACAAATTTGTGGGACACTATTGTGCCACATGAGGCATTAATTTGCCCTTTTAAAATATTGGTTTTCTCCAAGAGGAGCAAGAAACTGCTAAGGAAGAGAAAAGTCTCTGTAGTTTCCTTTCCCTATTGTGTGATGCTGCAGAAAGCATATGGGTTCTTCAGTTAGGATCCCGGCTCTACCATAAAGCTATAAAGTTGTCTTTAGTTTACTCACACTTTCATGGACTCAGCTATACAGTCTGCACAATTAGGAAAAAAATCCTCTCTACAACATCTTGTTTTCAATAAACATATGTAAAAACCATTTAAAAAGGTCCTCAGTGATCCCTGCCTTCCGCTGTTGGTACCCTTGTGCGACCCCCTCTTCCTAAGCCTGGACTGGACCTAGGGACTTGCCTCTAATGAGGATAATACAGCAATGGTGATGAGGTGTCACTTCCAGGATTAGGCTATGAAAAACTGTGGCTTCTATCTTGAGTGCCCTCTCTTGCTCTCTCCCTCACTTGCTCTGAAGGAAGCCAGCTGCTCTGTCAAGAGCTGCCCTCTGAAGAGGCTCATATGGCAAGGAAAGGATGTCTCCAGCCAACAGCCAGCAAGGACTGGAGGCCTGCCAATAGCCATGTTTGTGAACTTGGAAGCAGATCTTCCCCCAGTTGAGCCTTGCAATGCATTCAGCTCCTGCCAGTATACCTTGATTGCAGCCTTGTGAGAGTCCTCGAGCCAGAGCACCCAGCTAGGCCATGCTTGGTTTCCTGACCTCAGAAGCTGAAAAATAAATGTTATCAAGCTGTTAAATTTTGGAATAATTTGTTATTTGCAAAGACAATGCGTACAAATAGTGTCTGGCACAGAGCTGATGCTCTGTTAATAATAATATCTCCCTTCTCCCTGCTTTCCTCCTATTCCATCCCCAGGGAATGGTGGCTTGCAGCACCCTGACTCTGCTCCTCTGCAGAGATGGTGCTCACTTTGGACTCTGACCCAACAGAAGAAGAATTCTCTGTTGCAAGTTCTCCAAGTTCTCCTTTCCTTTTTGGTAAGGATCGCATTTGGGTGTGGTGAGAAGTACAACTTATATCCTAATTGCTATCAGAGCCGAGAGTCGTAACACATAATTAGATGTGCATACAGCTGGAGATACGGAAATTGCAGTTCCTCTCATAGGACACCTTTTATAAAAGCTCTAGATGTACTAGACACTTAAAGCAGGTACAACATGGCTCCACCACATGAAGATGATCTTACATCGTTTCCTGTGCAGGCACATTTGGAATGTGTGTGCTTTGTGAGGTTTGTTTCTTCCTTTCTTTTCCTTCTTTTTTACATTCTCTGGCTGACTAAAGTTAAGTCTCTTCCCATAGGATCATGTTGAACTTTTATCTCTTCTATAGGTTCTCAGCTTTCAGCTCCCGCATCCCTTTTTCCAAGTTAGGAATCGACAGCTTGAAAACTGAGAAGCCTGAAGTCTCCAGGGTATTGTTCATTTGAAGAAATGTCCATCCCTCGGTGATGCAGATGCTTGTGGAATTTCTGGGGTTTGCCTGCTGGGATGAATTTCATTTGATCTCCCTGAGAATTGAAGAAAATCAAAGTCTTAGATCTAAAGGGAGATTACTGAGGACTGGTCCCCTACTTTGTTTTGAAACCTTGAAATTCCAGAAAAGGCCTCTCTCTCTCTTTTTTTTTTTTTTTTTGAATCTCAGATTTGGGGGAAAAATCTCTGTTAGGTATTTGCCAGCGCTTGGTATCTGTTTCAGAGTGGGCGAGGAGCAATTTGATTCTTTAAAAAATATTCTTGTCCAGGCGTTGTGGCTCACACTTGTAATCCCAGCACTTTGAGAGGCCAAGGGGGATGGATCACTGGAGGCTGGGAGTTTGAGACCAGCCTGACCAACATGGAAAAACCCTGTCTCTACTAAAAAGACAATATTAGCCGGGTGTGGTGGTGCATGCCTGGAATCCCAGCTACTTGGGAGGCTGAGGCAGGAAAATCGTTTGAACCCGGGAGGCAGAGCTTGCGGTGAGCCGAGATTATGCCATTGCACTCCAGCCTGGGCAATGAGAGTGAAACTGTCTTAAAATATCTATATCTATATCTATCTATCTATGTATATCTATATATTAATATATTATATATAAATATATATAATATATGTAATATATATTCTTTATATAACATGATCAAGGTTCAAGAATATATTACATTCTGGAAGGGAATTGCTTGAAGGTTATGGTCCATCCACCCATTCATTCCCCTAAGGCAGCACTCAGAAACCTGCAGAGGTCAGCCAGCTTTAGATGTGTAAGAAGCTTGGGGAAAGGCCACAGGGAGGGAACAGATTTTTGATATATGCATATATTATGTATATTTGTATGTATATATCACAGTGTATATATACTGACACATATTTGTGTATATTTAAAAATTGAGTCTGCAAGCCACCCTGAGCCCAGTGACTTCTTTCTAGCACCTCACTCCAAACATCATTAGATCTAAAAGCTATACATCTGGGGAGTGACATTTACCCCTGTTGAATTAAGTTTAGCCTAAAGCTGCCTCCTTACATATTTTAAGTCAGGCCTAAAGATTTCTCCATACATAGGGAACTGTAACGTAAATGGATATGGAAACAGGCTGTAACCTACTCTTGGTACCTAGAGTACAAAACTCTTGAGTTTCGGCCAGTCAAAGGTGGCCAACTGTTCAAATCCTGTTCAGATAAAGCAAATGCCGGCTGTAACAAATCCAGCTGCTTGTTGACTGCACTTCTGTTTTCTGCAGTCACTTTCCTTTTTCTGTCAATCAGTCTTCTTTGACCATGCAGCGATGCCAGTGTCTCTGAACCTATTCCTGTTTGGGGACCAGCTAGTTTGAATGCATTTCCTAGGTGCAGGGTTTGATGTCATCTGACTGTATCACCATCCACCTTAGGGGTGCAAGGTCAATGCCTGTATTGTTTATCAATGTGTCCTGTATGCTTAGAACAGTACCTGGCTCACAGTAGGCCCTCAGTAGATATTTGTTAAATGTTGTATAAATTTTGCTGAACATGTTGAATAAATAAGGATGAGCCCTGTGAGAATTTTCAGAGACTTTGATCTAAAATGTTGCTGAATGTCACATTGCCTGTATATCATGGTATTCTCTCATGGTATTTTCAAGAAGAACTCTTGGGAGAATGAACTTTATTTTAGAATGAAGAATAATTGCGCCTCTCCTGGAAAAATAAATCACTTAAATTATGTGGACATAGATTTCCTCTTCGGGCTGGCTACTAGGAAACTCAAAATATGTGTTTGATCAGCCTCTTTGAATTACATGAGACTCAGTGGGATCCTTTGTTTTCCCTTAGAAGCATACTTTTCTCATAGACTCCTGAGGTTTGGCGATCGTGCTGTATTGTAAGTGTTCTTGAAAGCAAGTTCCAGGGAGTGAATAAATGAAGACAATGCCATAGAAAGGGAGTAGGAATTAAAGAAGTGAATGGCAAGAGAATGAGGGTGGGGTGAAGAAAACAGAAGGAATTCACTGGAAAGGGAGGAAGACAATAGGACATGAGGGATATGAGATTGAGCTGGGATCTCCTCCAGGTCTTAGGACATCTCAGGAGGTGGTCTTTGAGGGCCCATTAGGCTTTGATAATGCCGTGGGCATGTGGCTAGCACCTCTGGGTCAACTTGTGGCTTGGAACTCTCTGAAGATGGAGAAGGAGGCAAAACCATGAGGATATTCTCTGGAGCCACGTTTACATCTCCACTTTGGTACTATGAGCTGCCACTTGCTTTTGTTGAGCCTCAGTTTTTTATCTGTAAAGCGGGGCTAATAATAGTGCCTTCTGCTAAGGTTCTCTTGGAGGCTCAATGAGGTAATGAATAAGAGGTAATGATAACATTTCCAGTGCTCAAATGGTAGTTATTGTTATTATTGCATTGAGCTTTCTAGATTTCTGTCTCATCTTCTGTCATCTCATGGCTAGGCTAGAGTAGCATAGAAAAGAAGGAGAAAGTCTCAATTTCTCCACATTTACCATTAGGCCTTTCTTGAAAGTTTCCTTTAAAAAAAAAATTGACCCCGATTTACTATGCCAAAACCTTGGAAGTTTTCTTCAAACCCAAACATAACTGGACCTCTTTCAGTCATCCCTGCATTTGTCCAGTACCTCCTGTCTGTAGGCAAATCTTATGAACTTGGCATTAGTAAAAATCACAAATATAATCCGAAATTTTTAATAAGGGATGGAAGTTTTAAAAAAATAATGGAAGACTTCTTCTCAGGGTGACCAAGGGAATACACTGAATTGCATGCTACAGAGCAAAACTATAAAAATCCATGTTAAACACCTGATTTTCCAAAGTTTCTCTTCATGCCACTGTCAAATCACTGCAGTCCTATTTCACTCTCTTTCCATCAAATATCTTCTTCTTCCCCTCTCAGGCTATCTTCTTTCAGCTTCCTCCCCTCTCTTGGGCTCTTCCAATTTCTGTAGACCTTTATTTAGAGAAGGGATCATCAAGCTTTTTCTGAAAATGGCCAGGTAGCAAATACTTTAGGCTTTTGGGGCTCTATGTTCTCTGTCACAGCTATTCAACTCTGCTCTTGTAACAAGAAAGCAGCTGTAGACAATAAGCAAATGAATGGGTGTGGCTGTGTTCTAATAAAACTATTTACAAAAACAAGAAATGGACAGGGTTTGGCCTTTGGGTTGTAATTTGTTGACTCCTGATTTGAAGCAACTTATGAATCTATCTTCACGTGATGAAACTTCAGCTGATAGTTTTTCTATCACCCCGCTCAGCAAAACTGAAGATTCTGTTGTGGATGTACCTATCTTGAGAGGCCCAGGAAATTAAGTGGGGTGTTTTAGATAACCATTAATATTTTCTCCATCCAATGTTGATGATACAGGTCAGAACAATTCTTTGCTTATGCTGCCTGTAAGACACTTGTGTCAGGTAGGACAAAGCCCAGGTACAACACAGCTCTGGGGCTTAGTGTGACAGGTTTCCCCAGGTGATGTGTGTGTGTCTGTGTGTGCACACGCACGTGTGCGTGTCATGTCTGGGACCAAAGTTCTCTTGGCCAATAATGGAAAAAGCTAAGCCTCTATTTTTTTTGGCTTCTTTCACTTTCTCATTTGATTCTGGGAAGATCCTCACATCAAATTGTATAATGGAAAAAGTACTGGACTAGAGCCAGGGGATCTGATTGCTATTTTGGTTGTCTTACTACTCTTGTGTTTGACCTTGCAAGTTTGTTCATTCCCGGGTTTAGGTCTGTCAAGTATTAAACTAGAATCTTTGGTCACCACATTTTTAGTGCTTGATACTTATTTAAATGAAATCTTACCTGGAGCTCAGAAATGTATGGGATGAAGTCGGGCTGGAGAATGACAACTCTGTCCTGACACTCAATCTTACTCCTCCCCAAGGGGGACCCTAAAATATCTCTGCTGGAATTCGTGGGCTCTAGGCAGCATAGGGGAAAGATTGCTAAACTATGATTCTTTGGTTTCCTGTCCCATCTTTAGCCACCCACCTGGTATTCTAGAAACTCCCCAAATTTTTTATGTTCCTTCAAAATGGCAGAGACTTTGCATAAATTTGTTCTCATATACTCACTCATGCCCTTTCCTGATTGGTGTTCCACTCTTTTCAATCTTCATTCTTACCTCCAAGACTCCTACTTATCCTGTGCAACCCTATTCAAAGTACCCACTTCTGGGTTTATCTAGCTGATTGGTTTCTTATAGAAAACTTTGCAATAAACCATTGTTTCCAGAAGAATCTCAAGTCACAGCTTTCAGTTATCTTTGTTTCAATGAGCCATTCTTACATCTTAGATTTTAGGAGGATCCAAATTCCAACGTTGTTCTGGCAGGGCTGTCTCTGGAGGAACCATATTTAGCTCATTTCCAGTGCCTGAAATATGTCTTGCACCTGTTGAACAGCTGAGCTTGCCCTTTGAGGAGGTGGCTACAATATTACTGAGCTCATTTTCCTAGGTTTCTTTTTCCCTGTTGTTACAGTTTCTGCCCCCCAACCCAGCCCCCCAACATCACCAGGTAAGAATGTTCTGGGGAAGAAAATAGAGTTCAGTCTGTCAGTGGAAGGGAGTTTGGGGACAGAACAATTTGGATGTGGAAAGGTTTTCTGTGAGAAATCAGTGGGAGAATGTTATACAGTCAGACTTCTGAGTGTTGTATGTGAATATCTCAAATCCTTGCCACATATGAACTTCTTTTTTTAGGATTCTGTGTTAACAGGCTCTTCTTCAGTCTGGATGACTGACAGATTTAGCAGTCCCAACTGTAGCCAAATCCCACTGTTCCATTGTCCACCTGGATCCTTCTTGGCCTCAGAGGGAGATGGGCAGATGTTCCACAGAGCTGGGATGGAGCTTTGACTGAGCCAAACCTGACATAAATGGAGACAGGGATTCAAAGACAAAAAAAGAAAATGATTTAGAGAGGAAACCAAAAGAAATTACAATTAGCCGCAGGTTGCTGAATCTCGATTAACCTCCCACTGTGCTGTTGTTCTGTAGCCAACTTAGATGATCCAAAGACAATGTTTAAAAGCCATTTTAACTAAATTAGCAACCACGTAAAACCTTCATTCAGAATATATGTTTATCTGCACTTTCTGCCCCCCCAAACACTTTCTGTCAAGGAATGGCATGAAAAATTGAGGTCAAAAAGGATTGATGAAGAGCAGAGATGTCTCTAGCAAGACATCAAGCATTTGATGTGAGCTCTGTGTGAATGAATGATTTTTAATTGTTCCTTCTAGCTAGGGTGACTGTCCTGGTTTATAGCCGTGGTCATGGCATGATGCTTAGTCATATCATCCTTTAGTCTTAAAAGTGTCCAAATCTGGACAATAAAAGATATGATCACTCTACATCCATGCTGAGAAAATTCTAATTTCCCAGAAGATGCAGGAGATGATATTATAGACAAATCCCTTCCACATATGATGGTTCAATACTTAGTCTTTGAGACCTCGAATGATGGAACATTTCCTCAATGACAGAGATATTTATCACAATTTATATGTCTTGCTACATTAGAGTTTTAAATTTTCTTACCACCGTGTTAGGCATATTGTAGATTATTAAGAATTTCTCATTTTGAAGAATTACACCCGAGTTAATATATTTGCTATTTGGCACTTTTTGCCATGTTGGGGAATGGTTTCCTTGTATGTCTCTAATCCCGGTTCTGCCCTTCCCTTACACATCAGAGAGGCTGAAGTAAGTTTCTCAAGTTGGGCAAGGAGTTTGGCTACTGACTGTTAAGATCCCTCCCATACTCAGAGGCTGTGCTTGTATTAAAACCCACAGTTAACTTCAATATATATAATAGAGTATTGTAGTCATGTCAGTTACACCTTCCCTCTGTCAGGCTGTGCTGTTTGACCCTTGGCTCTGACCATTTGATAGTTACGTGGTCATAATCGAGTTATTTAAACTTCCTGAGCTTATTTTCCCATCTGTGAAAGACGAGCTACTAGTTTCTGAATCCTCCCCTAAAATGTTGAGGTGAGGCTCATGTCAGCGATGTCTGGAAGAGATGTGCCTCTCCATGCAAAAGACAATTTTGTCATCTGACTGTTGTATTGGAGAGCAATAATCAGGTAATTTCTGACAGCTCAACCATAGATCAGAATGAGATGAGGTGAGCATCTGACATTTGGGCCCCATTCTGGCGGTCATCTCCCCTCTCTTGGTAAAGAGTATCCTGATTTCCTTTTGAGGAATTACTTTTCTTCTCTTGTGAGCTTCGTTTTCTTCTATAAAATGAGTACATTTGTAGCACCTAAGATCACGTAGGATTGATAAAAACTGAATGTATAAAGCTCTTAGGACAATGCCCGGCTCCTTGTTGGCTGTGCCCAAGACCAATGTGGCGAGTAGTCAAGGTGGGTGTGTTCCTAGAACCTTGTCTTGCCCAGTTTATGGCTCACACTTGGCCAGTTGGACTTTTTCTATCCTAGAACTTTAAATTGTACCACTATCTGTTTTTACTAGAAAGGCAAAACTCTTTCTGCTCCTGAGTCATGGAACTAGGACAATCAAGCCAGGTCCCCTTTGACCTGTGAAATTCAAATTAATTAATTCACTCATTGAGCAAGTGTTTATTGATGTCTTTCTGTCAGAAAATGTGTGCTAAGTCTTTCACATATTTTTCTCATTTAATCCTCAGTACATATCAGGTATTGGGTCTCACTGCTTGCTTTGCAAATGAAGAAATGGGACTTACAGAATTTAACCAACTTGCCCCAGGTTATATAGCTAGCATGTGGGTAGGCTGAGATTTGAACTTGGATCTCTCTGACTCCAATGCCTATGTTTTCTTTGCTGTGGGATTTGGCCTGCCTGCCAGAGGAAGAACAATTGAAAGCATATTTTGCCTAAGACTAGAGAGTTATTGTCCCTTTCTTTTATCAAAGTGTCTGAAGTAGCAGTAATGGAAGTTTCCATTAGCATGGAAGATATGGGTGGGTGGGGATATTTATTGGTTTTATCTGTCTAGCATGCCTTTCTCCTCCCTCTCTTCCTGCTCCTCCTCCTCCTCCTAATAATAGTAATAATAATGATGATGATGATAATAATGGCAGACTCCTCCCTTTGGGAGGCACACGTTATTGGCCCATTCCATGTAAGTCTTGTAGTATTGTCAGTTACGGAACAGCTCCTCTGGCCATAGAGGTTTACCTCTGATCCAAACCTGGCCAATCAGATCTTTCCCTGACCACAACAGCTTAGTGGTCTAAGAGGTAGGCATATGACCTAAATCAGCCAATCAGTTTCTTCCCTAAGTCTAATCTACACTGAAGAAGGAAGAGACTTTATTTTCTACCTCTAGGATGTTAAATCAGCATACTGGTTGCAGCCATTCTGCCATCTGGACAGGTGGAATTGGGGGAAGCCAGAGAGAATGGGAATGACCTGCAGGGGGACACTGAGGAGTAAGACAGCTTAGAAATACCACTTTGAAAATACGACCTTTCAGTTAGGTGTGCCAAGAAATCACTCCCCATTCCCACCTTTTTTTTTTTTAATTTTGAGTCTTGTCTCTGTCATTTGTAATAGACTAATACAATATGCTTCCTAGCATATGTTTGCAGAAGCCCAGTGTCTAGGAAGTGATTTTCTTTCCCTGGGAGAGACTGACAGGGGAGGAGTCAGTGGTGTCAAAACTGGGGAATGATTATGGGTATGTGCTGTTGTTTTTGGCATGCTTTTTTCCCTAATGATAAATCATTTATTTGTTTATTCCCTTAGATGTTGACCCACGCAAGTAGCCCCTGAGCAGCATCTGCCATGGTCCAAGAACTGTGCAGGTGCTGGGGGTATGGTGGTGACCAGCAGCCATGGTCCCTGCTCTTGTGAAGCTGGTTGTCCTGAGTTCTCTTTTCCCTGGGGCCTCTACAGCCCTCCTCTCAGCAGGCTGTTTGCCACTTAGAATCTACTACTTGGGGGTGCTAAATTATTTACAAACCCTTTTTACGAGAGCATCCAAAAGCTTGAAGACAGACTCCGTTTCTAAGCCCTGGGGTCAAAGCTCCTTTCAGAGAGACTTCCCTTTTCTTCTTTCTCTCATCTTTGCCCCCAGCCTACCACGAATTCAGAATAGATCTCTTGCCAAAATTATTCCTAGGGGAATGTTTGAGCTGAAACTGGAGTCTTTTTTGAATACATTGTCTCTGCTCACTGGCATTTAAACTCACTTGCAGGTCCTGATGATAGCTCCCGAGGAAGGCTGCACTCACTGATCACAGGCATGAGGGCCTTGATGCCTGCACAGAGCATGGCTATTGTGTCTGCTCACCTTCCTCAAGCTGCCAGCTGACCCCCACAGGAACTGCCTCCCACCCTCCTGCCATCACACATGGCTGGAGTTCCTCTATCCTACCCTTCTTCCTGTTCCACTGCCTCCTTTTGCACCTGAGCCTCATGGCACCACGTTGAACTTCTCCGTAAGCTCTTTCATTCCATGAAAGGGTTCCTTTGCTATTTTGATTTTTTTTTTTTAGAGACGAAGTATTGCTCTGTCACCCAGGCTAGAATGCAGGGGTGCGATCATGGCTCACCGCAGCCTCGAACTCCTGGGCTCAAGCAATCCTCCCACCTCAGCCTCCTGCGTGGATAGGACTACAGGTGCACATTGCCACACCCGGCTAATTTTTATTTTTAGTAGAAATGGAGCCTCACTATGTTGCCCAGGCTGGTCCTCAACTCCTGGGCTCAAGCAGTCCTCCCGCCTTGGCCTCCCAAGGTGCTGGGATTACAGGTGTGAGCCACTGTACTCAGTTATGAATGAGTTCCTTTTGGTATTGTTCACCTCCAGCAACTCCTGGTGCCCATTAGCCTAGGACTATGCTCCTGGGAAAGGGTCTGGTATAGAGAACAGAAGGGCCTAGGTGGAGATGTTAGAGCATCAATCCTAGACAGGCACCAGAGAATCAAACTGGGGCAGTGGTGGTGGGAGTAGAGCAGCTAGAAGGATTGGGAGTTAGTAGGGTATAACAGAGAGGAAAGAGGTGTGTGTACCGGAACACACAGCTAGAGACTGCCTGAGCTGGGCCCCCTGACCATTTGGTGGTGCTCAGTCAGCTTCCCTGACTTGTCTCCCAGCCACCAACCTCTCCTCAAATACTGCTTCCCCAGAGGAAGCCTTTTCCAATTCACCAGCTTAAAACAGGTTTCCCTGCTGTACGTTCTCACATGCCCTTCGCTAGACAGATGATAACCCGTAAATGCTGGTGTGATTATTTGCCTAATGTCTGCCTTTCCCTTGGAAGCCAGGCTGGTCTTGTTTACTATGGGGTCCCCAGTAAAATGCCTGGAACAAATTAGATTCTCAGAAATGTTTGTGGAATGGCTGAAGGAATAAATCCTCAGTCTGTGGATTTTTGTTCCTCTTTACAAGCTTTTGGCCCAAGATATTCATCTACCTATATTAGGACTTCCTGGCAAAGAGACAGACTGTGCAATCACTGCGATTCATACACATTTGATCACAAGCCAGTTTTATTTTACTCAACACAAAAATACAAATGAAAAATATTTATGTGAACTTCAAGGAAGATACAGGGGAAATGAAGAAGCCACTTAAAGCTGCAGCGAGTGATAGTGCATCTGCCATTAGAAGCCAATTTCATCTCAGCTTGAGTCCCCAACCAGGCATGCGGAAGGCAGGGATGTGGGATCTCAGGAAAAGACCTGGTCTCCTTCCCCGGGCAGCTCCCCTGTCAATGGCTGCCTGGATTTCCACCATTAAAAATTATCGATATGTTTTAGTTGAGATTTTCTGATCCCAGTTAAATTTCCAGACTTACTCTGAGGGGGCTGTTTTCTACACTGTTGGGAGACCCTGAAATCTGAATAACTGGGGGGGCTGAGGACAGGTGAGTAGTGAACCAGGACAGGTGTACGAGGGTGGTGGGGTCCCTGAATGGGTAAGGAGAAGGCCCCATTAGGGAGAGATTAAAAAAGAGAGAGGGGACACAGTTGGGTTCTAAAGATACAAGCTGACCTTTTGGGAGGTCTTTTTCCATTAATGGAAGGAGCCCAGGGCTGGGAGATAGGTATCTTATTAAAATATGCTTACTGAGTGCCTGTCACATTCCAGGCACTGTGCTGGGCACTGGGGTTACAGCAGAAAATAGTGCGCAGTCCCTCTTGCATGGCCTCATGAAATTCTCCACCCAGTGGGGAGTTCTGATAAACGTGGAGACACCAGTCAGTGGAGGTCATGGAGGTGCTTGACATTGAGTAGCCAGGAAGGAGTTCTTTGAGGAGGTATGGCTTAAGAGCTGTAAGATGAGCTGTGCAGAGCGGGGAAGAGCACCCCTGGCAGAAGGGACTGCAAGTGCAAAGGTCCTGGAGCAGAAACGGACTTTGTGTACTTGGGAAGGAAGGTGGCAGAGCGAGCAGGGGGTTGTTAAGTGAGCAGGTAGGTTAGCAGGGGAAGCCATACTGGGTGAACTTGCATGGTAGGCTTTGAGCAGAGAAATGATGTGGCCTGATTGAAGTTTTACAGAAATCATCCTCTTTCCCTGAGGACAAGAAATAGGATGAGAAGAGAGATTGGGAGGGGGCTGTGTGGAAATCCAGGAAGAGATGATCAGCTGGAGAAAGGAGGAAGGCAGTGGAGAGGGGAAAAAAAGGGACCAGTGTGGAGCTTCTAGTCCTTTTGTTGACTGGCCCTGGGCCCTGGTTCCCAGTTTCCCCATCTGTAAAGTGGGAGCAACCCTCCAAGGTCCTCCTAGCCCTGGGTGTCCTGGAGGGTCTGTTGACTCTGGCCCTGCAAGTTCTTCCAATGTCGTGTTTTATTGCCTTTTCTTTAAGCCTGAGAAAGCTTCACTAGAAAGAATTTCAATGTTTGGTTTAAAGATAAATTTTCTAGCTTTCTAAAGTTGTTAATATTTTAAATGCATGACTATCTTGTGTCCTCCTTGGTGGGAAGCGGTGGGTCAGGGTGTCACATTAATAAAATATGAATACATTAAAACATTTATTTTAATATAACTTATGTGGGAAACATATTTTGTGAAGCTTTTTGGCAAGTGGGTGAAAATGCGTGTTTGCCCCAAACTTCTGAATGTCCTTGATTGGGTTGGGGTCTTTGTTTCCAACAAAGCCCTTGACCCCTTGTGGTTTCCATTCTGTTTACTCTTGGCAAGTGTTTTGGGTTCAAAGGGAGAATCTTTAAAAGCTGCATTGGGAGCGTCTATAAAATCTTAACGCATCTTTGACATCAAATAGCTCTTTCAAAGCAGTGATTTGATGAAGTAAATAGGAATGCAGCACAAACCATATGGAACGCATTTTCCATAACTGCTCCACACTTGAATAACAGAGGAGAAAAGTTCTTGGCAAAGGGAGTTTGGGATTTTAATGACCCTTAAATATTTGGCTCGGTAGCCAGATGTGTTTTACCAGGCTGAAAACCCTGAGGATAGGCCTGCCTTTCTCTTTGGCAAAACATAAGCTAACGCGATGTTGCTGTTCGTGAAAAGATGTTTGTGCCTCATTGCAGAAAGCTTAATTCACCATGATTTCCTTAATTATCCACCCCTTCCCCAAACTGGCATAGCTCCCAGCATGCCTCGGAGCATCATTTCTGATCTGAGACACTAAGCTGTTTACGACGATGCCACAGAAACCTCCTTAATTATTTGAAATTGGGAATCAAAGGGTTGAAACATGGACCGGAGTGTATCGGGTCCATGGGACGGGGCCAGAGGGGCTTAGGCTTCCGGCGTGGATGGCTCTGCTCCTAACTGGCTGGGAGAGCTGAGCAAGACCCTTGATCTGGGATTAAGATAAAATGGGACAAACCATGTTTGAGCCATTATTGTCAAGTTCTGGTTCCGGTTATGAACAAACCTGTATTAGAAACACACATGCACGTCGGCAACCTCTCAAAGTCATCTTGAAAGTCCATGCCTGGTGGCTTTAGACAATGGCCCCTTACTTGAGACATTTGTGTGTGAACGTATGCAGAATGGTTCTCCTCAAGACAACCTCACAATTGGTTTATCTAACTTTTAGCACTGACTGGTGGATTGTTGCCCCCCACCCCGACCCCCCCACACACAAAAAAACTTCCCCAATAAAAGATATAAGGTTGCAATTTCGGACGGAAGAAGCCTTCAAAGTGAAGTCCAGCATTCCCATTTCAAAGATGAGAAAACTGAGGCCCAGAGACTAGAATTGGCCTGTCTATGACCACACAGTTCTCAGCATCAGGACCAACACCAGAATCTGCTCAATTCATCAGCAGTGTGAGCCCCCACATGACTTTTGTTTACAAAAGTAAAATGTGTCTGCATAGTATGAAGATTTCCCAACACAGAAGATGTTCAAGAGCATGCCCTTCAGGAGGGGGTAAGCCAATGGAAAAGGGAACAAACCACACCCTGAGTTCTGAGCCAGCACTGCTCTTGGGCTGTGTTGCTTATTCTTCCATCACAAAAATACAAAACATTTGAGAGAAGAAGCAACTGAGGATTAGAGATGTGACGTGGCTCCTGCATGTGGCCCAGCTGGTGGCTCTAAACCTTTGCTCATCCTGTGACGTGAATTTGGCCTGTGCTTAGCCACTGTGGTGTCTTTGTTCTGGCTGCTATAACAGAACGCAATAGACTGTATGGCTTATAAACAGCAGATACTGGAGACTGGAGAAACAGCAGATACTTATTTCTCACAGATCTGGAGGCTGGAGGTCCAAGATCAGAGTGGCAGCATGGTTGGGTTCTCGCAAGGGCTGCCTTCCTGGTTCATGACAGCAGATTTCTCACTGTGTCCTCACATGGTGGAAGGGGTGAGGGAGCTCTCTGGGCCCCCTTTCAAAAGGGCATGAATGCCATTCATGAGTGTTTCATCCTTATGATCTAATCACCCTGCAAAGACCCCTACCTCATGATACCATCGCCTTGGGGGTTAGGATTTCAATGTGTGAATTTTGGGGGTGACACAAACTTTGAGACCACAGCACATGAGTTTGGAGGTCCATGGGCCTCCTGTCTCTGCACTGGGGCCCTGTCTCTGCACTGGGATCTGTCTCTGTGCTCAGATTCTCTGTCTCTGTGCTGGATCGAATGGTTGGATCACTGCCTTTCCCTCCTCTTGTCACCCTGGAAAAGACTTGACATGTTCCTCTCAGCCTGGCAGGAGCCCCCAGAATGAATCCATTTTTCCATTCTTGTCAATAGATGGATATAGACGAAAGCCCCCATACTTTGTGGAACTAGGAGAAGGTACAGAGAAGCCCAGATTAAAGTCACAACAGGAACCGGGGTATAATTTCTCCTTTTAAAAATGTAAGTGGCATTCTGCTTAAAAACAAAGAAAAAGAACCAGCCCCTTTACCCTACCCCCTAAAAACCCCAAACAAATGCTGAATATGTTTCTCTACCTTATGATGTACAGAGCTGTGGGCAGGGCTGGTGAGTGTCATTAAGGGGAAGGAAGTACAGCCTGCCTTGCTGGCTTTCACTGCTGCTTCCAGCTTTCCTTGCTTTTTTTCACTTCTCCCCGCCACAACCTGGCCAGCTTTTGTAGCGATGTCCCCCTGGCTGATCACTGACCTCCCGTTTTCCAACCCATCAGACATACACAATGGGTAGCATGAACTTTCTGTCCAAGACAATACATCATTAAGAGAAAAAGGGTGGCTCATGCCTGTAATCCCAGCACTTTGGGAGGTTGAGGTGGGCAGATCACGAGGTCAGGAGATGAAGACCATCCTGGCTAACACGGTGAAACCCCGTCTCTACTAAAAATACAAAAAATTCACCGGGCGTGGTGGTGTGTGCCTGTAGTCCCAGCTACTCGGCAGGCTGAGGCAGGAGTATTGCTTGAACCTGGGAGGAAGAGGTTGCAGTGAGCTGAGATCGCGCCACTGCACTCTAGCCTGGGCGACAGAGCGCGACTCCATCTCAAAAAAAGAGAAAAAGAGATCCAGCCAGAGCGATGGGGGCTGAATCAGAGATAGAGAAAGAACTGAGTGAGAAGAGCAAGGGGTCAGAGAGCCAGGACTGGTATCCAGCCAACCCTAGGGAAGGTCTTGTTGTTCCTGCCCTGTGTAGCACCTTCTTCCCGGGGAGAGGCAGGGGAGGGTCACTACATCAGGACAACCAGGAAATCACTCTGATTTTGGTTCATGCCAGCTCCTGAGCATGGTTTCCAGGTTTTTGTTTCTCAGTCCAGAGGCTAAGAAGTCCTGAG
The DNA here is from genome assembly GCF_000001405.40 of Homo sapiens. Taxonomy (NCBI): domain Eukaryota; kingdom Metazoa; phylum Chordata; class Mammalia; order Primates; family Hominidae; genus Homo; species Homo sapiens. The sequence goes on along the minus strand of NC_000016.10, from coordinate 66,055,520 downwards.
ACCTTCCAGCAGCCCCAGATGTAGAGCAGGGAGAGGAAAGTTGTTTCTCCATCTGAGCCAGCCCTGATCCTGTATATGCTCTCGGAGCATTGAGCAGAGTGAGGGATGATGTGGACTCAAGAGAGAACTGGGTTGAAACTGAGCATCTTCGCACTGTTTCACAAATGTTAATTAAATGCGAGATTATATGCCCCAAATCTTCATAGAAAGTAGATTTATTGTACCTCATTACCAGATTTTATACACTCCACTTGGGTGAGACTGATGTTCTGTATTATAAAAGAATGCTGGATTTTATGGTCTAAAGCCTTCAGATATTAAGAGAGATATTCAGAAATGACAACAGTGAGACCCACGGTGGCACTTGGAGGCCCCTGATGAGATGCTGAAGCAGACACGGCTCAAAATGTCCCAAGTGCTCTCCAGCCGTATCATAGGCAAACACATTCAACTTCAGTGCAGTTTGGACCAAGTTAAGCTTTTGCATTTCTAGCGACCTGTGGACTTCATTTTTACTTCTTCTGAAATTTGTCCCTCTGAATTTCACAGAACTCCTTCCTTGATTCTTCACTGCACTCAGCACTTTAACACAGCTGTGTACATACGTGTGTAGGTAAGTGTGTTTGTGTGTGTATAGATGGAACTCAGAATACGCTATCCCAAAATAGGGCACCTTAGCATCTGAGAAATTAGCAGAAGCAGAAATGTATCTCTGACACTCTCTCACCTAGAGAAAACCCTGAAGTGGGTCATAAAACCTAGAAAGAATTACCTGACCTTCTCCCTTGTCCTAAAGTAAGACTCTCATGTGGGGTGTACCCATCCTATACTCTATTCCCAGAGGAAAGGAATGTTCTTATCTCTAGCAACACAGGGACGCAGAGAATCTGAACAATCAGGCCTTGCTAAGTTTCACCAAGTTTATTACTGTAAACCCAGATCTGAATCAATTTAGAAAGTTTATTTTGCCAAGGTTAAGGACGCATCCCGTGACACAGTCTCAGGAAGTCCTGACGACCTGTGCCCAAGGTGACTGGGACAGAGCTTGGTTTTATACATTTTAGGAAGACATGAGACATCAATATGTATAAGATGTACATTGGTTTGGTCTAAAAAGGCGGGACAACTCAAAGAGTGGGGTGGCTCTCAGGTCACAGGTAGATAAGGTTACATTCTTTTGGGTCTTTGATCAGACTTTCATTAAATGCACAATTTACATGTGAAAGGGGGTAGAGGAATAGTCACTTATGCCCTAGTCTGGCTCCGTGAATCTGCATTTTTACATAAACAATAGGGCAGAGGAAGCAATCAGCTATGCATTTGTCTCAGGTGAGCGGCAGGATGAGCACCTGTGAAGATCAGCTATCAATGTCCACTGCCACGGTGAAATTCAACAGAACTGTTTAGGGTAAATCTTGAGGCCCACAAGGAATTTCCTTGAGGGCAAATTGTGAGGGAGGTATGTAGCTTTTTTTTTTTTTTCTTTAATATCTGTAGCTGTCTTATTTGGGAAGAAAATGGGAGGCAGGTTTGCCTGATGCAGTTCTCAGCTTGACTTTTCCCTTTGGCTCAGGGATTTTGGGGTCCTGAGACTTATTTTCCTTTCACATTACTATTAGATCATACATGCTTTGTCCAATCATTCTCCTCTGCACCTGTCCACTTGTTAAATTTAACAACACACAGGCTTCCCTGTTTCTTTGGGTCTTTGTTTCCGAAGGCTCAGGTATCACATAAAAAATAAATTTGTATGCTTTGTTGTTGTTGTTAATCTGGTTTTTGTTGTAGGGGCCTCAGCCATGAGAAAAGACTTCTTCACTCCCTACAGTGTGTATGTATATACATGGTGTGTGTGTATCATATACGTAAGTGTGTGTGTGTATGTATATATGTAGTATGTGTCTATGTATGTAGCTAGGGGTGTGTGGGTGTGTGTGTAGGTAGGTAAATAGGTTTGTGTTTGTATGTTTAAATAGCTATGTGTGTGTGTGTCCATGTGTTTATGTAGATGTATGTATATAGGTAGGTAGGTTTGTATGTATTTGTAGATAAGTGTGTATTTATGTAGATAGGTGTATGTGTGTGTGTGTGTGTATATTGGTATGTGTGTATGTAGGTAGGTATGTGTGTCTAAAACTTAAATATAATTTCAATTTTTATCAAAGGAACAGATTAAAATGTCAAGTAGTTCTAGTAGGATCATAATGAGAAACAGCAGACCCCTGATCAATTCCTTCTCACTCCTGATTTCTGTTCCCCAAAGGCAATAGCTTTCAACTCCTATTTCTTTTTTTATATTCACCTTTATATCTCTAATGACATGTATACTGCTATTTTAATTTTTCCTGTATTAGACGTGATCTATTGTCTTCCTGCTGTGGAAGATGAGGGTATAGCTCTCTTCTACCAGCCCCTGCTCCCCAGTCCCCAAATATACATCCTTTCTCCCCCTCCTACAATTATTTCTCACCCATCTTGGTTAAATATATATTCAGTGCTTTTGTTATGACCATGTAAATATTGTTCACAGTTGAGACATGTTATGTCTCAAGATCACATGTTCTTTCTTATGCAACTGTTTATTGAGTCAAGAGCTAAAGTAATTGTTTTGCGTAGTCATTTGCTGGGTTACTTTGTGCCTATCCTGGATTCATTCACAGTCCCTCCATGCCTGTCAATGAGATCAAAACCACAAGGTCATCTTGCAGCTCTTGCCGCTTGCTGCCCTATTGGCCCAGTCTACAGGGATTGTTCTATAGGCTTGTTGCATGGTTCTAGAAATTCTTTTAAACATCAGCCCAGGAGTACTCACCAATCCACTGTATTGAATCTTCTGTTTCTTGAATCCCATCCTCTTCCTTTTCTCTGGTTTATTTCTCATTTGATGGGCCAAGTTTTAGGAATATCTTTTTTTCATACCTGAACACTGGATTGTGGGTATATGCTGAATACAGAATTCTAGACTGCAAATTTTTGTTGTTTAGAATTTTGAATTGGCTTCTAGGTTTCAACATTACTGTTGATGACACTTTAATTACCGAACTTTCATACATGACCTGTGTTTTCTTTCATGGAAGCTTTTAGTATATTTTTTATTTCTCTCCCTGGTGTTGTGATATTTTACAACGATACGTGTTTGTGTTGATCTTCGCCTTATCACTGAGCTAAACTCTCAATGAACTTTTTCAATCTGGAAATGCATGTCCTCTGGGGAATTCTTCTATTTCTTCATTTTTTTTCCTCTTCTCTGTTTTTCTCTTTATTCTCTAGAGCTTCTAGCATTTGTCTATTGTTTTCCTCCATAGATCTTCTAATTTTCTTTCTTTTTCTCTTCTGTTTTTCCGTCTTTTTGTTCTACTTCACAAATTCACAAATCTACTTGTTATTTATTTATTTTTAGCAAAGTAAAATTTCTGTTTTGTAGATAAAATATTTTCTTATCCTCTGTGATGGTTAATGCTGAGTGTCAACTTGATTGGATTGAAGGATACAAAGTATTGATCCTGGGCGTGTCTGTGAGGATGTTGCCAAAGGAGATTAACATTTGAGTCAGTGGGCTGGGCAAGGCAGACCCGCTATTAATCTGAGTGGGCACAATCTAATAGCTGCCAGTGTGGCTAGAGTATAAGCAGGCAGAAAAATGTGAAAAGAGAGACTGGCCTCGCCTCCCAGCCTACATCTTTCTCCTGTGCTGGATGCTTCCTGCCCTCCAAAGTTGGACTTCAAGTTCTTCAGTTTTGGAACTCGGACTGGCTCTCCTTGCTCCTCAGCCTGCTGAGGGACTATTGTGGGACCTTGTGATCATGTGAGTTAATACTCAATAAATTCTCCTTTATATATATAGCTATTCCATTTGTTCTGTCCCTCTAGAGAACCCTGACTAACATACTCTCTTTAAGATACTAAGATTGTGACTGTTTTTTCTTCTTGTATCTGTGTCTTAGTTCCTTTATTATTTCTATTTGCTTTGCTCTGAGAGACTCCTCAAATACTCAATGATTCTTGGCTGTCCACACATATGTTTGGGGGAAATGTCAAACTGATGATTGGGAATATTAGTGTGGTCAGGCAGAGCTTGTTAGTTGGGGGCTTTGTTGTCCAGAAATGGAGCCATGACCTGATAATTTCTCTGCCTCCCTCCCTCCAGCCCAAATGTTAGTATCAGTAGGTCTTTTCCCTTGGGTGGTTCAGTTTGCCCAAGGAGGAATTTTCTAATCTCCTGAGTGACAATTCAAGCTGGGCTGTGTGTGGTCCTAGCGTCTCCCTGTTCAACTTTTGCCAACTTTGCTTATTCCTCCTATTTTTAGTACCTTACCTCATCGCAGCCCCAAATTGTCTCTGTTGACTGTGAGTGTGGAGCTTCTCTAGTTCCCTGTCCCTAGAGAGCAACAATACCTGAGTCTTCTGCCAGGCTGGGGAAAGAGCTACCACCTAGATGCCTGATTGTATGTTCTGCCAGGCTGGGGAAAGAGCTGCCACCTAGATGCCTGATTGTATGGGGAGGGGGAAGCCAGAACCACAGCAACTCCTTGAACAAATTTTCAAGGAATCATCCTGTTTCCATTCTCATCTGCACAGCCCATCATCAGGGCTTCTACCCTTGAGACTACCCAGGGTTCTGTGGTCACATCACATCGAATGTGCCTCCTCATGGTCTCACCTGTCTCTTGGACCCTTGGCCACTTAATCGACTCTAGCTACATGATAGCAACCTACCCTGTTGGTCCTGGGCAGTTCAGCCACCAGAGGTTGATCAGGGACAACCTCCTCCCATAACTTTGCCACATAAATGGGTTTCTGGTCCCCCCCAGCTGGCCTCATGGGGGATCTTCTTCCAGGAGAAAGAAATGGGTTTCAGTACACACAAAAATTACATTGATTTTCTCCAGACTTCATCTGCCTGGTTGTGTGAGTAGAAAATGAATCCACTGCAGAATGTCAGACGGGCAGCAAATTGAGGACACTCAGTCCAGGTCCTCCTCATGCCCCCAGTACTCCATCCTTTCTCTGGTTCTACAAGAAGTCCTTCCGTCGTCATTCTTTCATTTGATATATCAGTGTAAACATTGGCAACTTAAGGATAATTTATTTATTTTAATTTCTCAGGAAATCATAAGGAAACTAGGAAGATCTGGAGAGAAAATACTCTGGATATCAATCTTGTTTTTGAGATTTAAAAACCACCTAGTGCAGACATGCAGCTGATGGCCGTGAGTACCTTCAGTTTCCCTGAGCCACATTTCTCACCTCATTTTGACATTAGGACCAATGAACGGGACCTTTGCCAGAGGAAATGCCTGCCATTCTCCCATGTGGGCTCCCTCTCCTCTTCTCCCTTTTCCCACTTGGTGTGATAAAGGGCAAAGACCTTATCTTGCTTATCTCAGTGGCACTGGCACCCAGAGAAGTGCTTGGCATTGGTTAGGTGTCCAAAATATTTGTGGAATAGACGACTGGAAGCCTCTTAGACATCTACCGTCCATGCCACCCACCCCTCACCTGGGAATTTGTGTACCTGGAGGCATCAACCTTTGAAGCAAGCAGATGGAGGGTCTGTAAAAGCACACATTGCTCATCAATCTGAACTAGGTCATCCAGCTGTGAACCTGCACTTGCCCACTAGAGCAGGGAGTCTGTTTCCCTCGCAAAGGTGGTGCCAAGTTTTAGGGATGAATGCAAACTTAACTTCAGATATTCCTTCCAGCCCAGGAACAGTTCTTTCTCCTTAACCTCACACATTTGGGAATGTCTGTTTGCCTCAGTAAGATCCACTTGGCATGCAGGGCCTTCCAGCTATACTGTCAATTCTGAGGACAGCATCCTTTTCCCCTCCCAGCATCAAGTCTCATTCTTCCATGCAGAAACCAGACCTGTGCCAGCCCTAGTGAGTCAACCCCATCGTTAAAGACCATTTCTTAGCTGCAAAACCAAATATATAGTTATCTAAGTTGTTAAAAGTAGTAATGAAAGGAACACCCATGAGCTCAAAACTTGATATAAAAAGATTACAAGGCTATCACCATTGAAGTTTGCCTCTCTTCCACATACATAATTGTATATAGATTTTCTGGATTTTATATTCATCATTCACCTACTTTTTTTTGGAAAATTTCCTATATGTATATGCATATACCCCTAAACAAGATATTGGTAGGTATTTTTTGTTCAACTATATAAAAATGGTATCATGCTATGAGATTCTTATGCATACTCTGAATTTTCATGCAGCTTGCATACAACTCTTATCATTAAGTTTGTGAAGTTCGTTCATGATGGTCTATGTACTGTACTATGTACTTCACTAATTTTCACTGTTGTATACTATTGCATTGTTTAACTATACCACACTTTATTTCACTATTCTATTAATATTTGGATGGTTTCCAATCTTTTTCTAGAACAAGTATGCTACAAACATTATTTTAAACATATCTGGGTGAACATGTAGCATCTACCTAAGATTAGGATTACTGGGCCATATGTAATACTCAAACCGAACTCTCCTAGCTAATGCCAAATTGCTTTTCAAAGTGCTTGAGTCAATTTATACTCTTCCCTGGTAGTGTACGTGATTTTTCATTAATGTACATCTTTGTCAGCACTTTATACTGTCAGATTCTTGAATTGGGTATATTATATATATTCTCCCTAGTTTTAAATTTACATTTTCTTCATTACATAATGAGGTATCTTTTTAAAAAACGTATCAGCTATTCTAGTTTTTATTGTTGAGAATACCTGTTCAAGTCTTTTCCATAGTTTTTATTTGGATTGTGTGTCTCCATGATTTTTAGGAGTCAAATACATATTCTGGACTCAAATCGTTTGGTCTTTTATGTATTTGGCAAATTTCATTCTCAGTTTGAGCCATCTTCTCACTTTCTCTCAGGTATCTTGATGAACAGAAATTCTTAATTTCAGTATAGTTGAATTCATCAATCTTTTCTTCTTTTCTTGAATGGCTTTATTTTTCCATGTGGATAATCAATTCAATTGTTGCAGTACCAATTATTGATTAGTCTTACTGTCTCCCACTCACCTGGAAAATTAGCTCTGTCAAAAAAATTGATTGTGTACATATAATGGATCTGTTTTTCAGCTCTCTGCTCCATTAGCCAATTTGTCCATCCCTGCACCAATATCGTACTGTCCACTTAGTTAATATAGCTTTCTAATTATTCTTGATGACTGGTGGGGCAAGTTTCCCTACCATTAGCTTCTGTGGTGTCTTGACTATTTTTGTTTCCATGTGTGCACTTAAGAACCCTTAAAAATGTGCATTACACTGTTACCATGTCTAGAACTTAATAACTTCACATATCCAGTCAACAAAGCAAATTTCTCAAACTCTTTCATATTTAAAAAGCTGTTTGAATCAAGATCCAAGTAACATCCATCTCAAGAGTTGTTCATAGTCTGGATTGTACTATATCACCGTAGTGTTAACATGTTCCTCCATTCACTATATTTTTTGTAAATAAGATAGTTTGAGACTTGATCAGATTCAAGTTCATTTTTGGGAGGAGGATAGGCAAGACTACTTCACAGGTGGTGGAATGCATTTCCATCAGGAGGCACATGATATTTATCTGTCTCTCTTTTGTGTTAATAGCAGCCATTGGTCATCATAGCCTAGATCCATTAATTCATTAGGAATGCAAAAATGGCAGCATTCTAACACTCTTTCTCACTTGTTAGCTAGAATAATTTGTAGAGAGAAATTTCCTCTAATTAACTATTCGGTTACTTTGAGGTAGAATTTGTAGAGGAAAAGCAAGACAAATGCTTGATTCTTTTCCTTTTACCGGGTTTCAGGACAATGACTTAGGGCATCAGCATCCTCCAAAAGTAACAAATAGGTTTATTAAAATATTATGAATTCAAGGGCTAAATCTATTAGTTGTGTTTTAATACATTATAGTCATTATCTTCATTGATGTCCAAATTTTCCCATCTATGGCGAGTGGGAACTTTAAGTTAGCACCTGAAATCTTTTTACATGACCCAGTAGTCTTTGTTACTTTTCTTGAAATCTGAAATTACAAGGTGTTCCAGGTTCGTATTGGACATTTCCTACCCCAGACTTAGAATCAGCTATTTGTCCAAGAAGTCCTGGTTCCTATTAGTTTGAAATTCTACTTAGAAAAACTACAATCTCGGCATTAAGAGGGCTTCTTGCTATTGCTTAGTAATTGTTTCTGGACCATTTCAGTGGATAGAGATAGAGAATATGTATATTGCACATCCATATTAAAGATATATCATGAGTTCTTATACTTCCAACTTAAATTTGTGATTACGTGGTTTCATTTAACTTCACCAATCTTACTTCTGTAAATTTCCCCTATATGGCACTAATGCCATTTTGAGTTCTTACTAACTGTATAAAATTGCTTTTTAACCCATGTATTTTTAGGAAACTTTTGGATGAGAATTGGCATCTTAGTGTAGTTTCAATTTACATTTTTCTTATTTGAGCAGGCAGAACATGCATATACATATACATTTATTTATTTATAAATCAACTTGTCAAGTTCTACAGTTACTTTGTTGGGAATTTTTATTAGAATAATATAGAAAATGTATGTCAATTTTTCTCAAATTGATATTTTTATGATATTGAGTTTTCCTGCCCATGAGGTAGGTCTATTTATTCATGTATTTTGGTCTTCTTCAGTGTCTTTCAACAAGTCATTCCAATCTCTTCCATAAAGGTCTTTAGCATCTTTTATTAGGCTAAGGATGAATCTTGTTGTTACCAAAAACTGTATATTATTAAACATTTTCATTTATATCCATTTGATGGTGAAATGAATATTGATTTTTGTACATTGCTTTTATGTCAAATAATTTTGTTAGTTTTTTTTTTTTTTTTTTACTAATTCTAGATTCATTTATTATTTTTTCTGGAGATGGGGTCTTGCTCTGTTGCCCAGGCTGGAATGCAGTGGTGTGCAATCATGGCTCACCACAGGCTTGAACTCCCAGGCTCAAGCTATCTTCTCAACTCAGCCTCCTGGGTAGCTGGGACCACAGGTGCATGCCACCACCTCCTGCTAATTAAAAAAAACAAAAAAACAAAAAGTAGAGATGGGGGTCTGTCTATGTTGCCCAGGCTGATGTTGAAATCCTGGGCTCAAATGATCCTCCTGCCTCGGCCTCTCAAAGTGCTGGCATTACAGGCCAACCACTTTGGGAGGCTTTGACCCACTGCACTTGGCCTAATAATTCTAGATTCTTTTGGGTTTTTCATGAAGCCCATCTTCTAGAAATAATGATGGTTCTATTTTTCTATTCTAGTCTTTCTACATTTGATTTTTTGTGTCTTGGTCTGCTGTTGAGGACCTTTAGGATGACATTGGTTCTCATCAGAATCTTAGGTTATCTGCAGAAAACATTGTCAGGTTTCCCTCATCTGGCCTGGAAGCAAAACTTTTAAGAAAACTTTACTCTTCTCAACTTGCCCCAACCTCTCATCTCTGTTTGGGTTTGACTTTTGTGCAACGAAGACTTCAGCTGAAGTTTTCCAGCTCACTTGCAGCTGTGAAGCCTCTCATAGCCAGCTTTTAGTCAACCTGGATGGGCAGAGGAACATGAAATGTGGCTTCTTGGACCTCATGTGCTATGAGCAGGATGGACTGGGCTGGGACCCCAGGAAGTGAAGCAAACCCTGGGATAGGAATCCCTGAGTCATAGCTGGGCAAGTGGGTGGGTTGAGTCTGAGGAACAGGGAGTCTTATGTCCTGAAGGTACTGAGGGTCAAACATAAGAAGCCATTCCACAGTCAAGACAAAAGAGGCAGTAGACCATAAGGCAAAACCTAAGAATTAGGTGACCAGTGGGCAGAGGCAGGAAGCAGGAACAAGTGCTTGGATCCAGGCTGTGTTGTTTGGACATTATTTCATCAGCCTAAGTGCATACTTATATCTGTGGGTCAGTGTGGTTAGACTCAATTTTAGCACTGAATGCCATTATACATGCAAAGCCCCTAGCTCATGTCCTGGCATACAATAGGAGCTCAATAATCAGCAGTTCCTGGCCAGAGCAGCACCTCTGTAGACCTTCAGTGCTACACCTGTCAAGACCTGCTGTTTATTGAGCTCCCGTTACATACTAGGACATGGGCTAGGTACTTTGCTATCTGTCTGCTGTGGGCTCTTCTGCCAACTCAGTCATCCTCCCCAGGCTTCATGTCCCTGGGGTGTTCACAGCAAGTCTATCATAGCACCCATTCTGGAAAACAGCTGTCTAGAGCCTGCCCTTGTTTTCCTGGTCTGTGGATGTTCAGCTCTGTGTCCTGTCTTTGATCCCTACCTTATTAACATGCTCTCTAGTCCCTTTCCAGTTTCTGAGCAGTGCTCAGGCCGTGGGTCCCATCAACACGCTGGCGTCTGGCCCACACAGGGGCTGGAGGAATCTGTGTAGCCAGGGCCAAAGCTGTTTCGGTCACAGGCTTGGTTAGTATACACTAGTTTTTATCTTGATCATCCAGGGAATAAAGGAAGAATGCAAATTCCTAGGATACACCTGATCTGGACCACAGGAAATCATGGTCATTTTGGATTGGGGTCTGTCATTTGCTGTATGACTTTAGGCACATCCTCTCCCAACTCTAGACCTCAGCTTTCCCAGTTCAATTGGTCCAGGATTCTCTGACCAAAGACTGGCTGTCCCCTCCCCAGCCTCTTCCGGGCAGGCTCCCAACTCCAGGCAATATCTTTCTACAGAAAAACTCAGCCAGGGAGGGGTTAGGAAATTCATTGCTCACGTATCTTGTACTATTATCATGACCAATCTCCTTTCATACAGTTTATCCTTCATTTTATGATAGCTATTAAAGACTGTTAGGAGCTCTCTTGGTTCCTTGAGGAATATTTATGCATTTTATAGGACTCTCATGAAGGAGAGAAGCCCTTATTAGGAGCAGGCAGGGAGATTCTGCATTAAGGGGGCATTAGGAGGCCTCACCCAGAGAATAATGATGCTTGGGGCTTCCCGTTTAACTGGCTAGTTTATGCACCTGTTTGAACTGTTTTCTTTTGGGGGGATTAAGGGATCTTTGAGAATTTCAAACAGTGCAGAGAGACTGCTCTCTCGTTAAGATCTTGCTTCTGTTTGCAATAACATCGGCACTGGCCAGAGAGGTGGAGAGAAACGGAGCCTGAACTTGTTGTTCTGATTTCCCAACCCATCTACCCCACCATACTTCACTCACTCATTAAGAAGTTGGCACCTGGCCAGTGGCTTGGGTTTACTCCTGCCATGTCCCTAATAGTTTTAGCCCCCTGCCTATGTTTCACCACTTAGACTCCCTAGTACTCCCCTATTTCATGGGACCTGAGGCAATCTCCAGCCCTGGTTTTTATTTTTTTTCAATAGACTTTATTTTTTTAAAGAGCAATTTTAGGTTCATAGCAAAATTGAGCAGAGAGTACAAAGTTCCCATATACCCACTGCCTGCACACAGGCACGCCTCCCTGACTATCAGTATCCTCACCAGAGTGGTACATGTACCTACATCCACACATCATTATCCCCCAAAGACTATAATTTACATTAGAGTTTACCCTTGATGTTGTACATTCTATGGGTTTGGACAAATGTATCAGGATGGGTATCCACCATTACAGTATCAAACAAAGTAGTTTCACTGCCCGAAAAATCCTCTGTGTCCACCTATTCATTCTTCCCTCCCCGCTAGCCTCAGGGAGCCACTGATCTTTTTACAGTCTCCATGATTGTGTCTTTTCTGGAATGTCATAAGTTGGATTCACACAGTATGTAACATCTTCAGATTTGCTTCTTTCACTTAGCAATATGTGTTTACATTTCCTCATGTCCTTTCATAGCTTGATAGTTTCTTTTTAGCACTGAGTAATATTCCTTCCACCTGTGGATGTACCCCAGATTCTTTATTCACCTACTGAAGGACATCTTGGTTGTTTGCAAGTTTTGGCAATTATGACTCAAGCCACTGTAAACCTGTGTGCAGGTTTCTGTGTGTATGCTAGTTTCTGACCCTTTTGGGTAAATACCAAGGAGCACAGTGGCTGGATCATATGGTGCAAGTGTGTTTAGTTTTTTGTAAAAAACTGCCAAACTGTCTTCCAAAGTGGTCCAGCCCTGTTTTGAGTCATGCTTCTTGGGAAGCAGGCTACCCAAGCCAGGAGCCTGAGAGATTTCAAAGACCACCCCTTTCTCCATCTCTCTGACCAACCTCATCTCCCAAATTTTGCTGATTTCTTCCCCTTAAAGATTTCTCCAAAAGGCCTCATCTTCTCTGGAGGGGCTGATGCAAGGGTCTTTTTGCTGTTTGTCTTCAGGTTTCCTGCAGTAATCCTAGGGATAAGCAATGCCTGTGGTCATTGCTGCTACCATGGTGACCAGGGGCACAGCATGATCTCTCTAGTCTAGTTCTTGCTTTGCAGAGTGTGGTCCCAGACCACCTGCACTGGATCCTGTGGATGGTTAGATGGGCAGATTCCCAGTCTTCCAGAGACCTAATGAATCAGAACCTGTGGATATGGGGTCTAGACTGTTTAACCCCTTACCTTCATGCCCTTGAAGCTGATTCTGACCCTAACTGGGAGCCCTTGACCCTTGGTCCATGACCACCAGTCCCCCAGATCTACAAAATGAAATCTTCTAGCACCCCAGGATTCCTCTCTTTCCCAAGGGAGTCGTCTCCTTGGATTGAGGTCCTTCTGTTCTGCTCCCCAGTAAGCCTCTCTCCTCCCTGCCCTCTTTCTTTCCTGTTATCCTCTATTTCTTTGTGTCTTTTTCTCTATCTCATTTTAATTGATTCCAAAGTGTTAAGGCATTTAGTAAGTATGAATTTGTGTTTTGTGGAAATCAATCTCTTTCTGCAAGCTTGCTTCCCCCTTCTTTCAAGTCAGCTAAATGTTGCTTCCCCAAAATTAAATGGCTCCGGGCGGAACCAGCCTTGAGTTGGTTACCTAATGCTGTAGCGGCTCCAAGGCTGCTGATCGGACTTGACCTAATTTGACCCAAAAATGCTGTCCCACTCATGAGCGTAGTCCTCACTGCAGAAAATACAGGTGTGCTTTTAATCTGTCATTCGGAGGACAGAAGGCAGGGAGGAGAGGGAGGTTTGGGGGTGATGGGGCCATTTTGCTCAAATGAAAAAGGAGAGAAGCATCAGGACTTGGAGTGGAGATGTACTGGCAGGGGTGGTGGGGAAGGGGTTGTTACTGGCCTCTAAGGAAGACCCAAAGGAAAGTACAAAAATTCCTTTCTCAATTACTATTTAAAACTCATTGTCCTCCCTGTGGGCCAGGAAATCTGGTGCCCTGCATTGTGAGGAGTCAGGAGGTGTGAAAACAGACGGGTTTCTCCGTATGACTATGTGACTCCAAACCTGTTTCCTCATCAGCAGAACAATGAATATCATGTCAGGCACTCAATGACGCCTTTGTTATTATTAAAGCTCTGCTGGACAGGTATTAACCTGCTCATTTATCAGTGCAGAAGTGCCCACTGGGTGCACCTTGGTGGCTTATCCAAGATCACACATCTGCCTCCACAGGAAGTGGCAGGGCAGGATCTGGATTCACTGCTGACTCCCCATCCACCAGGCCATCGTGTGCAATGTGGCTGGCAGAGGCCTGGGAGGTAGGGGGGGTCCTGGCTGGGCTGGATCTGTCACTCTGATTTCTCAGGGTGGTCATGGCTTATTCTTCAGCTCTTGCTCATTCATTCTTTGGTTTGAGAAAGTGAGACATATTCAGACAACCTGGGGGACCCCTCTCAGACCTGTCACTCATGCCTGTAGCTGCTGTGCTGAGAACAGAGCTTGAGCAATGAGCATTGGAGATCACACAAGTCCTATCAAAGCCTGAGATGAAGGTGCTCATGACAGCCATGTCTTGGGTGGAACTAGTTCCCCCCTCTGTGCCATCTTCCACCTTGGTTCCTTCAAATGTCAAGTGGGAGAGAATAATACCACCCCTCACTCCCGCAGGGCATTGTGATGAAGAATGAATGTGTTAATGGATGTGAGTAGATGTAGCACATTCCTTGGCACCTAGTAAGTGTTCAAAATGTTTGTTTAAAAATATCTGTACCTATAGAAACAAATAATGCAATACAAATCTGTTAAAACATCTGTTAAAATATCCATGAGAGCTGCATGTTGGTTGATGAATGCAGGCAGGATAGGTTTTAAACCCTCTGCCTGCCCAGGGCAAGCGTTCAGCTCTGCAGCTTGGGGAACAGGACGTGACTCCACATCATAAGGATACCTATCTTAGTTAAAAGATATACAGAGGGTGATTAGGGGATGCACTGATTACATGCACATGAAAAAGTTCAGCCTCTGTCGGTTAGATCACCAATTCTTCCTCCTGGTTTCTTATCAACCCAGGGTGTCTCCAATTATCTCAAGAAGGGTCAGGAACCACTCAAGATGTTATTAATTTTAATCCACTCTAATTAAATATATAAATGGGCCATGTACTACTTTGTGGAAGGAGAAGAGAAGGGGGAATAATATCTTAAAATCAAATATGTAATTCTTCAGTACCACCAGCCAACTTCTCAAGGGCTGAGGCTGTTTCTTCTTTCCCTTCTCTTTCTCCTCCCCTTTCTCTCATTTGGTGCCTTGCTGGGTGCTCTGATTGATATAGCCAAAGGTTGATTATATTAGGAGAGCCAGCAGCATGATAGGAAAAGTGAGGCCCAGGTTGTGGTGGTGTGTGCATGCAGAGACCCAGAGGCCTGGGCTCTTCTCCTAATTTTGCTTCTCACTGCTGTGAAATCTTGGTCCAGTCTGCTTTGAATGAGTCTTTGAGGAGGCTCTGTCCTTCCTGCCTCATAGGTCATGGTGAGCTTCAGGACCATAATGTATGGTCCAGTGCATGGTAACCAGGATGTCTATGCATTCATGCATTCCTTCACTGCATGTAACTAGCACTTTCTTGTGCCATGCATGGGGCCGCCTGGAGGGGAACAAAGATAAGCCAAAATTGATGAGGTCCCTGCTCTTGTGCTGCTCATAGTGGAAGGGGTTGAATTGGGATCCTAATAGTGCATGAAGAATGTTGCCCAGGGGAGAGAGCTGCTCTTGCCTTTGCATCAGGCTATTGCTGGGCCTCCAGAGGCTACTTCCAGGGCCAGGAGGGAATGGTCCCTGTTCACAATGAGGACTAATGGGGGAGGAAAGGATCCTGGCCCCCAGGCTTCCATCTTTTCCTTCAGCAGTTCCCAAGGGTTTTACGTTCAGGCTCTCTTCCTCTGAAGCTCCATATAGGTTGGGTTAGAGGAGGCAGAGGAAAACCACAGCTCTGCCTGCACTGGTGGGGTGGGGAGGTGTGAAGGGGTAGACAGAACTTGTGAACTGACACCACTTGCAGTAGGAAGAGGGAATCCCATCACATAGAGAGGGCCAGGTTGCTGGAGAGATGCTTTGTCCTCCAAACTGCGACGTTTCCATATGTACCTCAGGCCTCCCTGCGTGCTGCCTGAGTGTCCCCACCATGAGGTCTGGGGTGAGCCAGTGGGATTCTTGGCGGGAGGAGGGAAGATGAGTTTCTCACTCAGGAATTTAAGAGACTAAGCCACTGGGTAAGCAGAGCCCAGAGTCTTGTGGGAAGTGGAGTCCATGGCTACTGAGGGGAGGTTGAGCAGGTGACCCAGATGGAGGGCCCTGAAGCAGGCCTGGCTTCATTGCTTTTGTTCTTAAATGCCCTGTGCCTCTGACCTTGGGATGTTGCATGTGCCACTCCCCTGCCTGCTGTGTGAATTTCTCTCTTCCCTTGCATTCTCTCTGCATCCTGGTTCACCTTTCAGATCTCATCGTCGATTTCCTTTCCTCCAGGAAGCCCCCTGATCTCCTTGGATGGGGGAGGGACTATCCCAGTGGGTCCTTCATTTCGTGGCTATCAACCCCCTGAATCATAATGAGTGTTTTCACATCTGTGGCCACATTAGCCTGTGTGCTGCATCTCCCCTGGCTCTGAGCACAGGGCATGGTACCTAGGAGGTGCTCAAGACGTGTTTCTGGAATGAATGATGGGCTGAGGTTGTGTATATGAAGCCATGACAAGGGAGTTAGGGAGACCAGGGCCATGGCAGCAGGAAGCAGACATCCCTCCTTGCCATCGGGGCTCTGGAATTAGGCACTACTGGCCTGGGTCATAGATGCTCTTGATGGTCCTTCTTTTCTCTGGAGCCCAGGCTACTCCCTCCTGGGGCTGAAGCTGCAGCTACATTCAAATTCTTTAAATGTCTTGGGTGATTTTTCAAACATTTTACCTCCAACGTGCTTTGCATACTGCCACACATTTTAAAACCCACATATAATTTAAGGAACATTTAATCAATAGAGTCTTGATTCATTTTTTCCCTTAAATCATCAGTATTATTGTTGTGAAGAGCCCATTTGAAGTTCAGGAAGGCTCTTAAGCATTTTTAATAACCATTTTCTTCCCCTGTGTGCTATTTTTTTTTAAACTGTATTTTTGATACTTTTTCAATGGTTGAACAAGCTCAAAATGCCAGGTTCCCGATTGCTTGAATTGTGTCCAACATGCAGTTCTGTAAGGAAAACGGACTCTTCCTGAATACTTTCAAAAAATTTTTTTTAACAGAAGTAGTTTTTGCTGGTGTTGTTTGAGTTATCTGAGAAGGGCTCTTGGCTCCCACTTGTGACTGGAGGAACTACTGCTGGGGCAAGGTAGACAGGTCTCAAGAACACTGCACCTTTTCACATCTTTGAAGCTCCAAACACACACACGGCAGCAACTATCTTCGTTTCCTTGGGTCTGATGCAATTCTCTGTCCCTGTGGTGGTTAGCTTATTTCATCTTACATTCATTGAGTGCTTAGTATATACTAGATTCCTTGCTAAAGTGTTCCAGTGCACCATCTCCTGAAGTTCTTATCCCATTTTACAGACAAGGAAACTGAGGCAGAGGACTCGTGTATAAGTTTCCTGTGGCTGCTGTGACAAATGACTTATTGGTTTAAAACAACAGAAATTGATTCATTTACAATTCTGGAGACCAGAAGTATAAAATCAAGGTATTGGTGGGGCTGTACTCCTTCTGGAGGTTCTAGGGGAGAATCTGTTCCTTGCCTCTTCAAGCTTCTGGTGGCTCCAGGCACTCATTGGCTTGTGGCCACATCAAATTCTCTAACCTCTGCCTGTGCAGTCGCATTGCTTCCTCCTTGTCCTGTGTGCTGCCTTCTCTTCTCTGTGTCTGTCTCATATGAAAACACTTGTCATTGGATTTAAGTCCTTTCCTTCAATGTCCTTAACTTAAGGACATCTTTTGCCCCATATGTGATGGTTAATATCGAGTGTCAACTTGATTGGATTAAAGGATGCAAAGTTTTGTTCCTGGGTGTGCCTGTGGGGATGTAGCCAAAGGAGATAAACATTTGAGTCAGTGGACTGGGAAAGGCAGACCCACCCTCAATCTGGGTGGGCAGTCTAATCAACTGACAGTGTGGCCAGAATAAAAAGTAGGCAGAAGAATGTGGAAAAACTAGAATGGCTAAGTTTTCTGGGCTCCATCTTTCTACCAAGCTGGATGCTTACTACCCTCAAACATCAAGACTCCAAGTTCTTCAGCTTTGGGACTCTTGGACCTTTGGCCACAGACTGAAGGCTGTACTGTCAGTTTCCCTACTTTTGAGATTTTGGGACTTGGACTGGCTTCCTAGCTCCTCAGCTTGCAGATGGCCTGTTGTGGGACCTCACTTTGTGATTGTGTGAGTCAATACTCCTTAATAAACTCCCCTTTATATATATATATGTATCTCCTATTTGTTTTGTTCCTCTAGAGAACCCTGACTAATACACCATACAAGGTAATACTCACAGGTTCAGGGAATTAGGATAAGAACATATCTTTTTGGGGCTCTGCATTCAACCCACTAAAGCTTGAAAGGAGTAAAATCAGGACTTAACCCAGTCAGTTTGTCTGTAGGTCTGGGGCTCCCTGCTCCACAGCTCAGGTGCTAGGACTATGGTGATGCCAGCTGCTGACAGATGCCAGGCTCAGACAGCTTGGTTGGGATTTTAACTGGTCTGTTCCCCCAGAGTGTACTCATAGCTTTTCTGCCTTTCCCCCCCCTCCCTCTCCTATCTTGGCAAAAATACCTGGGTCTAACTCCATCACAGAAACTCCAGAGTTTACTTGGCTGGTGTTCTAAATTGTGGACAATTGTCTGTATTGCAGACAGTTATGTGTCTGCTGCTGGGGATGTGGGGTTATGTGTATATCTGATTGAAACACCTCCAAGTGCCATATTTTTGGTCGAGAAAGATTAAATATCAGCAATTTTATATGGTTCAATCTCATATTTACTTAAAATATGTTGCCCATCAGCATTCCTCCTGTGTCCTCCAAGGGCCAAGAAAATGTTCCGGTTTCCTGCATGTGCCTTTGGCTTCAGCACATGGCTAATCTGACCCATGTCTGTTGCTTAGTTATTCCAGCACATCTTTGGCAAATGTGGTGCTCCGTCATGCCCCAGATCCCATCTTAATTTCAACTGTCTCCAAAGAAGCCACAAAGTAGTCAGCCCATCTTGAAGTCATCAGCTTCCATCAAGGGTTCAGGAACATCTGTTTGAAACCAACATGTTATTTTCCTTCCTGGCAAATCAGTAGCAGGATTGCATACTCTGCCCACGAACACAAAGTACTTACGGGTAGTGTCAGGTTGGGTCCAAGTCTAAAAATACTCTCCTTCAGCATCTCGTTTTTTTCTGTAAAGTGACTTGGCTCACAACTGGAACTTTGCCACTCTCTAAACATTTATACATTTAATGCATCCTGAAATATTAACCTATAGTATGCACGAGCAACAGTGTGAATGCTTCCTTTCCTGGCAAGGACTGTGTTATTGGAAATCATTTATTGAGATTTACATTCTAATAGAGATGAAGGGCTGTTTGCATTGTTAAGATTCCCAAAAGCCAAACTGGAAATTCTGGGGTTGGGGTTCCATAGAGATTTGGAGTCACTAGAAACCCCCTCCCAGGGACGGAGCTGTCAATCAACCCATAAAATTTATCGCATGCATACCATGCATGTGTGCCTAGAAAATTACAGTCATACCTCACCAAGGCTGTGTGACCTTGGACAATTTCCTTTCTGTATCCTAGCTTCCTGTTTACAGGATGGGGTGACATCAATGACACATACTTCGCAGGGTTGCTGGAAGGGCTCATGGACTTGGTCCAGAGCCAAACCTACTGCCGTGTAATTCTAATTTTAGAAGCGCATTTTGTAGGTAGTGAGCTCTCAAATGCTGAAAGTGTTTTGGCAGAGATTGAGAGATCGATAGGCAGGAGCCTCGCTGAGGGGATTCTACTACTAGAAGAGAGAAGGGGATTTGCCCACCTAGCCAGGAGAGCTAGAATTAAGTGCTACCTTGGACTGGGAAGAAAGACAATATACCTACACTGAAAGGTGAAAGGCAAGAGAAATGATCAGAGACTTTGGTCTCTGGTGGCCAGCACAAAGTCGACCACTCAGTAAGTGATTAATCATTGTATATTTGCTTAATAATAAATATTTACCGATTATCTGCCATGGTGCCAGCCCAGTACAGGGTGCTAGGAACACATAGATGTCTGTGCCTAAACATCTGACCTAAAGAAATTATGTCTCAAAATGTCTAATCCCATCATGAGAAGGACTTGTGGGAAAACAGTGCAGAGAAGAGAGTGAGCAAGCTGACGTGTCAAAGGCCCGCAGTGTACCAAGCATGGTACTTTGAAAACTATGAGATACAGTTGTCCCCATTTTACAGGTGCAGAAATTGAGTCTCAAGGAGGCTGTGATTTAGTCAGTGTCACTGTAGCAGTCAAGATGAGCTAGGTTATGCTATAGTAACAAATAACCCCAGAATCTTAGTGGCCGAAAGCAAAGACTTATTTCTTGATCATTCGATGTACCCATTGCAGGACAGCTATGCGTTTTTCTTCTCATTTTCCTTATTTAGGAACCCAGGATGATGGAGCAGACACAATCTGAAACTTTGCTGTTTGCCATGCCAAATGGAAAAAAAAATGCATTGGTCCTTAAAGTTTTCATTTCTTAGGTCAAAGCAAGTCTCATGGCCACACTCAGCTCCCAGGAGGTGGGAAGATCATTCTTACCACATGCCTGAGAGGACAGCGCTGGGATGTTGGCCAAAAGCCCTATTGATTACTGGTCTCTCAGCCAGTGGCAGAGACAGAATTTAAACTCAGGTCAGGCTCTCAAGTCCAAACTGTTTTCAGTAGACCGTGTGGCCTGGGAGGTGGCAGAAGGCCTGTGGACCTTGAGTCTGCTGGCTTCTGCAATGGGAAATGGTCCCACCTTGATGGCAGTGACACTGTGGTCTGGGACCAGCCCCCTCCACTGTTCCAGCTCTCAGCATCCTTAGTCCTAGGTAACATCGCTACTCTTCGTGAGAGATTTGCCCATCGCTGCTGTAAGTGGCTAGGCCTGATAAAGGCTTCAGGCAGTCTCCTTCTCTGGGCTCCAGGAATAGGGACAGATCCCTGTGGCACATGCAGACTGGATGGTAGTAAAAGCCTCGTCATCAAGATGGAGTAAATAAGCTGGCCATGATATGAGGAAAACAAGGGGGCGAGAGGGCTGTAAAAGAACCCAGCAGGCAAAAAGAAATCCAGTCCTTGAAAGTGGCTGTATCAATTGGCTGTGGTTGCCATAACAAGATACCCCCACAGAGTGGCTTAAACAACAGATATTTATTTTCTCCGAGTTTTAGAGGCTGGAAGTCCAAATTCAAGTTGCTAGCAGGGTTGGTTTCTGGTGAGGTCTCCCTTCTTGGCTTGTTGATAGCCACCTTCTCACTGTGTTCTCATGTGGCCTTTCTTCTGTGTACGTGGAGAGACAGAGCACGCTGATGTCCCTTCCTCTTCTCATAGGGACTCCAGTCCTATGGGATAGGGCCCCATCCTTATGATCGCATTAAACTATAATTGTCTCCTTAAAGACCCTATCTTCAAAAGCAGTCTTTTTGGGGATGAGGGCTTCAGGGGACACAGTTCAGTCCATGACAGCAAATTAAAAATTCCATATTTGAGAGATGGTGGATGGAGGAGGCAGGAAAAGTGGGCTTGAGTCCCCAGTTCTGGAAGTTATGACCTCTGTGTCATCTGCTTCACCTCCATGGCTCAGTTCCTCCATCCACAGAATGAAGAAGGCTGAGTTCCGTGCACAGCATCAGGCATGTAGAGAACATACAGTTGTTTCCCCCTCCCTTCTAAGCCTCAGTTTCTCACTTGTCCAGTGGACATGGCCATTCTCACTTCACAGAACTGCTCCAACAACCAGAAGAGCGAGGTTTCCTGAACATTTAAAAAGCTAGAGTTGCCTCAGAGATGCTATCATCACTCTTCCCCTACCTCATGCCCAGCACAGAAGTTGGGACACAGTAGGAACAATAAATATGTGTTGAAGGAATGATGGAGCAATAAAGTTTTTTAGAGTTTTGCTCTGTTGCCCAGGCTGGAGTGCGATGGCATGATCTTGGCTCACTGCAATCTCTGCCTCCCAGGTTCAAGCGATTCTCCTGCCTCAGCCTCCCTAGTAGCTGGGATTACAGGTGCATACCATCACGCCTGGCTAATTTTTTGGATTTTTAGTAGAGATGGGGTTTTACCATGTTGGCCAGGCTGGTCTTGAACTCCTTACCTCAAGTGGTCTGCCTGCCTTGGCCTCCCTAAGTGCTGGGATTACAGGTGTGAGCCAACGTGCCTGGCCTAGAGCAATGAAGTTCTAACAAGAGAATGAATAGGGTGCTTGGTGCATTGGAGGCTCTCCACCCATGCTGAGCCAGAATAGGTTAGCCTTGACCACCAGGGACAAAGAATGATCAGGGAAAACAGCTGATGTGGGGCAGAAGACAGACAAGGAACACTGGGAACACATGCAGGATTCACATCTTGGCCCCCAACATTTCCTAGATGTGCCATTTAGGGCAGGGTTTTATCCTCCCTGTGCCTCAGAGTCTAAGCTTCTAAAGTGGGTATGCTGGCCCCTTCTTTGTGTGAAGATGAGGAGCATGGTCCCAAAAATTAAACACATGGGTGGAACTCAATACGCAGTGTCTGGTATGGGTGAGATACATATCAGCTCCTTGTGGCCACTGGGCATTCAGAGCAAATTCTTGTCCCTTTCAGTGCCTTTCCCTGGGGTGGAACTGTAGCCTGGTGGCCCCCTGATGATGGTGTAGCAGCTGTGCCCTCCTAAAATCAGCCATTCCACCTGAGCACCAACCTAAGCTCCTCCATCAATGACCTTTCCTTGTGCCTCCCCTCCTCTGCTAGGTCTTAAGCTGTGGATGATGTAGAATCACGGTGCTTTATCCTCAACAAGATTCCTGATGGGAGGGTGTTTACATTTGACCGATGGCTTAATATTTTGTCCTCAAGAGGAGGCAGTCTCCCTGAGGGGCTCTCTGGCTATGCATCATCGTAATGGCCCCTCTCTGAAGTACCTGGAAGTCATCGGGAGAAAAACAGTCCCTTCTAACCTTGACTTCTGTGTGTGCCATTGGTTTCTGACAAGCCCTCCTGATTTCTGCAGATGCGTTTCTCCAGGTCCTGTCTGAGGTTCCAGGGGCTCCCCCTGGCTCCGGTAAATGTCCTGGTGGCTGCTTAGTTATTCCACCGTCCTCTCTTTATTACTCTTCCTCCCTCATCATTATTCTTGCAGGACCATAGGCTGTGGGTGCATGAACTCCTTCTGGGCTGAGGCCCAGAGATGCTGCTGAATTGATGGATGTGCTTAATGGTGTTCACAGTCCAGATGGCTGGAGGCACCATCAGGATGCCCTCAGCCATCTGGGGGTCCTGGCTGGCCTTTTAGTTGTATTCAAACTAAGTTTTATTAAGCACCCACTGTTGGCTGTGGCTATCCTTGGCAGTGGGGCAGCACTTTACAACTTACCACATCTACTCTTCATGTGCTTAATAAGCATTCCCCATTCATTTACTCATTCATTCCCCATTCATTCATTCATTCGTTCATCATGTTTATTGAGCATCTATTATACAGTGTGCAGTGCACAAGGGCTATATGATTCCTAGTGTTAATATAATATAAAATGGTCCCTGTCCTTTACAAGCCATGAGGGGAAAGAAACAGTCACAATATCTCATTCAATGAGAGAGAAAGGAAAGCATTTTGGGAGCCCATAAGGAAAGACATTTAGTTCAGGAGTTCATGTGTTGAGAGCACAAGGTGGGAGGTATTAGAGTAGCCTTCCTAGAAGGGGTACTTCCCGTGCTGAGTCTTGGGGGATCCCTAGGACCTAGGCAAGCCAAGAATGCCATCAGGAGGAAGTGGGGACAGGCAGAGGTGACAGCACGGGCAAAGGCTTAGAGGCATGGTGCATTGTGCAGTAGGGCATTACAGGCCATTTGGTTTTTATCGGGGTAATGGGTCTGTTTAAGGGCTGATGGGAGAAGACAATGTGGGAGCTTCCCTTGGTAGAGCACTCCTTCCCTTATGTAACAGTAAGAATGCATTGCTGTGCAGAGAGCTGTGGCTGGGTTCTTGCCTATGAAAACCTAGAATACGGTTGTGGAATGAGGTGGCCTTTTCATCTCAGGGACGGAGCAGGGCAGTAAGTTGGCAAGGGCCCATACAGTGGTTCTTGTTTCAGCCTTTTTCCTTCCAAGCCCTGGTCCTGAGCTTTTGGTTAAGGACTTGGACTCTAGAGGGGCTGCCTTGGACCTTCCTTTCCCTGTTCTGCCTACCCTGTCTCCAGACACAGCACAAAGCTGGAAGGGCATCCATACTTGGCCAGGTGGAATGGGAACCACTGGCCTCAGTGTCAGGGCCTGGGTTCCAGCGTTGGCTCAGCCCCTGACTCCAGGTGAGACCTTGGGCAAATCACTTCTCAAATTCTTGGTGTGGGGTAGGAGGCTGTGAAACTGGATGAAATGTCTCCCCTAGATCTGCCCATCATGATTTTGTGCTTCTAAACATACAACTAGATCTTTGACATTGTGTTAGTTAATATGTTATTAACCATTCCTAGAAACCCAATTTTTTTTTTTTTTTGCCAAGTAACCCTAAACCAATAAAATATTTGGCTGCTCCAAAAACAAAATGGAGTGAGGCAGATAACGATTGTGTTATTCTGTTTTCTAAGATCACAAACTCTAGAGACTTGTATGTTATAGTTACATAAAGTTGGGCAAATTACTTTCTCTAATCCCCATTTTTCTTGTCTCTAAATTGATGCTACAAATAGTGTCTTCTTCATAAGGAGAGTGCTGAGTAGGGCTGCCATGTACAGTTGTGCCTGTCACACACTGCCTAAGAGAACCTGGCTGGGCGGCAAACGGGGGCTGAAATCCGGCCTACACTCTGCTCACCAAGCCATGTGTACTGTCCCAGGTCCCTTACAAATGGGCAAGTGTTGGCAGCTGCCCTGATCCTTGGCATAGCATCTGGCCCAGAAATAAATCCTCATTTTGTTTGCTTTTCTTATTAGCAAAATTAATATTTGAGGACCTGCTTGAACCCAAAGCCTCAGTATCCCCATCTGTAAAGTGTAGGAAGTAGGTTTGTTCATGTCTGCTATTCTCATGAACTTGGATCATCTGTGTGATTTTCGAATCTAGGAGATGAGGGCACAACCTTGAAATTGATTATGCATTTCTTCCCAAGCATATGCTCAAGCTGATTTGAGTCCTGAAGCCTGGCATGGGTGAGACTTCCTGGTTGCATGGGCCAATTTAATGGGTGGAAGCTTATTTCTCCACCCCAGGTTTGCCACCAGAGCCCCAAGTGAGGCACCTGGATGTGTCTTGGCAGCTAATGGAGACATAGGTCACTGTTTTGGTGAATTTCACCGAGGAACCAAGGATGCTATTATGAAGGACCCTCTGCCAGGCTTTTCTAAAGAGTCATGGGTAGGAGTGGGTAGAAAGGAGGATGGTCTCCTGTGTAGTGCAGAAGAACCACATCCAGCAAGGACTCCACCCCTTCAAAGAACCACTCTGTGAACTTGTAAAAATTCTTTTCCAGTCACTATCTTTCCTTTCCTCCTTCCTCTCATCACATAACTTTTCTCCAGTGAAACCTAGGCTTGAAGTGAGTTGAGGCAGAGTTTTCAGAACCTAAGCGACTCAGGCTGGAGGTTTTCAGGCACTTTCAAGCAGAATCTGGTCTGGCTGGCTGCCCAGTGCTCAGCCTGCCTCCAAGGCCCTGGCCTGAAGGCTGCTGGACCCTCACTGGGCTTGGGATTGAGTCCTCTGTTTGGTGAGTCATCTGCCAAAGAAGCACAATTAGTGAGAACTGCCTCTGGTGGAGCCAGCTGCATTTGCCCACCAGGGCCTGTTCCTGGGCCTCCTCCTCATTAGCCTTGACTTGGTCTCTGGTAGTAAGAGGAGCTGGCTCTTTGACGTTTGACACCTGCCTCTGGCCGTGAGTCCCAGAACCACCAAGCCTGGCTGTTCTCCGCCTTCCAAAGGCTAGGGCATGCAACCTGCTCCACTCTCTCCAGTGCGTTTTCCACTGCGATCTCCTATTCTCTATTTAACAGCTGCAGGTGTGTTCTGGCTTAACGCAGAGACTGACATCAGTCCACTCTATTGCTTCTCCAACCTCCTTTCCCCCAGGGCCCAGCAGAGTGGCAAATCAATGACTTAAAAGACTGATCCATTATGAATACTGAATAGTACCATATCTTTACTCCCTTCTCATATAATAGTATTATACATCCGTACCCCCTTGCCATATGACTTTGCAATATCTATAGGAAAGGTAGTGTACTTATCTCAGTCTCATTTCTCATTGACTTTGGACATGACCATGAAGCTTGTTTTAGCCAAGAAAATGCTAGTAGGTGTGGCAAAAGCAGGTTTTGTTTCTTTCTTTTTTTTTTTTTGGAAACAGGGTCTCACTCTGTCACCCAGGCTGGAGTGCAGTGGCACCGTCATGGCTCACTGCAGCCTTGACCTCCCAGGTTCAAATGATCTTCCCACCTTAGCCTCCCAAGTAGCTGGGACTACAGGTGTGAGCCACCACACCTGGTTAATTTTTGTATTGTTTTGTAGAGATGGTGTCTTGCTATGTTGCTTAGGCTGGTCTTGAACTCCTGGGCTCAAGAGATCCTCCCACGTTGGCCTCCCAAAGTGCTGGAATTACAGGATGAGCCACTGTGTCTGGCTTAATTGTATTTGTGGAGTTTTGCTCAGACTCTTGCAATTCTGCTATTTGCTATGAGAAGACAATGCCCGTATTTGCTGCTGGTCTTGGAGAGAGACATGGAGCACACCCAAACCTGCCCCACTTCCCCAAAGCCAGAACGGTAAATCTACAGACTTAAAAGCAATAAATGATGTTGCACCACTGAGAGTTTGGACTTGTTACATGGCAGTATTGGAGAAAAACATCTGCCTGTCATAGGCATCATCTGGGAGCTAGGGCTGTGTCATCTTTGTTTCTGGCTGTCTCAGATCTTAGGCATGTAGTAGAAATGCCAGAAACAATTTGCTGAATGGAAACAGGGACAGGGAGGGAGGGACTCTGGTGGACTTACTGTGTTTGGTTGACACTCTGCTCTCAGTCTGGGTCAGACTCCCACATTCAATCCATCACCAAGCCCAGTGGAATCTGCTGCCAAGATATAGCCCAGATTTGTGTGTGCAATCTCACAGTTGTAAGGTATTGAATCAAATTGTTATGCCACTCTACAAACAAAGTAA
The DNA here is from genome assembly GCF_000001405.40 of Homo sapiens. Classification (NCBI taxonomy): domain Eukaryota; kingdom Metazoa; phylum Chordata; class Mammalia; order Primates; family Hominidae; genus Homo; species Homo sapiens. The sequence continues at coordinate 66,028,811 of NC_000016.10, read as the reverse complement.
AAACACTTCTGTCCAGTCCATGGATCCTGAATGTGCCCTTCCTCTAAGCCCCTGACATTGGTTAAAACGTGAATGGGAGGATCCAGGAAGGCAGAATAGCAGTCAGCCTAATGGCATATCCTGTTCCTTGGAGAGCTCCTTTGGTCTGTTGAAATAGTTCAGATCTGACCAACAGAGCACTAGACTGAGAACTCAGGGTTTTGAGTTTGCATCCTGCTGCTAGTTTGACTTACTCTGTGACACTGAGTAGATCACTTTCTCCCCCAGTCCTTAGTTTTCCCATCTGCATAGTGGCTTTATCACTTACAAGCTGAGAAGGTAAGAATCTGAGAACAATTCACTAAACCTGTCCAAGTGTTAGTATCCTCATCTATAAAATGAAATACTGGCCAGGTGTGGTGGCTGACACCTGTAATCCCAGCACTTTGGGAGGCTGAGGCGGGTGGATCACTTGAGGCAAGGAGTTCAAGACCAGCCTGGTCAACATGATGAAACCCTGTCCCTACTAAAAATATGAAAATTAGCTGGGCGTGGTAGTATGTGCCTGGAGTCCCAGCTACCCGGGAGGCTAAGGCAGGAGAATCGCTTGAACCTGGCAGGGGGAGGTTGCGGTGAGACGAGTTCACACCACTGCACTCCAGCCTGGGCAACAAAAGCAAAACTCTCTCTCTCAAAAAAAAAAAAAAAAAAAAAAAAAAAAAAAAAAAAAAAAAAAAGAAATACTGCTGCTCATCTCTCCAGGTTAAACAAGGATGGAATAAAATGACAAATGCAGCCAATAGTTCGCTGCCTGGATGCACAGTCCAGTGGATGCTGCTGATAGTTTTTTGTTGTTGTTGTTTATTTCTGAGGCAGGGTCTCCTCTGTCATCCAGGCTGGAGTATGGTGGCATAATCATAGCACACTGCAGTGCCCAACTCCTGGGCTCAAGCCATCCTCTCATCTCAGCCTTTTGGCTAGCTGGGACCACAGGCATGCATCACCAAACCTGGCTAATTAAAACATTTTTTTTTTGTAGAGATGAGGTCTCACTATGTTATCCAGGTTGGTCTTGAACTGCTACCTCAAGCAGTCCTCTTGCCTCAGTCTTCTAAAGTGCTGGGGTTACAGGTGTGAGCCACTGCCCGCTACTGATAATTACTAACAACAATAGTAGATGGAAAATGACCGATTTCAAAGCAATGCCATAGATTAGCATGACCGTCTCCAGTGAAATAAACTTGCTTATAACTATCTTGAAGAAAAACAGAATAATTGATTCACATAACTTGAAACGTCAGGGGTTGAGCCAGGGCCTCATATACATTGTGATCTCTCTCACTTTCCTTCTCTATTTCCCTCTGCTTTCACCCCCAGTCCCTTCTTGCCTTTGCCTGGAGGATGCCCTTCATACCTTTATAGAATGTGATTGGCATGAACCCAAACCGAAATAGGACAGCTTTCCTTCCAAGCAATGATTCTGATTGGCTGCCCTTGGACCCATCACTGTTGCTGGAGGATGAAGAGCCACATGTGGCTGTGGCTGGATGTGAGCCTTGCACTGTAGCAAGCGTGTGTGGGGTGTGCTGTCCCCAACATTCTCTCCAGAACCCAGCAGCATGAGGGAGGTGTGGCTCTCTAAAGGAGACAGGCTGGGCTGCCCCTGAATGCTCTGCCTGACCTGCCTGGGACAGTGTGCAAAATCCTCAAGCCACTTGGTTCGTGGTAGATTTCATTTGGCAATTCAAGGTGGGGGGATATGCCCATAGACCTCTTTGCTGTAGGATGACTAGTATAGACTGTCAGGGGGATAGGAGGACCAGGTGGATTCAGCAGCAGTGATGTCTTAGATGATGAAAGGATTACACAGCAATTTGCATAAAAGCAGAATTGTCTGACATACACATGTGCAGAAAGCAGAGGCTGGATATTGTATAACATAATAAGCCAACTTGTGTTTACATGGCTGGGGAAGGCCTCATGCTTCTTTGTTTTTTATTGTGGTTGTTTTGTTTTGTTTTGTTTTAAGACAGAATGTCACTCTGTCGCATAGGCTAGAGTGCATTGGCATGATCTTGGCTCACTGCAACCTCTGCCTCCTGGGCTCAAGGGATTCTCCTGCCTCAGACTCCTGAGTAGCTGGGATTACAGGTGGCACACACCACCACACCTGGCTAATTCTTTTGTATTTTTAGTGGAGACAGGGTTTCACCATGTTGGCCAGGCTGGTCTTGAACCCCTGACCTCAGGTGATCCAGCTGCCTCAGCCTCTCAAAGTGCTGGAATTACAGGTGTGAACCACCATGCCCGGCCAGGGCTCATGCTTCTAAATGGAAACGGGTCAGCCAGCAGCGCATCCCTTGTCCCTGCTCTGTCTCCCATTGCCTTTCCCTATGAATCCTCTAGGTGGGGCCTCATCTCTGCCCCTTTAGACCTGGCTCTTCTTTTCTGGCATGCCACCTCTCTCTGCCTCCCTCCTGTCCATGTCCTATGGAGCTGCAGGCACAGCTGTTACTGCGTTCCCCTGTTTACAAGCCTCTGCGGATTCTTATTACCCATCAGAATAAAGTCTCAGAAACTTCATTATTTTCATATAAAATCCTTACTTTGCCCTCTTCTCCAGACCAGAATAAGCACATGTTGGAATATGATTCACCTGGATTTGAGTCTTGCTGCTTCTTTCATATGATTTTGAATTGGACATTCATCCTCTCTGGAGCTCAGTTTCTTGTAAAGTGCAGTTAAAATCTTTCTCTTCTCTCCCTCCTCCGTCTCTTTCCTCCTGCTCTCTTTTCATTCTCTTCCACTCTATCTCCCCCACTTTCCCTCTCTCTGCCATCTCCCTTATCTTCATTCCTTTCATTCTCCCCTCTCTTCTACTTTCTGTCACTTTCTCCACTTCTCTTTCTCCATTTCTCTCTCTCTCCTCCCTTCCTCTCTCCCTCCCCTGCACATATACTCTACAGTGATGTCTTGAGAATCAGGTGATAGCACAAATCAGAGCACCCAGAGAAGCAGAGGTGTAGATGGGAAACTCAGCATGTGCCTGTTGCCTAGTGTTCTCTGTTGCCTTGTACCTTTGTTGTGTAAAACAACATTTGTCTGGACTTAGCCCTAGGTGCCTGGTACAGAGCTTGTAAAACTCTTGGATTCCTTCCTTCCTTCCTTCCTTCTTTCCTTCCTTCCTTCCTTCCTTCCTTCCTTCCTTCCTTCCTTCCTTCCTTCCTTCCTTCTTTCTTTCTTTCTTTCTTTCTTTCTTTCTTTCTTTCTTTCTTTCTTTCTTTCTTTCTTTCTTTCTTTCTTTCTTTCTTTCTTTTTTGAGACAGAGTCTTGCCTGTCGGCAGACTGGAGTGCAGTGGTGCAATCTCAGCTCACTGCAACCTCTGCCTCCCAGGTTCAAGTGATTCCCCTGCCTCAGCCTCCTGAGTAGCTGGGACTACAGGCACATACCACCATGCCTGGCTAATTTTTTTGTATTTTTTAGTAGAGACAGGGTTTCACCATGTTGGCCAGGATGGTCTCAATATCCTGACCTCGTGATGGACCTGCCTCAGCCTACCAAAGTGCTGGGATTATAGGCATGAGCCACCGTGCCTGGCCAACTCTTGGATTTCTTTAGTGATAGGAGTATCTTTGTTACGCAGGATCCCCTTGGATCACACATGAGTTTATGCTGAGATGAGATGACTTGGGCTGGAGGCTGGTCACCAGGAAGACCAATCAGGTGGTTAGATTGGAGCTTGGAGCCAGCCTTACTTCCAGTAAGGTGAGGGAGGCTGGAGATTGAGTTATCAATCATGTCTATGTAATGAAACCCCAATAAAAACTGTAGACACTGAAGCTCAGTGGAGCTTCCTTGTTGGTGAATACACTGATGGGCCAGAGAGTGACAGGCCCTGATTCTACAGGGAGAAGGCACGGATGGATGGATGGATGGATGGATGGAGGGATGGATGGAGGGACGGATGGAGGGATGGATGGAGGTATGGATAGGTGGATGGATGGATGGATAGGTGGATGGATGGATGGATGGATTGGTGAATAGATGCATGGATGGATGGAGGGATGGATGGATAGGTGGATGGATAGGTGGATAGATGGATGGATAGGTGGATGGATGGATGGATAGGTGGATGGATGGATGGATGGATTGGTGAATAGATGCATGGATGGATGGATGGATGGATGGGTGAACAGATGAGTGAATGGATGGATGGATGGATGGATAGGTGGGCAGATAGATGGATGAGTGGGCAGATGGACAGGGAGAGGGCACGAAAGCTCTATATTCAAGACCTTCCTGGGTCTCACCTTGTTGTTTGGCTGGTCCTGATTTGTATCCTTTATAATAAAATTGTAGTAATAAGTATAGTGCTTTCCTGAGTTCTGTGAGCTATTTTAGTGAATTATCAAATCTGAAGGGAATACTAGGAGCCTTCACATTTGTAGCCAGTTGGTCAGAAGGGCAGGTGATGTGGGACCCCACTTGAGCTGGTGTCTGAGGTAAAGACAGTCTTGTGGAGGACTGAGCCCTTAGCTTCTGGGGTCTGCACTATGGGTGGTTAGTACCAGAACTGAATCACACTTCACGATTTTAGGGTGAAATAGAATAATCTTCCACTAGACTGCCCAGCTCTGGGCTCTACTCTTGTGACATCCCTTTCTGTCTGGATTGTTCCTCTGCTCCTTATTTGACCAGAAACTCTTATTCACCCTGCAAAACTCAGCCCAGATGCCCAGCTCTTAGAGGTTTTCCTTCTCAACTTCTTATTACGGAAAATTTCAAACATATGCAATTAGGGAGAATAATACAACCAACTCTCATACACTCATTGCCAGCTTCAACAAGCACCAACTTCCTGTTGTTCTTGTTTCATAATTTACCACCCCTACCCCCGAACTTTCAGAGACTCCTCATGGTCTCTGTAATGAGAACCAAGGTGCCTTCTGGGGTCAAGGAAGTGAAGACTAGGCCAAGGTCATCCTTCAGGGAGTGTGGCAGACCTGGGGTTTAGCTGCCTTGCATCAGTGACTTGTATGCAGAGGAAAATGAAATGAGAAATGCACTTACATAAAATCTGAATTGGCATGACAAGCAGATTTACAGAGAGAACTGCGTGTCGTTTGAAATAATAAGACCAGCATTGTTTAGAAGGCAGCAGATGGGAAAGAGCACACATCTTGTCAGCCAGAACTCGGGTTTATCTAACAGCCCTGTGTTAGTTCAGTTCACCAAATATGTCTCCATGGGTGAGGGGATAGGGTGGGCTTCACACCTACTCTGGAGGCTGGATATTAGCAAACAAGTGGTCATGAGCAGGGGAGTGAGGAAGGGTTGGGAGGAAGGGTGGGAAGGAAGGGGCTTCCAGGGGTTGCTGACATATCATCTCTCCTCTTAAAGATTTTTACTCTACCCTTTCTCTCTTCCTCCATCCCTTCCTCCCTCGGCTGCCTGTGGAGCTCTAGCCATGCCAAAGCCTGGGCTGGGAGGTGGTGATGGTGGTGGTTGTGATGATCATCATGATAAAGATGATAAGAATATGTAATAACAAGCACTTACATTGGCTTTAGCGCGTGGCAGGCACAGTTCCAAATGTTTCACATGTGCTCACTCATTTCATCTTACAAAAAACCTATCAAGGTCAATCGTTACATTATCTAACTTCCAGAGAAGAGACTGAGAAAGAGATGAAGTCACTTGCCCAGAGTAGCAGAGCTACTAGACATGCAGAGAGGAATAAGGCACATGGCTGCCAGCTTGCATGGGCTCCCACAGGCCAAATTTAGATCAATTTTTGAGTGTCAAACAGAACAATACTGTATTCATGAGTCTATGGTTGGTAATAGACTAGGGGAGAGAGAAAGAGAAAGAGAAAAAGGGAGAGAGAGAAGGGATGGGGGAGGAGAGGAACTCTTCTTTACAGAAAAATGCCAACTAATCAATGTAGACAGAATGAGAAAATTATCATTTTTCAACCTCCAGTGCAATAATATCTTCAAGCAAGGAGCATAAAGGATGCTGAAACTGTCAGGTGAAAGGTGCTGGGGAACAGTATATCCTTATGGTTTCAAAGCATCACCCCGCATGTTAACTAGAAATTACAAGGAAAAAAATGGACCTTTACCAGTGGTGAGACCTGACATTCACCATCTTAACTAAATGATCAAATGTAGCATCACCAAAAGTCAGGACATCTGACATTATGAGCTTTCTTCTATGATACAGTAATAAGTTGAAGACATCATCTACATGGTTTTCTCACTAAAAATGTTGCTCTGAATCTAATCACAAGGAAACAAGTAGACAGATTCCCATGTGGGACATTCCATGAGACAACTGGCTCGGACTCTTCGAAAAAACAAAAAAAGCCACTGCCACAAGAAATAAAAAGGGTATAGATGTGTGTGTCGTGTGTGTAGGTTTATGTGTGTGTATATGTATGATGTGTGTAGGTATGTGCATGTGTATATATGTGTTTGTGTATATGTAGGTGTATATATGTGTGTATATGTGTGTATGTATGTGTGTATATGCATGTATGTATGTATAGGTATGTGGGTATATGCATATGTTTGTGTATACATGTATGTGGGCATATGCATGTGTATGCATGTAGGTATGAGTGTACATGTATGTATGTGTATATATATGTATGTGTGTGTTTTTCAAGGAAGAGCTCTTACACTTTAAGATGTATACAATTTCCCTGGAGATCTTGTTAAAATGCAAACTCTGGTTCAGAAGGTCAGGGGGTGGACTGGGGTTGTGCCTTTCTAACAATATCGAAGCTGATACTGCTGCTGCTGTTGTGACGACCACAGTTTGAGTACAGGGGTCTGGACTAAGAGAGGTTGGAGAGCATCACCACCAGATTCAATGCATGGACTTTCATTGGTCTTAGACTCAAATAAAACTATGAAGGACACTGCTGGAGCAATGGGGAAATTTGAACATGGATGATATATTAGATGGAATTACCAATTTACTGTGAAATTTCTTATGTGATTATATGGGGGAATGCCCGTATTATTAGGATGAAGGCCAAAATACTTTCAAATGCTTTGCCCAGCACACACATACACAAAGAAAATGCGTAGAACATTAATAGTGATCGAATGAAGAGGATATGGGAGTTGGTTGTACTTTTCTTCAGTTTTTCTGTTGGGCTGAATGTTTTCAAGAAAAGTCCTAGGGAAAATGAGGTTGGAGGTAAGGAATGCCTATTTGGACTGCTGAGAGGTGGGAGCAGATGTGCCTAGGAGTTCAGATGGTGAACTCAGGGGCGGGCAGGATGGGTGGAGGAGTGGCAGGCGCTGGACTGGTAGCTGAGGACAGTCTCGAGGGTTCTGAGTTCTGAGTTTATGGCAGGAGCTGACAGACTCTGGCTGGTCGTGCGTGGGCCTTCAGGCACACATCACTCTAACTCAACTCACAGGGCCCCAGTAGGGTCTGCCCACAAATTAATCCACTGGGCAAATACTTGTTGAACACCAGGCTCCAGGGAAGGTATTGGGAAGGTGGAGTGGACAAGGCAGGTGTTGCTCCTGGCCTCAGGGAGCTCAGGTATAGTCTGGAAACATGACAGATCAAGTAAAGAGCTGTTACATAGTGTGGGGAGAGCCACCATGGGAGGGTAGGCAGAGCTGGGTGGGCTCACTGCGTGGCCTCTAACCGTCCCAGGGTAGCCGAAGCCTCCTAGAGGAAGCATGCCTTAAGGTGGGGGGGGGGGGTGACACTCAGAAGCAGGGATGGGGCAAGAGGGAAGGGTCGATGTGTCTGGTCAATTGCACAAGAACAGGGTCAGATTCACCATTTACATGATTGGGGCTGCTTCTCTTCTCTATCAGCTGGTCTTTGCATCTGCTGTGGGGTACACTTAAGGAGGGGCCAGTCCCATGTCCTAGCAGTCATTCAGGGGGAAGGGAGGTGCCCATGAGAGGGTGTGGGGTTCCCCAGGGAGGTCATGGGGTCATGGGTCCCTTCATCTTGTGAGTCTTGGGAGAGGTTAAGCAATGAGTCAGAACAGGTACAGATGACTCAGCCAGTGTGACCAGATGGAGGTGAAGGCTAGAGCCAGAAGGGCTAGGTTAAGATCAGGAACCCAAAGGAGCAGGGACTAGAACTGAACAGTAGCCAGAATTGATGGTGTTCACTCTGGGTCCCCAACACCTAGGAGAGCACTTGACACAACCTGGGACTTGATACGCACTTACTGAACACATGAGTTAAGCATGTGAGCCTGCCAGCTGGTAAGTGTTGGGGCTGTTCCCATCATCTGCTCTTACCCGTGGCACTACTTTTATCGGTGATAACTTAATTAGATATATATTTTTCATAGTTATTCCTACACTTAAAGGGTTACATTGTTTTCCAAGATAGGTCACGAAAAACTACAACCCTCCACCTTTTCTTCATTTCTTCTTCCCCGGAACAATCACTTTCAACTCTTTTAGTTGATTCTTTCGGCATGCATCTCCATGTCTCTAATCCCTTGTCCATATCATGTCTGTTGACTTCTCAGCTTTCAGCATTATCAGATGCTGTCTCATCTGTGAATGATGTGGGTGTAGCTGTCTCTCACCCTCATGCATTCTTTCAGTGCCTCATCCTGTCAACATGATTATATCATAATGTCCATTGGATTGACCTTCAGAGCTTGCATTCTTTTGACCATGCAAATGATATCCACAACTGAGCCATCATTATGGTCTGATTGTTTTTTCTTGCCTACAGTTTCAGGAGAGAATTATTTTAAAAGATGAAATGCTAGATATATCTGAGCACAGAAGGAGCACAGAGGAAATTTAGACAATTAGCAGGGATTTGGGGGTAGAATTAACAATTCACACCTAGAAACTAAGCACATGAAAAGAAAGCAATGATTAAATCGGGGGGTAAATAAAAAAAGTTGTGCAAATTAAAAAAAAGTAACCATAGCTCCTGTATTAGTCTGTTCTCACGCTATGAATAAAGACATACCTGAGACTGGGTAATTTCTAAAGGAAATAGGTTTAACTGACTCACAGTTCCACATGGTTGGGGAGGCCTCACAATCATGGTAGAAGGCAAAGGAGGAGCAAAGTCACATCGTGCATGGCAGCAGGCAAGAGAGCTTGTGCAGGGGAACTTTCCCGTGTAAAGCCACCAGATCTCATGAGACTTACTCATTATCAGAAGAACCACATGGGAAAGACCTGCCCCCATGATTCAATTACCCCCCACAGGGTCCCTCCCATGACATGTGGGAATTATGGGAGCTACAATTCAAGATGAGATTTGAGTGGGGACACAGCCAAACCATATCAGCTCCCCACTCCTGTGTGGGGGAACTAAAGGGAATCTGGAATTTTAGAATATTCACTGTGAGCCAGGAGCCAGGCTGTGATCTCCCGCTACTTGGGGAGAGAAGTAGTGGACAGTCAACCAACATCTACAGAGCTCCATCCCTTGGGTTAACGTGCTAAGTTGGACTTTATTCCACAAGCTGGGAGAACTAGTGAAGGATTCCAGAGGGTCCTGGTGCAGAGTCTTTTGGGAACCCCGTTATGTAAATGGATTTGCTTCTCAGCTCCCTGCAGACTTAGGAGTATGTTTCGGGGTCTAAGTCACTTACTCCTCATCCACTTGCTTCCCTGTATCCCATATTTTATTGTTATTGTCTCCTTGCTCACTCTCTTTATGTTTGCTGGTTTATTTCTGATTTCTTTTTAAAAATCCATTTATTTTCATTTCAATGAGATTTTGAGAGAGAGAAAAAGTACATGTGAATGTAAAATTCCTCTCCCCACCGCCCCCCCCTTTTTTTTTTTTTATAAAGACAGAGCCTATCTCTGTCACCCAGGCTGGAGTGAAATGGTGTAATCATGGCTCATTGCAGCCTCGACCTTCCTGGTTCAAGTGATCCTCTCACCACAGCCTCCCAAAATGCTGGGATTACAGATGTGAGTGGACACGCTCGGCCTGAAGTTTCCCCTTTTTAAAACTTTTTCCAGTCGGGTTTGGTGGCTTACGCCTGTAATCCCAGAACTTTGGGAGGCCGAGGTGGGTGGATCATGAGTTCAAGAGATCGAGACCATCCTGGCCAACATGGTGAAACCCCGTCTCTACTAAAAATACAAAAATTAGCTGGGCGTGGTGGCAGGAGCCTGTAGTCCCAGCTACTCTGGAGGCTGAGGCAAGAGAATCGCTTGAACCTGGGAGGTGGAGGTTGCAGTGAGCTGAGAATGTGCCACTGTACTCCAGCCTGGGCAACAGAGTGAGACTCCATCTCAAAAAAAATTTTTTTTTTCCTCCTTTCCTGGCCTTGTTGTAACCTCATTTGTACAGGAAAGTCTTGTCTTTTTAGGGCATTTGGCGACTCGGGAATGGGGACATAAATATATACCCTGGCTGATTTTGGATCCAGGAACAGGGCTTGGTGGGCTTCCCTGAACTGCAGAGAGAGGGTGAGCTCTGTCTCACACCTGGGGACATTCCTATTCCCTTACTTCCTTGTTGTTCCTTTTCCTCAGTGCTCAGAATGCAGCTTCAACCCTCCCCTTTGAACCTACATCATGATTCCTTTGTGTGCTTCAATGAATTCAACATTTGTGGGTTGTATTTCTGTTTTGAAATTAAGTGGGATTAGACAAGAGGGTGAAATAAAACAAAGCCCTCCCCCACCAAAACAAAAAAACAAAAAAACAAGTGTGGAGTTGCAGCAGCCCTGGGCTGGTCACCCTGACTCGGGAGCTTCCAGCCCATTGCAGGCTGCAGAGGCTTTCCTCTTTTGAAGTGGGCTTTCTGCTCTGTGAAATATTTAACGAAGGCACGTTGCAGACAGGGCTTGAGAAGGTCTCTGAACCTACTGGCCTCCCTTCTAAAGTGTGCTGCCCTGATTCTGTAACAAAGAGCTCAGAAGCGCTGGGAGGGCTGGCTGGTGCTCGGCAGCCCTGGCGAGGTGTGTCCTCTCCTCTCGGTCAGGTTGGAGTTGATCCACCCGGCACCTGCTGCCCAGAGCTGGGCTGACCCTGATTGCGGGCATCCACGTTACTTCTGCTGAAGCTGTCTCGGGGTTTGTGATGTCCAGAATGAAACATTCCTTCCTGCTGTCTGCTCTCGATTTGCCTGTCTCTGCTTTGGACTTGGGCGCCCTTTGTTCCATCATCCTCACAGGGCAGAACTTAGATGCAGCCCTCCCTGTGATGTGACCTTTCCATTTACAGTTTTACCCAATTTCATTTCATTGCTTCTTACTCGATTTGGTTCTAAGATACATAAAGCTACCCCCTTCTCTACAAGCACCTTCATGTTGCTTCTCAGCTACTTTATCTTAAAGAAGGCATGCTTCACCATCTCCCCATGCTTCATGTTTGCCAGAAGACTGAGCCTTCTTCCCAGTCCAGCCTTGTCCTAAGTTAAAGAATGCCCTTCCTCAGGGCTGGATATGGTAGCTCATACCTGTAATCCCAGCACTTTGAGAGGGCCAGGGTGGGAGGATCGTTTGAGACCAAGAGTTTGAGACGAGCCTGGGCAGCATAGCAAGATCCCATCTCTAAAGAAAAATTAAGAAAAAAAAAAAGAATCTTCTTTCTCAAACAGAAATTCAGCCATATCATTTCCTAGCATACTTCGCTGCTTCTACCCAGGCAAATAGAATAAATATACTCCAACTTAACCTGTATGAGGCATTCGGGAAACATTGGCTCACTGTAGGAATCCATGTCTCGTCCACTGCCTGCCTCTCCGGGTTTACAGCCCGCGACTTTCCCAATCAGACAGTATTTGAAAATGCCAGACTCCGTTTTGTTCTCCACTTATCTCCTGCTATTTTGTCCCTCTATTCACTTGATTGATGTGCACTGGATGTCTGCCATGCACCAACTATTCATTCAGATCAGCATTGTCCAATAGATGTGCAAGCTGCTTATGTAATTTTAAATTTTCTGGTAGCCAGAAAAGAAAGGTTAAAAAATGGCGAAATAAATTTCAGGAATTTATTTTATTTAATCCAAATTTTCCAAAACATCAATATGTAACAATTCTTTTTTCTTTTTTATACTGGCTTTGAAATCACTGTGAATACTATACTTGAGTCACATGTCAAGTGCTCAATGACCACAGGTGGCTACCATATTAGATGGTAGGGCTCTAGGTGATGGGATTCAGCAGTGAGCAGGGTATATGGAATTCCCCTCATGGAGTTTACATTCTAGCTGGAGAGAGAGATTATAACACAATGATATGGTCTATAATATCAAGTGGTCACCCTTTCTATGTCACTCTTCCCTGCTCCTGTAAAGCAAAGCCGCCTGAGGACTGCTTCTGTCTATGGTAGTGGTTAAAACCATCAAATGAAAGTTTCAGTCTCCCCTCTGCCCCTTACTACCTGTGCTGGGTGGGATCAGATCACTGGCCCCAGTGATGTCCATGTCCTAACCCCTGGGACCTGTGAATATGTTACCTTACATAGCATAAGGGGCTTTGAAGATGTGATTAAGGCTAAGGACCATGAGATGGGGGAGAGAATCCTGGACTATCCAGAGGGCCTGATCACATGGGTACTTAAAAGTCAAGCACTTTTCCTGGCTGCAGAGAACCAGAGAGACTGAAACATGAGAAGGGACAGCCTGTATTGCTGGCTTTGAAGATGAAGGAAGGGGCCATGAACCAAGGAATGGGGTGGCCTCTGGAAGCTGAAAAAAAGCAAGGAAACAGATTCTCCTTTACAGCCTCCAGAAGGAACAAGCCCTACTAATACCTTGATCTTAGCCCAGAGAGAACTGTGTTGGACTTCTGACCTGCAGAACTGTAAGATGATAAATGTATGTTTTAAGTCACTAAATTTGTTATGATTTGTTATGGCAGTTATAGAAAACTAACCCACTAGCTTTGGGTCTAAGTGATGAATAATTCACCTTTCTGAGACTCAGACATTCATTTTATCTATCTTGTGGGATTTTTCCGTGGATAAAAGTGAGAGACCATCTGTAAAACATTTAGCCCAGTGCCCAGCCCATTATAAATGCTCACCTACTGTCAGCTAAAACAATGTATGTTACGGTTTCTCAGAGTGGTCATCCTGGAGCAGGAAATTTGTAAATGTTTGTTGAATGAATGCTGAACAGACTGACCTCTGACCTTGCCTTCCATGACATGGTTGCTGGCTTCTTAGAGATCATCTGCTTCATTGTTTTCCAACTGTGGTACCCAAGGGCATTTGGATGGTACACAGTCAAACATGTTCTATTTGAGCAATTATGCATTTTAAAATGCATTGGGAAGAGATGGCTGGCACATCAAATTCATTATTCACAGATAAAGGACAACAGAGAGAACATATTTTTAAAAAGTGTTATATAAACACTGGTTCCCATGGTGAGGGTGGCAGGTAAGGGACTGAAACCATGATCTAGGCAGCTCTCTTGTTCTACAGATGAGGAGATTGAGGCCAAGGGAAGGAAGATGAGGGATGGGCCACACCCATTCCATGTGTGCCTGAGAGGTTGCATCTCTCAACTCTCTGGCTAGTGTTCTTCCTCAGATCCTGAGCTATTTTGAGTTAGGACCAGCCTTTTGGATTCCTTAGAAACCAATGCCTAATCTTCAGGCATGGAAAACTTTTCAGCTGAATCTCCTTCCTGTTATAGAATGAAGAGGCATCATTGTAAAAGAGGCTCAGCTGATCCCAGTTTTACTTACCTGGTCTCCAACAAAGGACTAGGAAATATGCACACAGGACCTCCGTATCCATCTGAACTCTTTTTGATTGTCAAAAACTAAAATATAACCACTACTGGCTTAGACAGAGAGGTATTTATTGGCTCGTGGATTGCAAGGGAGAATTTATTGAAGAACTAAGCCCCAGAAAGAGAGGAGACCCAGCTGGACTTTGGGCACTGACCACACCACGGATCTCAGATACTGCCATCCCTCTCTGCTCCTGTGTCATCTCCACTTTCTCCTGAGAATGGCTGCCCACTGCTCCTGGCTTTCATGTCAGTCTCACGTCTTCTGCTGCTAGATATCAGAGAGGGTCTGGCTCTGATTTTCGGTTCCAATGTGAAAAATCCCAGAGAAGGATTCTGATTGATCAGGCTTGGATTGAATGTCAAACCCTGGACCAATCAACTGTGTTTAGTGGGGGGCTGGGCAGGGCCAAAGCCGAGGAAGAACATGGCTGCTGTATTAGTCTGTTATCAGGCTGCTAATAAAGACATACCTGAGACTTGGTAATTTATAAAGGAAAGAAGTTTAATGGGCTCACAGTTCCACATGGCTGGGGGTGTCTCACAATCAGGGAGGAAGATGAAGGAAGAGCAAAGGGACTTCTTACATGATGGTGGGCAAGAGAGAGCTTGTGCAGGGGAACTCCCATTTATAAAACCACCAGATCTCCTGAGACTTATTCACTTCCATGAGAACAGCACGGGAAAGACCCACCCTGATGACTCAATTACCTCCCACCAGGTCCCTCCCATGACACATGGGAATTATGGGAGCTGCACTTCAAGATGGGGCTTGGGTAGGGTCACAGCCAAACCATATCAGCTGCCTTCTCTCAAGCCACAGGATGCTGTTCTGCAGAGAAGGTGGTGGTGGGGCCTGGTGATCAGACCGAACCAGAGACCACCTCTGGGTAAGCTTGTGGAATTGCAAAGCTTGTTTGCACAGCTCAGACCTGTGCTTCTCTATTTACTAGCCATTTTACCTTGAAAACAATTCCAACTCCTCTAAGCTTCGGCTCCTCCGTCTGTAAAGGTGGTAATAGAAATACTTATTTTGTAAGATGTTAGGAGGATTGTGGGCAATAACAGGTGAAAATATCTAGTGCAGAAGAAGGGATCAAGAAATCTGTGCTTCTGTCTTTCCCTAGTGGCCAATTTTTCTCCTGGATTTTTGCTTAAGAAGCAGATTTCTCAGCTCATGATTGAAATCCTTCTCTTATTATTTCTTCCTGTTGATTGGAAAGAAGCAAAACTAGTTCCCTGCTATAATTACTTATAAGACTGGTTTTAAAACATACTGGGTTAATGATAATTGGAGAACACCTAGGACATCAAAAAATATGTAGGTCATGCTATTAGTGACTGCTGGAGTTCCTGAAATAAACACGATGGAAACTGTCTGGGGAAACCACATTATGCAAAATGCTAAAATGAATGGGGAGGTGATGGTAAAGGGAGGCACTGGCTGCTTCTGAGTGAACTGCCTGGGGAGGGTGGCATCAGATCACGGGGCACAAGAACAGCAGGACTCAGCATGGACCAGGGTGGACTCCTCCCTTCAGAAGGGTCTCAGGACTTCTCTCTTGAAAAATGTCTGGGTGATGGCCTTTGACATTTAACAGACTTCTGAGGACCAGCCCAACTGGGTGATAAGGATATAAAGAAAGGCTTTTCATAGTGGAGGAAACTCATTTCTCCGGGAGACAAGGAGAGCCTGGGAAACCTCTGAGTAACTGAGACGTTCTACCTACTGGGGAGAAACATCAGATTCTGTCCCAAGAGTAGTCTTGAAAAATGCAAAAGGGTAATGAATCTGGGGTGCTAAGAATAGAGAAGAGATCATGAAGGAACAGGGAAAGAAGTGAAGTCCTGAGGAGAAACCTCACCCTTCCACCCACCCATGCACCACCCCTCTGTCAG
This sequence comes from Homo sapiens, assembly GCF_000001405.40. Lineage (NCBI taxonomy): Eukaryota > Metazoa > Chordata > Mammalia > Primates > Hominidae > Homo > Homo sapiens. The sequence goes on along the minus strand of NC_000016.10, from coordinate 66,013,205 downwards.
CCATCCACTCATCCATCCTCTCTTCCGTCCACTTTGCTGAATACATAATTCAGTTCTATTGCCCTAAGGTGGCAATAGGGTTAACTAGTCAGTGCTGGAGCAATGGAAATGAACCAAACAAGGCCTTTCCTACATTACAGACTTCACAACTTTATATTTTGCACACTGCACAGTGCAGAAAGGAAGCTTTTGTTCTGTACATGTAGCAACAAGACAATAAGGAAAAATATTTAAAATACATAGCGCACACCAGAAAACCTGATCCATCAACCCAATTATCCTTGCTTATTCTTTTTTTTTCTTTTTTCCGGAGCTTTGTTCTAGAATTTCTTTGGGGAAATTTGCCGGATTCAGCTTGAATTGGGGTGCATGGGACAATTAGTTTTCCTGAAGTACTGCTTCACTGCTACTTCCTTACCCTTCAAAAAATATTGCATTCTGACCTGCTAGAAAAGACCAAGGCCCAGCCAGCCTGGTTCCAGCTCACCCTTTTTGAGCAGCAATGTGGGTGAGTGGAAAGGATGCTCGCTTGGGAATTCGGAGCCTGGGTTTCTAGTCCTTGTCTTGTCCTGTTAAACAAGTCACTTCCCCACTCTTGGCTGGGCTGTATAATTTCTCAGGTTTGGACATCGCTAACATTCTAAGGCCCTCAGACCCTTCCACTTGGGGTCTCTGTGTGCCTTGGCCTGTGTGTCAATATCTGTGGGGCAACATTATCCACTCTCCTCACTCCAGAAAGGGGGATTTTGCTAGGTGGATATGTCAGTAAATGTTTGGATGAGCCACTTTATGCCAGTTTTTATTTATTTATTTTTTCGTTTAATTTTTTAAGACAGAGTCTCCCTCTGTAGCCCAGGCTGGAGTGCAGTGGTGTGATCTTGGCTCATTGCAACCTCTGCTTCCCGGGTCCTGGTTCAAACAATTCTCCTGCTTCAGCCTGCCAAGTAGCTGGGATTACAGGCATGCAGCACTATGCCCAGCTAATTTTTGTATCTTTAGTAGAGATGCGGTTTCACCACGTTGGCCAGGCTGGTCTTGAACTCCTGACCTCGTGATCCACCCGCCTTGGTTTCTCAAAGTTCTGAGATTACAAGTGTGAGCCACCGCACCCAACCTATGCCACTTCTTTAAAAAATTTTCTTTGTTGCCAACATAAAATACCAACAATGCCCAGGACTCATCTAAGGATAGAAGGGAAAGCCATGTGGCCCTTTAAAAATGTCTACATGCACCTCTACAGTGTGCCAAGCTCTGCATGTAGCCTGGGGCTCCACGGACAGATGAAGACCTGGTCTTACCCTTGAGGAACTCACATTCTTTCAGGGAGGTTAGGCAATACACAAATGTTGATGCCATGAAAGAGCCACCAGGAAAATGCATCTGAGTGTGGAGGTTGGAGTGGGCAAGGATTCCCAGATAAGGGAGCATTAAACCATGGTCTTGAGGCCTGAGTAGGAACAAGATGGGTATGAGGAGATGGAGAAGAGAGAGCTCAGCATGAGAAGATGTGAGGGTGTGCAGCTGAGTGGCGGGTTTCAACTGTAGGTAAGGAGGTGCAGCTGGCATTCGGGGTTCACATGAGTAACAGTCAAGAAGGAAATTCATCCTCCAACAACAGTCAATGCCTTCCTTCAGAAGAGTTGCTCAGAGTGTGCATTCTTCCTGACGGTCTGATATCTCCATGGGAGATGCTCTTCCTGGCTGCATCTAGTCAGCCATCTACCAAACCCCCACAATAGGAGATTCATCCATATGACATCACACATGTACCCCCTGAACCTAAAATAAAATTTGGGAGAAAAAAAAGAAGCAAACTCTTAAGGGCCTTGAATATTAAGCTAACGAGCTTCAGGTTCAGGTTCATCTGAAACACAAAGATTTTGAAAGGTTTTAAGGGAGGGAATGAGATGGTGTCTTAGTCTGGGTTTCTCTGAAAGCAGAGACTAAGATGAGGATTTAAGTGCAAGTGGTTTAAGTGGAAGGTGATCCCAGGAAACAGAGGGAGCATGGGAAAGCAATGCAACAGTGTTATTGAGCTAGAAACTACCATGGGCCAGGAAGATCTTAATCTTGATGGAGGTCCTTTAATGAATGATGTGGAGCATGTCTCTGAATTGTCCTACAGAAGAATGGTAACTGGGGACATTGATGCACTGACTTCTCTCCTTCATTGGCAGAAGGGCGCCCGCAGAAGCAGTAATTCCTTGCACATTGGGCTGCATCTACCCATGGATTAGATAGCTTCTGGAACTTCAGAGAAAGCCTAGAGCTAGAAAAGCAGAGAGACATCTCAGTGCATCCTTGTGGTGGGATGCTGGGTATGTGGACAGGACTACCCATCACTCTTGCCTTCAACTTAGGTGGGCTTTGGAGATGTGGGGCATCTGTTCTGCATATGGTCAGATTTAGTTTTTAGAATGTCACTTTGGTCTTAGTAAGGAGTGTTAATTGGAGGGGGCAAGGCCAGTGGTAGGCAGACTGACTTTATGTGAGATATCCTCCGGTAGTTATTTCAAATCTCATAAAAGCTATTTGACTTGAATATTTACTGGTGTCAAGCCTGGTGCATCTACAGGAAAATGTCCAGGGAAGTAGTGAGAATAAGTTTATCTAGGAGGAAGGTGGAGGGTGTGAAGGCAAAGTTAGCCTGGTCTGTGATAAAGGATGTTTTTCTCTCAACTCATTGGGTCTTGAGAATTTTCTCCTTGGCGGTGTTCAACAGCAAGAGAAGTGCAGTCAGACACCAAGAAGGCAATTGGAATTTTGACCATTCCTCTTTTCTAGAACTTCTGGAAGACAGGTAAAAATTTATAGAGTTGGAACAACTCCTAGTTTTAGGGTCAGAACTTCTACCTTATTGCTGTGGCACAATTCAGGCCCACACTTTGTTGGGGGGAAATTAAAGATTAAATCAGAGCTTTCAAATATCCTGTGGGGTATATTACTATAAATGTGGAGCATTCATATCAGATGCCTTTGGTCCAGAGAAAGAAAGGTTACATCTTTTTTTTCTAGTGGAGAAATAACATTTAGACCCTACAGAGCTTTGTCCTTGCGTTTCCAATGTTTACCATGTAATTGAGGTAATTCTTCTCTTTCTTTTACATTTTCTACCTGCTGCTTGGAGGAAATAGCTCTCCATTGCTTTGAAGCCAACTTTCTCTAGACTTTAGGACAAATAAATTCATTCCCATTCTCTGGCCATAAAAATGCTGGGAAACTCAGGAAAGAGCAGGGTCAGCAGAGCAATTACTAAATTTTTACTGGAAGTGCTGGGCCATGGCTGTGGAACTGAACTTTGTAGGAACTGGATAGAGAGTAATCCTATTTCCTATAGCTAGGTGGTAAAAGTGTCTGTAGTTACAGGTGTGTTGTGTGAGCCATTGCTTACATGTCAGTAACACCTGTCTGCACTCAAGCTCTGCCCTTACTATCCGCATCAGAACATCTCACACGTGTGCACATGCAGAGTAGTTACCACTGATGACAGAGAACCATGCCTGACCTTCTTCCCTTTGCCTGAGTTCTGCCTCCAACGAGTTTTAGTCCATTCTTTCTCTGTGCATAGTCATTTAAATCTTTTAATCTGATCTCTCCATGGGAGATGCTCTTCCTGGCTGCATCTAGTTAGCCATCTACCAAACTCCCACAATCCCAACATAATAATTTGTATTGATGGGATAATGCACTCAAGCCCTCCTTTCAATGATATTTTCATGGGATTCTATGCCTCCTAGGCACTCAATGAACATTTGTTGAGTGAGCAAATGAATAGACCAATGAATGGGATGAAGCAAGATTCAAGGCATTGGAAAAGATAGCACTAAAATGTTAACAGTGATTAGGACCAGCTACTTAATTAGCAGAACCCAATGCAAAATAAAAATGCAGGACCTTCATTCAAAAAATTAAGAAATTCAAGATATGACAGCAGAGGCTTAAACCAAGCATAGGAACCTTCTGAGTGCAAAGTTTTTGTGACTGTACAGGTTAGATGTCCACAAAGCTAGTCTTGGTGGTATTATCTTTGAGGACTGGGATTATGGAATAAGTATTTCATATTTCAAAAATTCTGCATCAGGAACATACTTTTAATCAGAAGAAAGCTATTTTTAAAATAAAACCTATATGGCCAGGCACAGTGGCTCATGCCTGTAATCCCATCACTTTGGGAGGCTGAGGTGGGTGGATTGCTTGAGGCCAGGAGTTCAAGACCAGTCTGGCCAACATGGTGAAACCCCATCTCTACTGAAAATACAAAAATTAGCTGGGCATGTTGGCACATGCCTGTGATCCCAGCTACCTGGGAGGCTGAGGCAGGAGAATCACTTGAACCTGGGAGGCAGAGATTGCAGTGAGCTGAGATCATGCCACTGCACTCCAGCCTGGGTGACTGAGTGAGACTCCATCTCAAAAAAATAAAAATAATAAAACCTATAGAATATGAACGGCTGGCTGGGCATGGTGGCTAATATCTGTAATCCCAGTGCTTCAGGAGGCCGAGGCGGGCGGATCACTTGAGGCCAGGAGTTTGAGAGCAGCCTGGCCAAAATGGCAAAATCCTGTCTTGACTAAAAATACAAAAATTAGCCAGGCATGGTGGCGCATGCCTGTAATCCCAGCTACTTGGGAGGCTGAGGCACAAGAATTGCTTGAACCTGGGAGGTAGAGGTTGAAGTGACATGAGATCACGCCACTGCACTCCAGCCTGGGCAACAAAGCAAGACTCTATCTCAAGAAACAAAAGAATACAGCTGCATATGGACTGGATTATGAATTGGGAGATGATCTGGATTCTAATCTTGATTCTCTTTCCACTTCACCCTTGATGAGTCTTGTGTAATCTGTGTTTCTCAATCGCCTCCCCAGTAGCATTATTGGAAGGGCGAGGAAGAGGTCCGAGGCCACCTATGCCCTGTGAGTCTAGGATGCTAAGATAATCACTAAGAAAACTTACCCTAAGAGTTTCTTGGACATAAAGGTTAGAAAACCATGTGAGGGGAAGGTCTGACAAGATTTTCCTCCAAAGTGATTTTGGAAATATTCCTGGCTAGGCTGTTGGGGGCATAACCCTCTCCACAAAAATATCTTCTTGACAGAAGCTGCTGGTCTCCAGGGGGATGGATCTTTGTGTGGCTCTAAGTCAGCAAAGCAGAAGAGGATGAACCAGGCAGCTGCCTGTCATTTTAACCTGACACCTCGGCTCAGGGTAGGGGCTGGTGGGGAGGGGAGCGATCTGCGGCTCACAGTCCCCTGTTTTCTTACAGCAATTGCATGACGACTACAAATATTTGAGCTGATTGTACTCGCTTACATGCAGCAATGAATCATCTTGTGATGAGAGGCCCGAAATATGCTGGGATGAAATTAATGTCAATTGAAACAGAAAATGGATTCTAGCTCCCACCACAATGAGCTTCAGAAGATGGGCCCAGAGCACAGGGAGTCTACTGCTGCTATTCTTAGTGGCCAAAAAAAAAAAAAAAAAAAAAAAAAAAAAAAAATCCTATGCTACTGGTATTATTTTTGCTATTTTTATTTTCTTATAAACCTTCTTTTCAGCTCCTCCTATAGGGGCACCTTCTAATCAGGGACTTTGGTTCAGGCTCCTTCTTGACTTCTCGGGTCTCTGAGGATAAAAAAAAAAAGAAAGAAAGAAGGAAAGAAAAAACTAGCATAGATCTTTCCTCACCTTTAAAGTATAAAGGAGAGGAAAAAAAATGAGGAAGTGTATCCCCCCAAAACAACTGGAGGTTTGCACTTCTAAATGCTGGATGTATCAATGCTTTTAACAACCGAGGTAACATATTTCTTGGTGGAGGGGGGTGTGGTGGTGATACAATTTTGAAGACTTAACCAGTGTTCCTGCCATTTCCTTAGCTCCCCCTTACTCCTTTTCCAGTCATCATTTTGTTACTGGCTTTTGAGTTTTCAAAACGTAGGCCCTGCAGCAACTAGAGACAGATTGGAGAGAATTCATGGTGGATCTGAGCAAAGCTTCCCACCACAGCATCAGAAAAGGATTCCCTAGGCTGAGCAGAGCAGACTTAGAGGGAACACAGTGTGCGCTGAGACGCTGGAGTGTCTCTGGGAAAATCTTGGTCTCATGAGAGCCTTCCCAACCCTGGAGATCCCCAGCAGGGGCACTGATACCTGTTTGCTCCAGGCATTATTCCTGAGTTCTGGGCCCTGCTCCTCATGCCCTCCATGTCTAATGGCTGGCCACACCACTGTCTGAATAGTCCTGTCCATATGCTCCAGCCACCCCACCCATTCGAGCTCCTTGGGCGACCTAAGCCCAGAGTCAGCCCAAAACCTCTGGGCAAGGACTCGAGCTCTGTAGGGCAAACTGACCCAACGGGCCCTAGTACTTATCTTCTCTGAGCTTCGGTTTTCCCAAAAGTGAAATGGGAATAATGTACTCAACAGAGATGGAGACCATGTAAATTATAAAACTGATAAAGCTCTTGGCTCTGCATTCATCACGTGATTGCCAGCTCGTGGTTAGTGGCTTGTTGTCTGAGGCTATAAAAAGCATCGCAGCTGATCTCTCTCGCCTCTGGCCTGAGTGCTGGGCCAGGGGCTCGGCCTCACTCAAGCCTCTCTCAGGCTCCATCCAGTCCCCTGAGGCACCTGTATTTTGCTTGGGACAAAATCCCCTTAAGAAGCGAAGAGATCCAAGGCCAGAAACTTTTGGAGACCATAACAACACTGCATTGGCGATATAAGTTCTGAAGGTGTGAAGACCCACCTCTAAAAGGAGGGCAGACCTCAGCTAGTGCCATGTGGACTGGTTTAGTGTGGTGCTTAGGGGCTCAACTGACTGCGTTTGAGCCTAAATCTGACACACTCAAGAACTGTGTCAAATCACTCAAACTTTCAGTGACTCAGTTTCCTCATTAGTAAACTGATGATAATGATAGAAACTACCTCATAAGTGGTTGTGAGGATTGCATGAGTCAACACACTCAAAGTGCCTAGGAAAATGCTAGGCATCTCAGAAACGCTCAAGAAGGGCTAGCTAGTACTGTTGCTCTTTTAACATCATCTGCCTCCAACCCACCATTTTTTGCCTTGGTTTGGCTTGCCAATGTAATTAGGTTCTCCACGGGGTGCAAAGACCAGGACTTTTCTCTGGCCTTTGAAGAAGAGGGCTTTCTGTAAGGTATCTTGGACCTAGGCCTGCACCTGGAGAGCCACGTGGTGCTGAGGCTGCTTAGGGGAGGAACCCCCAGCCTCCCCTTACCCACTCTGGGCCTTTGACTCCCTCACCCCTTCCTCTGCCTCTGCCACTCCTGCTTCCCCATAACTTGGTTCCCCATGTCTCTCCATGACCTCGTCCTTCACCTTAGAGGGCTCCTTGAGATAGACTTCAGAAGCAGATCCTGATGTGAAGATTCAAATACAAGTGGTTATTTGGAAGATGAGTCTGGGAAATACCAGAAAGTGGGTGGGGAGCGAGAAAGGCAAGGAAAAGTGGGCGAGAGGGAGAAAAGGAAGCCAGTGAAGGATGTTTTATTAAGCAAGTTACCATTCTGGGCAACTGGAGCCTAATCTTTCTTGAGGAACTCAAGACATCAGTGTAGAATATGTGCTCTTGAGATAGCCTACGTAAGGGACAAGAGAGCTTGGGCGATTTATATACCAAATGCAGTTAGTCCTCTTTCAGGGCTGCATTAACTCTTGCTTGTAGAGGCATTAATTCTTTGGCACTTCCCGCTTCCTCTGTATGTTGGCCAAATGTGCTCCTGCAGCCAGAGTTGCAGGTGTTTGCAGACAGCAGCTTTCAGCATATAAAGGTGGGGACCTAGAGGGCATGGGAGGGGGGACATTTAGAGTAATACTAGAATCCCCTCATTGCTGACTCAGAATTTGTCTCTCTCTTCTGCAATTCCAGATATGAGGTGTAGGAGAGGAAATAAAGAAAGAAAGTGAGGAGGGAATAGAGAGCAAGAGAGGAAGGGATGGAAGAGAGGAGAGAAAGAGGGAGACAGAATAAATAAGAATGGGTATATGAATCTGGGAGACCCATGTCATCTCTGTTCCATCCTTGGTCTGATCAGCTATGGCCAGGAAGGAGGGATCCTATGTTCCATGAAGGCCTATGGGAGGGGAAAGTCCATTTTGAGTGGTCAATCTTTTATATAATTTCCTGTGGGTTAGGGTGATGGAAGTCGGTTTGTTCTGACAGCTTGAGGAGAAGAGAGGTGAAACCCGATAGTCTCAGCCTTGCTCCTACTTTTTCCTGGCATCTGCATCACAAGCTACACTGAATTTCATTCTGCTCAACAGCCAAGGCGATGAAAAGTCACATAAAGCTGGATGAATCCCTGGGACAGTGGCCAGCTCAGAACAGTTATTTTACCTTAAAACAAGCCTCATCTTGGCTGTGTCATCATCATGAGAGCAGTCACACATGGCTGTGCTGTTTTCACTCTCATTAGCAAAGAAATTGAAGAGGAAATAACAGCTTCAACCCCCTGACATTTTTCTTGCTCCAGGGTAAATCTCTGCTAGGAATGGTAGAATATCTTGGTCCAACCATACTGGAAAAAAAAAAATGAATCAGGATTTAATACTCTGGAGGCAGAATCACTTGGAAGGATACTTGGAAAGGGTTCTTCTAGAATAGTGCTATTCAAATTTAAACTTGAGTGACATGGCCATCTTGCTTAGATGCAGATTCTAATTCAGTAGGTCTCAGATCGAACCAGGGAGTCTGAATTTTCTATTAAGTTCCAAGATGGTGCTGGTGATGCCCATCAAAGGACTTTGAGTGGTACAGGTCTTTAGACTTAACTGGATTCCAGTCCCAGGCCCTTAGACTTAGACTTAATTGGATTACCTTTAGACTTAGACATAACTAGATTCAATTCCCAGCTCTGCTGCTTCCTGGCTGTGGGAAGTTGGGCAAGTTACCTAACTTTTCTGAACTCCAGTTCTTAGATATTGAGACTGTAGAACAGAACTCAAGATTGTTGTGCAGATGTGATGGGGGAATACCTGCCAATGCACAGTGATCTACACTAATTATGGAGTGGTTGGGATCTTTTCATCCCACCCTTGTCCTGCTCTTGGAGCATTCCCTGGGCTCCCAACTAATTTCTGATTCTGTCCCTGGTCCCATACCTGCATGTCCACTCACTTGTTGAGTTTACAAGCACGTCTGAGCTTGAGTTGCAAGAGCTTCTTGTCCCCAGGTTGTTAGCCCAAGCAACAACTTTTTTCTTCCTGTCAATCCCCTCATTTTCTGAGCAATGAGCAGTTCCCTCTCTGTGTCTTGGTTTCCATATCTGTACAATGCTGAGTCTAGTTCAAGCCAGCTTTTCTAGGACAGTTTTCTCCCTAGAGGGGCTCAGCTATAACAGTCCCAACATTTTTTTTCCTTCCTGAACTCCTTTCATTAATCTTCCCTATTCATTATCACTGACCATTTGCTGCATATCCTACCCTACTTCCAGGCCCTATAGATGTAGGGCTGAAATATTCACATAAAATAGTGTCTCCTGGAATTGTGCAGTACACAGCTTGTACAACTGCACATTGGAACCTTGCATAGCCACACACTGGAGCCTGCATAGACCTATGCTTTGGACAACAGTACCCAATCTCTAGGTTCCAAACTCTTCCAATCCTATATTGACTCCTAGATTTTAAAACCCCAGTTTGAACCAGCCTTCTGGCTTTTCTTCAAGGGAATTGGAGCTCCGGAGTGAAGCAGGAGGAGGCTGGGCTAGCACTCAGAGAAGTAAGGCATGAGTTGAATGTGCATGAAGCCAGATGACAAAACCAGCACTCAGTACTGTAAGCCTTTCTTGGGCCCTGCACCTCAGGCTTAATGACATGACTCAATGTTTAGTAAATATTAGGATTTAGTGCTCTTCAGAAAGCTGCTTGCTCAGCCTAGAAATAGCGTCTTGAGTCCATTCATTTTGGACACTACATAACAAGCTCCAGTTGTTTAATAAGTGTTAGTCTCTGTGGCATCCATAGCAAGAAGGCAGATCCCAATTAGGCCTCCATCAGTTTCAGCACCTAACGCCAGTTCCCTGTGATGGACTTCAGTAGCTTTGTTTCAGTGTCGTTCATGTTTTGATGTTTGCGTGTCAGCACTCACATTTTAGTGCCAATGTTCTTGCCAGCAAGGAATCTGTGAGATCATCCATTTCATTTCATGCTAGAGATAAATTAAGCATATTAATATAAAACCCAGAAACATATGACAGTTCTCCCATCAAAGGAATATCATGTGGACACATGGGTAAGGGAAAGAAGAGTTGCAGTCTGTGAATCGAAGACTGAAGCACACGCATGCCATGGCTCCCACTGTACAGAATTGGAGCTGAAAATATGCGGCAAGTATGCCAGGGTGTTCTGAGCCTGGCTCGTACCAGCTCATGAAGGCCAATCATGTGCATTTCTTCACAGCTCTTCCTTGTTATGCTGTGTTAGTGGCTTGGAACTGGCCGTGGTGAGAGCATTGTCACCATAGAAATTGGCCAATGTCACAAATCAGGGCTTTTCTTCTTTTTAGAGAGTAGTTGTTAAATATTTACCACTGCAAATGGGTCACGATTTTCCCCTTCGCATCCACAGCAGACCTCATTAATGGATTCCAGCATATTTTCCCCACTTTTGATCACATATGAGGCTCAGGATCCTTTTCAGTACAATGAGTTGGTGTTAGCTCATGGAATAAAACTCGTTCAATAAAATTGGCTGAACTTGGTCCAATGTGTCCCACATAAGACCTCCAAATGGTACAGAAGAGTAGACCTCAAACTTTTAAATTTTATAAACCTTTAAAATGTTAAATATTTTTGGAGCACATTAGAATAACCAACTTTTTCCTTAGCTAAGTAAGGGCATAAAGCGAGGGGCCATAAAACAAGAAGAAATACCTTCCACCTTCTATTAGGAAGGACATTTTAACCACAACCCACTAGATATCAAGTATATAATCTCGGAATAAAGGAAACTCCATTAAAGTTAATGAATACCTCTTCATTTTCCTCATGTGCTGCATTTCAATGTAAAGCTTCTCTTGGAGCAGCTGCAAGTCTGTGTAGGAGTGTTTGGAGACAGCATGATTTTAGGGTTCTGGGGATATTGCTGCGAAGCTATCCATACTCCTTACTGGTAGGGCTGCAGAGATGATTGACATTAGATGAAGCATGCAAAAATATTTTCCCGCTAGCGTAAAGAGCTTGACAAAATTTGACAATCTTGCCATTTTGCAGCCACTTTTTCTTCAATGTTGCCAATTTCTCTCTAGCTAGACTAGCAAAATTAGAGTACTGTTCCATATTAGTAATGAAAAACAAATTTTGTAAAACTAAATCCTAATATTTTTACGGTTTGCTTAGCAGGACTTGGATCAGTGAGACGGGAATGTTTATATTATTGGACTATTTATAATATTAAGAATGAATTCACTGAATTACAAGAAAGGCAATGACTCATTCATTCATTCACCTGTTTATTTATTCAAAGAACATTTTTACAGCCCATGACCAGTCCTTCACTGCAACAACTTTCCCTCCTCTCACTTTTCCTCCTGTCGGGCTCCTGCCATGTGGCAGCACAGGATATCAAACTAAAAAACAAATCTGCCCAGGTCACGCCTCTGCTTAAAGTCCCCAGTAGCTCCACCTTGTTCCTTGTTCTCAAGGGGATGCTAACCTCCCCTTGTGACATACAAGCCCCATCATGACTTAGTCATCACCTACCCCTCTAGTCCGAATCCTCCCTATTTCCAGCATGCACTCTCTCCTGCAGATATAACCAGGTTATTTTTCCTCTCCTCTTTGTCTTGCTCATCTTTTTTCCTTAGCAAGGCTGCTCACTCCACTAGAATTACCCACAGCTTAGATGGGTTCGCTCCTATTCTCCTTTTAACGTTCAAATCAGGGATGGCATTCTTTTGAAAGTCCTCTGAGCTCCCCCTAATAGCACACATCTCACTATCCCTTAATTGTCCATTTGCATGTCACTCCCACTTGTCTGAGAGCTCCTTGAGGAGGCATCATTGAATAACCTCACCTGTGTTATGGTAGCTGCTTAGACATTTGTTGAATGAGTGGGTGTACACTAAGAAGAGAAAGAGGACATTGCAGGAAAAGGGAATAGTCACAGTAAAGATGAGCTGGTTCAGAGGAGAATGTCATATTGTGAGAAGAGGGAAACAGCCAGTGTGTCTCAGAGGAAGGGCACATGTGGCTGGATCTGGACAGGTAAGGCTGGACAGGTGGCCTGGAGTCAGTTCCTGAAGGACCTGGAATGCCATGTCTAGGAGATTTGGCTTAATCCTGTGTATCAGAGAGGCTTTAGAGGAAAGGGGTGAGAAGACAGGTGTGCTTGTTATTCTGGAAACTGGCACAGAACATAGAATAATGGGATAGGATAACTGGAATCAGATTAACCAGTGACTCTGCTGTTGCCGTGGTCCAGGCAGTGGATGATGATGATCTAAAGCAAGGAATTGGCAACAGAGGTGGAAGGTGGGGGGGCATTTAACCTAGTCTGTGCCTAGAGTGCAGGTATATTCCTGGAAGCGGCATCAAGACATTATGAACAGATGTTCCTTTGCAGGATGTGGCAGAGGAGGCAATCAGGTGTGCTGCACTAGGGAAGCCTGAGATATAAACTGGTAGCACACTGAAAAATCATCCAAGGAGTCTGACTGTGCAGGTTAACATGTAGCTAATTTTACTGGGAACCAACAGCCGTGTTTATGTGGCGTGCATTCTCAGGGTTTGCTGAGTTGGAACATATTTTGATGTTTCCCTTTGCCCACTGCCCATTAGGAAAATGTAACTCTTATACAAGGTTGTTTTTGCTTAGAACATTTTTCATTAGAACAAATGTGTTTCAAAATTGACTGTAGATTATGTTGTATTTTGTTTGAAATAACTTCCTAAGTTAATATACGGAGCTGGATATGCAAGACTCAACATTAAACAGAAGTTAAATTACCTGCAATTATGGGCATGCTCTTCTCCATGTGAGCAGAGATGTTAGGGCTGGAAGTTGCTTTACAGATTACTTAGTGCAGAGATGGAAGCACAGAGAGGGAAAGGAAATTGCCCAAGGTCACATAGCAAGTTAATTGCAGAGTTGGGAATGGTTTAGGTATCCTGATGTAGCTTTTTGATGAGATTTAAAAAAATGCATGTTTCTGAATTTCCATTTCACTGGATATTCAATAGTTCTTTTTCTATGGACTAATGTTAAAATACTTTTGCATCACACAGATTCCAGAACAGAGCTAAGGACAAAATATGTTTGAAGATACCCAGTGCAGTGGTCAATTCACAACATGGAGAATCCTGGAAAGAGCAGCACAGCTACCATTTTTCAATGTTGTTCAGTCAAGTAGCCTTCCCCAGTCCTACTTTTTGACCAAATCTATTTTCATGAACCTGTTTCTTTGTTTTGTTTTGTTTTTGATATGGAGTCTCACTCTGTTGCCCAGGCTGGAGTGCAATGGCACCATCTCGGCTCACTGCAACCTCCACCTCCCGGGTTCAAGCAATTCTCCTGCCTCAGCCTCCTGAGTAGCTGGGATTACAGGCGCGTGCCACCATGCCTAGCTAATTTTTTTTTTTTTTTTACTAGAGATGGGGTTTCAGCATGTTGGCCAGGCTGGTCTCAAACTCCTGACCCCATAATCTGCCCACATCGGCCTCCCAAAGTGCTGGGATTACAGACGTGAGCCACTGTGCCTGGCTGAAGCTGTTTTATTTGGCTTTGAATTACCTTGCATGAGTGAGCACTGGATGAACAGTAGGGCCAAACCCAACTCTATAGTCTTCCTTACCCACTCTAGACAATCCATTGCCAGTTCAGCTGATTTTGCCTCCTAGAATATGTCTCTGGGGTATATCCTCTCCACTCCATCTCCACTGCTGCTATCCTACTCCAAGCTGAATATCATCACTCTCACTGGGACCACTGTAATAGACTCCTATTCAATTTATTTCCCTCCCTCTTGACAAAACCTACAGGCCAGTCCCTGCACAGGAGCAAGATTTATTGTACTTATTTTTTTTTTTTCAAAATTCAAATCTAATCATGTTGACCTGTTATTCCAGCCAAAACTCTCACCATGACCTGGTCTCTGTGTGGCCCATCCCAATCTCCACCTTCCTCATTTTCCAATTCCCATCCATTCTTGGTTCCAACTCACAGATTTCCTTCACTTCTTCTATTCACCAGGTTCCCTCTTGCAACAGAGCTTCCGCACACACTGGCCTCCCTTGTCCCCAGCCCTCTAACCTCACTTTGGCTATTTAATGCCAACTCATTCTTCAGACCTCAGAAATTATTTTCTTCCTCATATAAATCTTTTACTGATTTTCAAACTAGGTCAGTTTCCCATATTATTCACCAGCACAGTATGCTGTGTTTGGTCATAGTCCTTACCAAACTTATAACTTTACAGTTACTAGTGTATTGTTTGGTTAGTGCCATGCCTCTCCATCGAGATCATGAGTTCTATAAGCTGCAGGTGTCCCCAACCCTGAGGCTGTGGACTGGTGCTGGTGCATGGCCTGTTAGGAACCGGGCCACACAGCAGGAGGTAAGTGGCTGGTGAGCAAGCCAGTGAAGCTTCATCTGTATTTACAGCCGCTCCCCATCACTCACATTACCACCTGAGCTCCGCCTCCTGTCAGATCAGCTGTGGCATTAGATTCTCACAGGAGCATGAACCCTATTGTGAACTGCACATGTGAGGGATCTAGGGTGGACGCTTCTTGTGAGAATCTAATGCCTGATGATCTGAGGTGGAACAGTTTCATCCCAAAACCATTCCTGCAGCCCACCATCCATGGAAAAATTGTCTTCCATGAAACCAGTCCCTGGTGCCAAAAAGGCTGGGGACTGCTGCTATCAGGGATCACTCTTGTTCTGTGTTGTTGATTACCATCATATCTTCAGAATCTATCACAGTGCTGGGCACTCATAAATATTGTTGAATGAATGTCTTCATAAGATAAACCCTGGATTAAAAAGTTCTAATGACTTTGTTCTGCTGGTGATCAGAGCATATCTCAGAGTTCAAATCAGCTGATACTATTAGTTCCCATAAGATGTTATCAAAATGCAGGATTGCAGCTGGAGCAGTGTCTCATAAATATACTCAGGACTCTGCAAGAATCTTTGAGATCTATGAACCTTGTGCTTTCTACTTTATAGGTGAGGTGGTACTACAATCTTTTAATAGAACCTCCTTATGTTGATCCCCCATGTGTCTGTTCCTATGTTAGGGGCCAATGAGGTAGGCAATGGACTTGGGGAGAGGACTGTCCTGGGGTCTCATGATGAGTAATCTAGAGTGAGAGAAGCCAGAGGATGAATGCAAACCATGACTTAGGCTCAGAATGCTGATGGCTAAACAAGTCAGATGTATTCTCACCTCCAGGATGAGAATCACAGTGGAGTTGGAAACACAGCAAAAAAAGAACAAAACAAAGCCAAAAATGTTCAAAGCAAGGTAGACTCTAGAGAAGGGTTGGGGGGAACAGCAATGGCAGAAACAAGGCAGGCACATGAGTGACACTGAGTGTGGTGAAGACTGTAGGCCAGAGATGGGCATTCTTTTGTGGCATCTATGGAGGGTGGTGAGGGGGTCAGTTTGGTTTAAAAGTAGGATATCCCAGTGGACAACCTTGAGTTTCCTTCTCCTCATCAGTATTTAATTCCCATCCAACTCATCTCATTTTATTCTTGCTCTGTTCCCCAATCAGTCTCTTCCTATTTAACTAATAATTGTTATTCTGAAGTCTCCTAAGCTTCTTATGAATATTATTGTTTATTAAACAATATATTGGTTCTTACCTCAAAGTACTTGCACTTCCTTTGTGGAGGTAAAGTAGTGCATAGAATAATTCTTTTAAAAAAATTTCTTTCCATACTGAGGAAAATGCCAAGCTAGTCATTCTTACTGCAAACTTGAAGACAAGAGGGTGAAATATTGAAATACAATCAAAAACCAAACTCCCTTAGTTACTTAAGCAGCCAATCATTTGCCAGTCTTGGAGGCATTCCACCAGTTATGAATGAGAAGGTAGAATTTTCAGAACAAAACTAGATGGCCATTCACCCTCTGCAAAGGTCAGATGTGAAGCCGTGTAAGAGGCTCCATCCTAAATCCATTTTGTGTGTAGGCATTGAGATGCGATGCCCTGTCCAGAGCACCCAGCAGCTATGGAAGTACCTTGAGTCTTCTCACCTGTGTCAGTTTCTCTCACTCCATATCTGCTTTCAGATCCTTGCTTCCAGAATGCAGTGGTCAGGAAAAGCAGGAGATGGTGGTGACATTTTGTATCCCAGCATGGATGGTTCTTCAAAACAGGGTGGTGTAGGTGGGGAATAGCCACTTCCTGCTGGGATTTAGTCTAGTAGGCATGGACATAGATTAGAAGAGAAGCGTGTTAATGCTTTCTGCAAGTGTTCCCATGTAGAACAGCTGAGGATAAACCATACACCTTAGCTACGTGAGGACCTACGTTCTCTGGTGGCTATAATTCTCCAATTACATTTTCCAATTATATATATTCTCCAATTATATCCCCTATAGTGGTTGTAATTTTTAAAAAGACTCACGGTTTTATTCTATGCTACTTACAACCTTTGAAAACCTTTGCAATAGATAAATGCCTTCTAGACACTGAAAATCAGCCCAGTAATTAAATACTTAAACATTTCTTCCAGCTTGAGATCCAAGAGAGATGACTTTTCTGGCATCCACTGAGGGGGCCAAGAGTAATTTAATTAACCCATTTGCTACCCACACTGGTCTGTCTGGTACATGACATGGCAGCCATTCAGAAAGTACTTAAGTGAATGTTTTAATGAATAAATGAACAAACAGAACTTCTCACAACAAAAGCTATACTTTCTATTTAATAATCCCTTTAAACATTGTTTCATTATTTTCTTTCTTTGCTAAGGAATCATTCTTATCAACATACACATGTGACCTAATATCTCCCATCTTAACAAAAAAAAGGGCAAAAGCAACCTTGACCCATTGACACCATCCACTTTCCTGTTCCTTTCATTCAAGTTGTCTCAGAATTTGCCTCTGTGGTCTGAACTTTCCCACCTTCCGGTCTCTACTCAGCTTCCTCCAAGGGCGATTGGTCCCCTTCTGACCTGCTGAGACCACAGCTTTTGAGGTCACCAAGTAGCTCCATGTAACTAATTCCAACAAGTCTCTCTTTCTGCTTCCTCTTGACCACTAAGTAGCATTTGGCAGAGTTGCCCACACTTTTATACTTGAAACCCTTTTTTTCCTTGGCCTCTGTGAATTCATGTGCCCATGACATCAACATTTTAATATCCAGATCTGCTATTTCTAAATATCTTTTCAACATTTTTGTTTGACTGATTTGCATTTGGAAGTTAACATGTTGAGAATAGAACTATTGAGTATCCACTCCAGACCTCCAGATGCCCATCTTCCCCGTTTCAGTAAATGTTACCCCGGTGTTCAAGCTAAAAACACCCAGATTCCTCTCCTCCTTTTCTCCCATGTCCCATTCATTCTTTCAAGGATTTCTATTGTATTTGTAATAAAATACAAACTACTTGCTATGGATTAGGTCAACAAGTAGACTATGGGGGCAGAGACACAAGTTTGGCAAATACGTGTCACTCTATATCTAGATTTCTCCCTTGCCCATAGCAGGGATTTGTTGTCAATGTAGATTTCCCTCTAAAGCAAGATGAAACCACCCCAGCTTTTCTAACTTGATGCTCCAGAAAGCCAGTAAAATCAGGTAGGCTTGGCATAGGAGAGACAGAACAATTAGGTGTGACTGACCGGATGAGCCCAAGGGAATATCTCAATCAGAGCTTGAGTGATAGGGTAGGTGGTGATGGATCTAGAGGGGTCAGGGTCTTAACTGGCCCCATGGTTTTAAGGTCTGAGATTCAGATCACTGGGTACACAATACTCTCCAGATCCCTATGTTGGGTTCTTAAGATGTTCCTGTTGCATTACCAGCAGACCTGGCTTTTGCTGTCTCTAAGACTGGGAGCATTAGAGTTTTTATCCCAGCAGGTAGAGTAGAAACTAGATGGGAGGGAAATGAAGTAGACACTCCCTGCCTTGGTCTGTTGGGCTGCTACAACCAAATACCATAGACTGGTTGGCTTATAACAACAGAAATTTATTTCTTATAGTTCTAGAGGCTGGGAAGTCAAAGATGAAGGCACTGGCAGATTCAATGTCGGTGAGTGCCTCTTCCCCAGAGACAGCTATCTTCCCACTCTAACTTCACATAGCAGAAGGGGTGAGGGGTCTTTCTCAGTCTTCTTTTATAAGTTCACTAATTCCATTCATCAGTGTCCCACCCTCATGACCTAATCACCGCCCAAAGGCCCTACCTCTTAACACCATCACTTTGAGGGTAAGAATTTCAATATAGACATTTTAGGAGGACATAGACATTTAGACCACATCACTCCAAAATTCCATTCACCATTTACTCCGTGTACTCACCAATGCTTGATGCATAAAGGAGGTACCCTGGGGTTCTTGTAATTTGCTCTCTACATTTTGACCTCTGTGAAAGCCCTTGTGTATTTAACTTGGCTCCGATGCTGAGCCCCGATCCCTCTGCAAATCACCACACATCAGCAACACATGCTCACTCTTGCTTTTGCAAGGAAGACTGACAAGGACTTGTCATAACTCAGTGTCCTCCTTCTGTTGTGGCCAATGCTCCCTGCTGGGAGCTTTGAACATCTTAACAGCTGAAATAACAAAATGAAATGGTGTAAATGAATGTGCTATTGCAAATGCCCCACTCCTTTAATTTAGGATTTGAGATCACATTTCACTCAATTCTGCCAAGTCACAGAGTGATTTGTGATAACACATTCTGGTGATGATTTAGGGGAACCAAAATGATATTTGAATAGAGCTGCAGAGACGTCAGAGCTGAAGGACTCCCACAGGGGGCTTTATGAAAGAGAACCATTCATTTACTTATTACCCTTTGGAACAGTGGATCTGACCTCACCTTTGCTCTGTCCCTTTAAGGTTGACAGGCTGGTCCCTCCTTTTCTCCATTGCTTCAGGCCTCTCTGAAATAATCACAGTAATGATTACAGGGGTTTGCATTTATTGATTACATATACAGGGCGGGTATATGCTTACATGTTTCATCTCATTTTAGATACTTAATACAACAACCCTAAATGGCTATAGTAGCTGTTAATTACTTTATAGAGGAAAAAACAGAATTTCTGAGAGGTTAATTGGCTTCCTTGAGGTTAGCTGTGGTGGTGGAGCTGGATTTAACCTTACATCTGTCAAATTCCCAGTGGTCATAGGAAGAATTGTTGAGATGATGAGGAAAATAGAAAGCGCCCTGTAGAGAATGGGTAGAAGACTGAGGATTTTCACCTTGAGGGAGAGGCAGCATGAGCCTGGTCCAGGGGTGCTATGTTTCTGTGTGGGTCCATGGGACGGAAGGGCAGGTTTCAGTTCAATAGAATGAAGGAGTTTTCTGATGAGATGGATGGATCCCTCTTACTGGAGCTGAACAAAACTGTGCCATCTGTGCCAAGGGTGCCAGGGAGGTTGGATTACACAGCAGACAGGATTGCTTCCAACTCTTAAATTCTATGATTCGGTTCCATGCCATAGTTCTATTCTTGAGGTCCAAAAATATCTGGATGCAACTGTACCATCATGTGGAAATTGATTTTTTCACATCTTACACATTGTTTCCGTCATGGTGAGATTATAATACTACTCTTGCTGCTGATGTTGCCAACAGGCACCCTTAATTGTGTTTGCAATGGTAGCTGAAAGGGATTGGATGATGAATTTAAAATCTTTAGGTCTTTCCCTAAGAATCCTGGTAACCATGGGTATGTTCCCAAATTTGAGCTCCATCATTTTCTCCCTTTCTTTTAGCATAACAGTTAAGAGCTTGAACATTTGAATACGATGGAACTGGTTTAAGTCCTGGCTCTTGCCACTTACCAGCTTTGTAAATGCTGGCAAGTCATTTTGTTTCTCTGAACCTGTTTTCTTACCTATAAAATGAAGTTTGCAATACCTATTTCATGGGTTTTTCTACAGATAGAATTATACAATGCAAAGAAAGCATTTGACCTAGTGGCGCATAGTACTTACAAAATGCTACTTATTATGATTTATTCTATGCCAGTCACTATGCAATACATGTTACATTATTATTCATGGTGCTTACACCCAAGTATTATCTATATTTAAATAAATGATCCATAGGCTAAGAGATGTTAAGCCAGTAGCCTAAGTTCACCCAGCTCAAAAAATGGCTTTCAATCTCCATTACCTCAAGTTCAGCTCCCTTGTGTTGCCTGACAGAGTGTGCCTTTCCTGGCAATGCTGCCCATCTCAGGCTGGAGATCTCTCACACATGCCACATACAGAAGAGATACCCAACAAATGCATTTTGACTGAATGGACAAGGACCAGAACCTTGTCATCTCCATCTCTGTTTTCTCTGTAGCAGATCAGGCATCCCTTCCCTTTCTCTGGGCCGCAGTCTCCTTGCATGTAGCAGAAGAGGGTTTGGACCAAAAAGATTCTCCTTTTGCCTAATTAACAGGTTCTAGAATAGCACGAAGCACATAGTAGGTATCCTACATATGACTCTTACTACTAAGGCTGGGACTGGGGTGAGGCCAGCAATATGCCTAGGTTCCAGATTTGAGAAGGCACGTGACCTGAGGGTGGTGTATGTGCAGGCTGGGGCTCTGAGAGCATGTCCTCCTTAAATCTTGTGCCCGAGGCACCTCTCCTCTCTCCATCATCTCAGCCCTGATCCACAGGGTGGGTGAAAGAATTAATGACTTTAGTGGCCAAAAACAGATTTATTTTTTTTTCTCTTTTTAAATGCTAGGGATGTGAGCAATGATATTTTTAATAAGAATTGGCTGATACTTGGAATAGCTCTGCTCAAAAATACATGCTTGAGAAAGGCTATTATTCATCTAGTTATATATTTTAGGCTTCTGGGGGAAAACAGTAGGGGTACCAGGGTTGTAAGAAATAGAAGAGATGTAAAAGGGAAAAGATGAAGTTACTGAACAACCATCGGGCTAGCCAAGGAAATAATTTCCAATGATATGGTCATTATTTGTACAAGCATTCCCTCCCCAAGAAGAGCAGATCAACAGAATTTTCACACTTACTTCTTTGGTTTAATTGTCTATTTGTTTCAAAATGAAAGCTAATTAAAAGATTATTTTCATATGCTTTAATCACACTACAGCTAACTGTTGGAAAATTTGCAATTAATTGATGCAACAGTTGACTTAAGAATGCGTTTTTAAAAAAGTAACATCACAATTTGAATATACAGAGTGAAGCAATTAGTCCTTCCGTAGTTCTGAGTTATTTCAAATGCTTTGAAATACTAGTGTGTTTAATGTTTAATCAGCAAGGAAATATATCTGGCAACGGTGCCAGCTCCAGTATTATGAATTAAATATAGCCCCTTTGGGAGAGGGGAGGGTTCAGGAAGAAAAATGGCAGCCTCCCCAGGTCTGGCTGCAGGCACATTCCTTCTTCCACTGGGCTCCAGTACAGTGAAGCTGTTCTGAATGCATCCATGCTTGTCACTTCACAAGAATGGCTGTGCATGCTGCAGTGGGTTGTGGTGGGATAGAGCCCATAGGGAAGGACAGCCCCTGATTCTAGAGCCACCTACTGGAGAGGTGATGAGGAGGGGATGTCAGCAGCCACAGCAGAAGATGAGAGAGGGACTGGGGGTTGGCAGGTGGACTGCAGTACTAGTGGTGCCCAACACTCTAGTCAGAGGATGTTGCAAGAGCCTTTGGCAGGGGCATGGAGGTTAGGTGGAGAGCATCTTTCCAACAACAACAGAACTTGGCAAGGGGGCATCACCTGGCAATAAGGCTTCAGAAGTACACAGACATTAAGGCACTGATTGGCAGACAATGACCATGGCTTTAGTCCACAGCTAAATCAAAAGGACCTGCCCAAACCGGCAGTAAGAGGCTCCTTCCCTGGAGTATCCATATGGCCATCAGGCACAGCACATGTCACGACCATAGGTCACATTCCCCCTGGATCAAGGAAAACATACCAAAAGGCTGTAAGTTTTTATCTTCTGCAGATATGCACACAATAAACAGACTTTTTGTCCAGGCTGCACACTGAGTTCTCTACATACATTTTCTTATTCAGTTCTCGTAGCAGCCCAGTGAAGTAAGCATGGATATAATCCCCACTCTATATGTAAGAAACTGAGGCACAGAGAGCTTAAGCAACCAGTTAAACTGGAGCTGTTATTAATACTAATGTTTACCTCCTTGGCTTGTAGGGGAAATAAAACAGTATTACCTATGGTCAAAAGGAAAGTGTGGCTTACAGAGGTTAGAAAACCTGCCCAAAGGCACACACATACATTTGGTAAGTGGCTGAACCAATGTTTGAGCTCAAGTCTTTCTGACTCCAAATTCATGCAAGTCTCAGCACATGGGTATATGTGTTTGTGCGTGTGCCATGCACGTCCAAACACAAAGAAGCAGCCCTCTTGGGTACCCTGCTATCACAGGAGGCTCACTCCATGTCATCAATCAAGACAGCAGAATCGTGGAAACAAATGTAGCTTCTGGGAGGCCCCAGGTTATGTTCTCTCGTCTTAGCAAAACAAGGATTCTTCAATGCAGAAATTTAAAAATATCAAAGCCTGAGACTGGGTCAATGGCAGCAAAACAAATTCCAGACCTCCTGTCTGCGGACATATCCTAGGGTCAGACATGATGATCCTGGGGAATGCAGGACCGGGGGAAGCTGGGAGTGACCCTGGCTCTGTCTCTATTTCTAAAACTTGTGTTGAAAGTGAGTAATAAAATATCTCTGGGTCTTTCTTTTTCCTTTCCTTCCTTCCTCTCTTTCTCTATTTCTCTCTCTCTCTCTTTCTTTCATTCTCTCTTTCTTTCTCTCTTTCTCCCTTTCTCTCTTTCTCTCTCTCTCTTTCTTTCTTTCTTTCTTTTTTTCTTTCTTTCTTTTTCTACAGGGTCTCAATCTAGTCAGAGGATGTTGCAAGAGCCTTTGGCAGGGACATGGAGGTTAGGTGGAGAGCATGTTTCTAACAACAACAGAACTTGGCTAGAGTTCTCATAGGCTAGAGTGCAGTGGTGTGATCAAAGTTCACTGCAGCCTTGACCTCCTGGGCTCAAGGTATCCTCCTGCCTCAGCCTACTGAGGAGCTGGGACTACAGGCATGTGCCACCATGCCCAGTTAATTTTTCTATTTTTTGTAGAGATGGGGTCTCACTACGTTGCCTAGGCTGGTCTTGAACTCCTGGGCTCAAACGATCCTTCTACTTCAGCCTCCCAATGTGTTGGGATTACAGACTTGAGCCAGTGTGCCTGGCCCTGCCTGTCTTTCCTGACATGAGCCAAGGCCCTAGCTCCTCTTTGCCTGCCCTCTCTATGCTCCATCCCCAGTGTAGACTTGAATCTAAGGTGTGGTCCTTCCACCCGTAGGGAGCTGAGAGATTTGTCAGCAGGCAATGAGAAAAGCCAGTGTATTCCACAGATCAGAATTAGAGTATGTCTGGGGTGGGAGTGGGGGACAAAAGCCCCACCAAATGAAGGAAGTTGCTTTCTTTTGCTTCAAGAGCCACCTACGCTTATTTATTTATATTCTCTCTCTTTTTTTTTTTTAACAAATGAGTGGTAATGCATATATTCTGAATTAACTCATACAAATAAATGCAATTGAAAATAACAAAATATATTACTGAGGGAGCTGGGGCAGGGATTAGAATCTGTAAGAGCACAAGTTCTGTACCATTGCAAGTTGCTGCCGAAATAGCACTGAGAGTCCCAGAGGCCAAGGCTAAGAGGGAAACAAGTTGAATTTCCCAGCCCATAGTGGATGCATGACACAATCAAACTGGAATCAACCTTTCCTGATACAGAAGAGGAAATGCTGCCATGGATTCACCAAAAGGAGCCCTTCAAGAGACATATCAGGAATTTCAACAGGCTGTTTCCTTTGGGGTCCCACAATGTGGGCTGATGGGATTCCACTGACGCTTATTTTATTTCCAGAAATTCTAAGGGCAGCAGAGCAAAGTAACATGACCGAGGCTTGCAGAATTCTCACCATCTGACTTGATCGCAGAAAAAAAAATTTATGCAAAAGTGATGGCTTTTGTTTTTTCAAGGGATAAGCATCCTTTTTTTAAAAAGCTGATTTCTTATATGCAACTCCAGTACCTACTACGCAACAGATCATACCTCCCATTCTCTGCGTTGGGGTAGAGATAGGGAATTGGTTTCTAGGGAACCTCAGGGATACCCTCGGGAATTCCAGGGCTCTGGGGAAGGTAATCTGAAAAACTGCTGATCTAAAGGAGTGATGGACAACATGTCCTTCAGGCAATACTCTATTGTTTCTCGCAGTTGGGGTTTCGACTGGGATTGGAAGTTAGCATGTTCTGGTGGAGATTTGCCAGGTGGATGTTTTGTGCTGCTGATTACAGGTGATTTAGAAAACACTGACAAGCAGTAAAGGGTCAAATTCTCCAGGCTTACATAGTCTCCAGTCCCAGGTCTCACAGGAGCCTGCCTTTGAGAATTCAAGGCCCTGAACATGGGCTCACGGGCTATATCACCCCCACATCAGCCCTGGCGGGAAGCATATTCAGTCTGACAAAAATCTCTCAGGACCATGTTGCACTAGATCTTTTTAATTGTTTCTTGACATGCCATTTAAGCTGTCACACTGAAATGTGATTCCCATCTCTATTTATCTAAAGTCACTGGAGGAGGCACTTGGAGAATTGTTACGACCAGGCATCAACCCGCAAACCCACTGTCTCCCCTCAGCGATCTCTCTCTACCTTCTGGAATGTCTCTGTAGCTGCTCAGCAACTGGCAAGGTCTTTAGCAGCAATTTTTGGAACCAGCGTTAGGGAAAGCAAGCAGCTGGCTGGTTGCCCATGATGCTTGATCCTTCTCCTGGAGATTCAGTTACACGTAGCCTTGCACCTCCTCTATGCCAGCCACTGAGATGGGTGGTGGGAGATGCTCATGGGAAGGAAGGGGGATGCATGCCCTTAGGCGGCTCACCATTAGGTAGGTGAGGCCAGCATACCCACATGTGTGATATCCCATGTAAAGAAGGGCCCAGCAAGTGTGATGCAAGGGACATAGACTTTGTGACAGCGGAGCAATGGGAAGATCTACTCCCTACCATTTTCCTGTCTATTTTCTGCCCCAGAAGCTGAATTGTATGAATGATATCAATGGGTTCGTTTGCCTGCTGCTTCCAACTGGGTCCAGCCAATGTGGAGCCACACAAAGAGTTTGGAGGGAGGTCAGAGAATGCAAATCATCCATCTCACCGTTGTCAGTAAACCATGCTAACAAACTCGTGCAAACCAGTTCCAATTTCCTTGGGCTGATAGTTACAAAACAACATTATTAATCACTACATTTCATGGCTTGACTAAGGGTCAATGTCATCGTGGTACTTTATCAAAATAGCTTGGGTCAATTCTATATTTCAGGAATTAATTTTCATATCCAAGGATGAAGTCAGAGTATTTATCCCCTAACAATCTCCCTGCAAAGTCCCCTCTTGGCCGGCTGTGTCCTTCGACTGAAGACCATGGCTCCTCCCGAGGAAGCTGACTCTCCATGCCTCTCATTCCCTGGTTCCTGGTAACTACTCCTGCCTCTTAGCCTTTTGGTCCTAGGGATGGTAAAGTTCTGCTTCTACCAAGCCCCAGATATTTTCTTATCCCTTTAGTATCCTCTACCCACATTTTCCTACCCAGCCCTTCAGAAAGAAACTTTTTGAGTCACTCTATTTTCAGTGTGTGATTTCTTACTTTTTGGGATCTGGACTGATTCAAGGAGGAATAGGTAAATTCCAAAAATAAGGAAAGCAATTTTCAAGGGTTGGGTCTTAACAGACAGTGGGATATAAGTAGGGGGAGACAGAGCCAATGCTCAGTGGTATTCTGGTTGGTATCACTTTAATTTACAGAATCCTACTTAACTCTCCCAATAGCTTCATGGACAGGAGTGCTCCATAGGATAACAGCTAGGCTTGGGGAGGTCTTCTAAGAGTACACATTCTGTGTGGCAGAGAGGGATTCTAACTCTGTTCAGCCCATCTCCATGGGTAAACTATCCCTTGCCCCATGTTTCCTCTTGTCAAATACCTAAGTCAAAGCCCAAACAATAGGGTGGGATGGGGGGAGCAGGAAGACCTGAGAAGAAAGGAAGATGCTTTAGAGACACCTTGGATGGTAGAGGCGACCTTGGCAAGTTCTGTATCTTGGAAGCCCAGATCATGTTGGGGCTCAGAAAGCAATACCCCAAAGTATAGCTCTTTGACATGCTGAAATGAAGAAGCCTCAAAGTCCCTCTTACCTTTCCAAAACCCTGTACCACTGTCTCTCCCAAAGCACAGGATGAAGTTGAAGTTCCTTTACCTGCCTAAGACCCAGACCCACCAAAAGGAAAAATTGTTTTTCCTTCAGCTCTCTGTAATGCCAAGAATGTAACCACACCTGAACAGACCCTTTCACGAAATAATATCTGTCTCTCGGGCTCATTCAAATTCCCAAGAAAACTGTTTACAAATTAATCCTGTTCCAGGATCCATTAATCTCCTTACTGATCCTTTATTGCCCCTTAACAGAATTCCTCTTTTCTCCCTCCCATAACCTGTTTTGCTAGGATGGTTTATAAGCTTCTGAACCCCATGGTGGGGGTGAGGGGAGGTGATCACCTGTGGTTCTCCCTGTATACATATTAATACATTTGTGTACCTGTAAATGAATTGTATAGTGGTAAAGTCTGAAATTTTAATGCACTTGTCACCTGAGTAGTATACATTGTACCCATATGTAGTTTTTAATCTTTTATCTTCCTCCCATCCTTTTCCCTTCTGAGTCTCCAATGCCCATTATACCAGCAGTCCCTAACCTTTTTGGCACCAGGGACCAGTATCATGGAAGACAATTTTCCCACAGAACCAGGGCTGGGAATGGATGCTATCAGGATGAAACTGTTTCACCTCAGATCATCAGGCATTAGATTCTCATAGGAGCCCACAACCTAGATCCCTCGCATGCACAGTTCACAATAGGGTTTGGGCTCCTGTGAGAATCTGATGCTGCCACTGATCTGACAGGAGGCAGAGCCCAGGTGGTAATGCTCACTGGCTGCTCACCTCCTGCTGTACGGCCCAGTTCCTAACAGGCCACAGACTGGTACCAATCTGTGGCCAAAGGGTTGGGGATCCCTGCTTTATACCACTCTATATGCCTTTGCATACCCATAGTTTAGCTTCCACTTGTGAGAACATACAGTATTTGGTTTTCCATCCCTGAGTTACTTCATTTAGAATAATGGCCTCCAGTTCCATCCAAGTTGCTGCAAAATACATTATTTTGTTCTTTTTATGGCTGATTAGTATTCTGTGGTGGAGATATACCACATTTTCTTTATCTACTCGGTTGCTGGACACTTAGGTTGGTTCCATGTTTTTGTAGTTGTGAATTGTGCTGTGATAAATGTGTGCATACAGGTGTCTTTCTGATATCATAACTTCTTTTTCTTTGAGAAGATACCCTGTAGTAGGATGGCTCGATAGAGTGTCAGTTCTACTTTTAGCTCCTTGAGAAATGCCTTTTCTCTTATTAATCTGCCATTTGTGAGTTGGTTTTTCAGTGAGACTTCAAGAGGGCAAAGGAAAAGTTTAGCTCCTACAGTCATAATTGTTGAGAGGTGGTACACAACGTGGATTCAGGACTTCAAGCCCCAGAAATGTTTTGTAAGTAAGAAGTCCTGCTACCTTTCATAGCCTGGGGTTCCTCAGCCCTCACCTGGGGATAACAATTGAGTGTGCCTCAGAGAGTTGTGGTGAGAATTAAATAAGAAAAGGTGTGTACAGCATTTGGCACAGTCTCTGATTCATATTTGTCATTCAATAAATACTGGTGATTATTACTGTTGACAAGCAAGAGGTAACAGTTGTGTGGCTGTTAAGACAGAGGGGAGAGATCATAGCAATAAGATTTTATAGCATGAGAAGTCTCAGACCAGAATGTGACTGACTGCCAGAGCTGGAGGGATACCTAATTGATCCTTTTCTCTAAATCTCTTCATGTTCTAATGAGTAAACTGAGGCCAGAGTGGAAAGGACGTTTGTTCGAGGTCACGCATACCCTGATGGTAGGACCAGGACTTGAACTTGTGTTTCCCACTTTTCTGTCTTAGTCTCCTTTCTCTGGAGCCTCCCATAGAAATCTTTCCCTTTATTTCCTCACCTCAAGGGGAGTGATGACTCTCAAGGCTTGTTAATGTTATTTTGCAAAATATTTAAGGAAATGGTGTCAATTAATCATGCCAGTTTCATTCTTCGAGGGGAAAGAACGATTGTTGATGTTACACTGGTTTAGTAATAAACCCAGAGACACATAGCTCACAGAGGTAGAGGCAGGGCTAATGAAGACGTTGCCTTTTCTGATCTCCAAGTTTGTATGCTCTGCTCTATATCATGCTCTTTCAGCTGTTTCTCAGCTGAAATTAAGAAATGTGGCTTCAAACACAGGCACTTGCTTCACACACTCCTACTTCCTTGCTCCAGGAAACCCTGTCTTTGTGGCTAACTCGTACAGTGTTGGCTGTTAAAAAATGCCAAGGGACAAGAAAACAGAGTCTGAAATGTTTCATCTGGAAAAACAAACTCACATATAGGCGAACAAGGGGACAATTAGTTTCTGTTTGGGCTGAAGCCAGAGGGGTATTTGTGTCATGTAAGTGGAAGTCTGTAGAATTTAATAGGATTATGGTAGAGTAAGAAAGTCCATTTGGAGGTGGGGAAAAACAATAAAAAACAGAGAAGCAAAACATGCCAATATACATTTTTTATCAACACTAAAAATTAACAAAAAAAATAAAAAAATCTAATCTAGGAGTAACCTGCTAGGGGAAAGAACATTACTACCACCAATGACAATTGATTGTAATGTTAACAAACTACCATTAACTGTGTCTCATTTTAAGCATTCCACATACGTGATCTCATTTAATCCTTGCAGGGCTTCAAAGTCCATATTATTTAAATGGACTTTATAAAAATATGGACTTTTTAAAGTATGGACTTTATAAATATATAAAGTCCATATTTCTGCTTTGGTGGTTAAACATACTAGGGCTAAGAGGGGCTGAATATCTTATGCAAAGTCACAAAAGTAGAAAATGGCGGCGGTGGAATTTGAGCCTCTGTCTGACGCCTCTTTCTCATTTCTGCCTCTTTTGCAATGCCCTGGGAGCGAGGTAGGACCCAGAAACCCAGCTGATACATGAAGAGTGACATTTCCAGTGTGGGCATCTGAGCAGGTCAAAAGGCTAGGTCAAAGTCTGTGGTTAATCCAGGATCCAAAATCAAGTATGTCCATAAAATAAGACGGATGAGAAGACAGGACCCTGCCTACCCAGTGTAATTCTAATGGAAATAGGTTTCCTCTTCCCCTAAAAGTTGTAAACAGTGCCTTCTGAAGCGTGGCTTCCCTCAGGCAGCATCTGCAGGGTCATTTTTCTAATTCTTCTTCCTGCCCCAGATGACCAGCAAAAACTGGCCTCAATATGGACATGCTGATCTATTGACCGACTGATTGATTGATTAATTGGTATCTTTGTGCCTCTATGACTTGGGGCTCCCAGCTGTAGTTGGGAATTGATTTTAATCTTCACAGGTTAAAAACAAAAGCTATCAAATCCCTTACAGGAGATGGTGATGAGACACAATCTTATTAAAGAGAAAACTGACAATTTATCATCTCCCAACAGCCTGAGGCCCAATTTTTTGTGCATTCTTGCCAGGATCTCAGCATCTTGTTCAATATCTAATTTATTTGGAGTTTTATCGAGAGAGGAGCATCTTCTGCAATGCTTGTCTCCAATTTTCAAAGCGTAGTTAAGGCCCCCGCCCTCCAAAAAGGAGCTCACAGCAGAGGACTTGGTGGGCACACAGGGTTTAGTCTACGTAATGGGCTACATACATGTTGTCTCTGAACCCGGGGCCGTGACAATTTTCTTCCAAACCCAGTTTCTTATGTTTATATTCTTTTTTTCTGACAAAACGTTTCTTTGTTTCTGTGTTGTCACCTTGATTTTAAGGTTTTTCTCTTTTCCCTGCCAAGTACTGAAATTTTTTAAAGCAAAACTTATCATTTAAATGCATTTCACAAGCTAATTAAACCCTCAAGCAGCACATATAAATTAGACCTCCTGGCTAATGGAAATGCCCACCTCATCTGGACTGGCCAGGAGTTTGTCTCATTCAGCATTTAGCACGTGACAGACAGTTCTCCAGGAAGGAGGCTACTGGGTACTCGGGTAAGTACATGGGATTGGTTATTACCTGGCCACCATGATTGGTTTTGGGGAGGGTGAAAGATCTAAGTGTGGGCTACCTATCAAAACCATCCTTGGGCTTGGTATATGAGCTCTGAGAGTGGTTTTTATTTCCACCAGACTTGCTAATGTGGGTGGGTAAGAGCAAGCCTTTCCCGTCTTTCCAGGCACAGGGTGAGAGAGTGCTTAAGACGGAAGAATGGGAAGGCAAATCTCACAGATGGAGAGGTGGCCATGTCTGCAATGAAATTCCTCAGCCCCTCATTCATAAGACTCAGTGAATTCCTTCCTCACTCTAAGCTGGCTTAAGTTGTATTTCTGCCATTTACTGCTAAGAGCTTTGACCAATGCAGGTAGGTTTATTTTCTCCTTTTTACAAGTAGCTACACTGAGACTCAGAGAGGTTAAGAGACTTGAGGATTAAACAAATGGTAATTGGCAAAGCAAGCTTCGAGCCAGCACCAAATGATCAGTCATGTCCCCTTGTCCCCTCCCAGGGTGAGTAGGAGATCTTCCTGTTTTCCATTATTCCCTTGACTTACTTTATAATCATACTTCCTTATTTTCTAATGTTTTCTAATTATAAAATTAATGCATGCACATTGTGGATGTTACAGAGAAGCATAAAGAAGACAATAAATTTACTCACAATCTTGCCACCTGGAGGAAAACAGTGTGAAAATGGTATGCTATTTTCTCTCCAGGCATAAGAAACCTAAATGTTCATTGAAGTCATCTGGTGCCTTAATGAATAGATAAAATTGGCTCCAACCACCATTCTGTGGCCTGCATGAAGTCCCGTGTCAGAGGATTGAGTCCCAGCTCTGTCCTGTAAGAGATGCGTGATCTTGGGCAGGTTATTTAAGCTCCTTGAGTCATTTTGTTATCTGTCCACTGAAGTTAATGATCTCCTTCTAGCTTGAAGGGTTCATGTGAGAACCAAATGAAACAAATCAACAAATACTCTGAAATGTATAAAGTGTGGTGCAAATAAGTATAATAATAATGGTCTACAAACTTTTTTCTTTCTTTCTAGTCACAAAAACATTTTATTAAAAAAATCCTATTTGGAATCCTAGTACACAAAATAGATAAAGAGGGGCTTCTCTGATTAACTCAGAACCATTCTTATCCCAGCTGGGCTGGGCTATGAATGCCTTCACTTAAAACCTAGGACTTGGAGGAGCTATTTGAAGACCCTGCCCTCTTATAGACAATTTCCAAAGTGCTTTAAGAAACCCAAGGGAAGATGGCCAAGGCGACTATACAGGCCTAAAAATTGGGGGAGTAGGCTATGTGGTGGAGAAAATCCCAATGCATTGATGGTTGTGAATCGTAAATGAACAATAACCCCACCCAGCACCCATCCTTTGAAGATGACACTGAGGAAGATGAAATTCTAATTCTGGAGATTCCTTGGCCATTGCTGTGTGCAATCAAGTTCTTCTCCTGTTACCTCCCTTCCTCTAACCACTTGCCTAGATGTGCTGGGACAAAGCCAAATACTAAGACTGCTAACCCTATGCACACACACACTCAAAGACACTTCCCTGGACTCTGGGAGTTATCCAAACAATATTTGTTGACGCTTGCTGTGTGCTAGGTACTTTGCTAGATGCTGGGAATATAGTGGTGGACAAAACCAGTCATAGTCCCATTCTCTCCCTATTCTCTGAAGGCCACCTAGGGAGTTAGACACACACCAAACAATCCTAAAAATTAATGTAAAATTGTAGTCTTTAGTCTTCTATGTGCCAGATGAACCCAGTCTGGGAGATCAGAAGGAATATGTTGTAGTTGTGCCACTTCAGCTATGATCTGAAATTAACAAGCATCCTAAACCAAATAAGAAAGACATGCAAAGGCCATGTAGGGGATGGGGATTAGAACACTCCAGGATCTGAAAGAAAGCTTATGTGTGTCCTGAGTGTGAGAAAAGCCTGGGAAGGCAGACAAGGACCAGGACAAGCAAGTTCTTGGGGGTCATGCCAAAGATTTTGCTCTCTATATTAGGAGTCATGGGAAGCCAGAAACTGTGGAACCCACTCATTTGAGAGATATTGGAAGGGAAGGAGGTGGGGAGATGGAGAAAAGTAGATGCATCTGGGAGTTATTGAGATAGCAAAATCAAAAGTACTGGTTAGGATAGATTAGTAGGGTGTACTAGTTCCCTATTGCTGCTGTAACCAATTGCTACAGACTCATGGCTTAAACCAACAGCAATGTATTGTCTTACAGTTCTGGTGGCCAGAAGTCAGGAATGAGTCTTACAGGGCTGAAAATAAAAGTGTTGACAGGACTAGTTCCTTCTGGAAGCTCCAAGGGAGACTCCATCGCTTGCTTCTTCCAGCATCCAGTGGCTACTGACATTTTTTGGCTTGTCGCTGCACCGCTCTAATCTCTTCTTTTGCCACCACATGGCCTTCTCCTCTTCTGCCATCAAATCTTCCTCTGCCTCCCTCTCGTAAGGGATCCTGTGATTACATTTAGGATCTACCCTGATAATCTAGGATAATCTCTCCATCTCAAGAACCTTAAGTTAATCATGTATTTAATGTTCTCTTCTGCCAATAGAGTAACATCACAGGTTCCCTGGATTAGGGCCTGGACATCTTTGGGGGCCATTATTCATTCTTCCTTATAAGACAAGAAGGGAAAGAGATCACAGATATTGCCTGGGATTCTGGTTTGCAACTTGGATGGATGGTGCTGAGATGGAGTTGGGGGTCACAAGATGAACTCAGTTTTGATTCTGCTAAGTTTGAGGTACCTCTGAGGCACCTAAGAACAGTGGTCTATCAGGCAACTTGGAAATAGAGATCTAGAGTCCAGAAGAAGGGGCTAGAGATATAACTTTGAGAGTCACCATAGTAAAGTATAAGTAATGCTGTGGCATGGATGAGATTGCCCAGGGAAAGAAAACAAAACAAGAGAGAGAAGGGCCCATGACCAAGCCCTGAAGGACACTTACAAAAGAGGAGATTGATGAAGTCATAACAATTTTCAAAGAGGATCCAGAAAGGCAGGAGGAAAACCAGAAAAGTTCTGGCTCAGAAGTCAAGGAGGAGGTGATTTCAAGGAGAAGGAAGTAGCAATGCTGTCCAAAATGCCTGAAGGCTCAAGCTGAGGATTGAACACGTCCATAAAATTTATTGTATGAACTTCAATGACAGAATGATGGGAGCAGAAGCCAGGTTAGGTTGGAGCAGGTTAAGAAGTCAATGGACAGGAAGAAAACGGAGCAAGTACAGAACACTCTTCTATATTCATATAAATTATTTTCTCTTTACATATTACACATTTGCACTTATCTTTCAGATCACACTTCAACCATTCTTCACCAGAGCTTTTCCTGATCACTTGACCCTCACTTTTATAAGTTCTTATAGCCCTATTTCTTTCTGCTATGTAGCTGTGATCAAAGACAATGGAAACATATTTATTTGTGTGATCATTTTATTTATGACATTCTCTCTCACTGTCTTTGTTCCTTGAAAGTGGGGTCTGGGTCAATTTTTGCTCAATATTGTATTCTCAGGACATAGCCCAAAGCTGGCACATAATGGGCACATGATCGACTTTATTGGATAAATGCATGATCAAATGAATGCTGTAGCTCTAAGTAGGGGAGGTGGAAGCATTTTTAATTTCTAGAAAGAAGCTTACTGTAATTAAAAGACTTTGAACTCAGACACCCAGAGTTTTGAATTCAGAAGCTTCTGTTTTCCAGTTATGTGGCTTTGGCAAAATCAGATTAGCTGACCTTTGGAGGCTTGGTTTTCACTGCTATAGAGTGAGATAATTACTTTTTTATAGATGATACCGTCTACCTGACTGAGTCTGATACATTTTCTTCCTACAGCAATTCTATCTTGTCAAGAGCTGACAATCAGACATACAAAACAAGTGATACGTATGAATTTTGCAAAAGTATTAGTTTGGGAAAACAGAAACCAAAACAAATTGAGAGAGAAGTGGGGGAACTAGGAGGCAGGGAGAGAGACATAGATATAGAAAGACAGGGAGAGAAGGGAGAAGAGCATGTACTGGCTGCTTCATAAATCCCATCCCTTGCTTGTGTTGGGTTTAATTTTGTCCTTAGCATGTTGTGGTTGGGCTGTTGTAGCTGCATGAGGAATGACTTCCTAATTAGAGAAGATGTCTTGGTGGAAGCTTGTACCTGCTGATGTAGACAAGGGCTCAACATGTCTGAGCAGAGAGGTGAGGCTAGGAGGGCCTAGTTCTCCTGCATGGAGGCCTCACATTCCCTTTTCCTGATGCCTTTCCAGCTGGGCACCTGGCAAAGGAAACCCAAGCATTTTCCCTTCTGTGCCCACACCTCTGAGATCACACATGAAGATGGGCTGCCTGCTGGAAATCTGGAGTAATTCCAGTTTATTAATGTGGGCCCGTGTAATTACACAGTCATATTAATTAGCACTTCTGCCTTTGTACCTTCTTTTTCATGTTAGAGCTGAGACTCCGAGTAATTATTTGTATGATTTTTCAATTTGTTTTGGTTCTGTTTTCCCAAAGTGACACTTTTGCAAAATTGATATATAGCACTTGTTTTGCATGTCTGATTGTCAGCTCTTGACAAGGCAGAACTGCTGTGTGAACAAAATGAATCAAATGGTTTCTGTGTTCTGGGTAGTAGTAATTCAGAGAATCCATTCCTTATGAAGAATTTGCAAGGAACTTTGCAATATCCATGCGAAGAACACTTAGTAATTCTTGCATTGTTTCATTGTGTTTATGTTTGTGTGTATTTTGTTGTACACATGGGAGCATTAAATTTTTTTCTCTCTAACTTTTAGGTTCAAGGGTTACACGGGCAGGTTTGTTACATGGATAAATTGCTTGGGGGTTTGGTGTACAGATTATTTCATCATCCAGGTAATTAGCAAAATACTCAATAGGTGGTTTTCCAATCCTTACCCTCCTCCCACCCTCCACTCTCGAATAGACCCTAGTGTCTATTGTTCCTTCTTTGTGTCCATTCGTACATAATGTTTAGCTCCTACTTATAAGTGAGAACATGTGGGATTTGGTTTTCAGTTCCTGCATTAATTCACTTAGGATTATAGCCTCTCCTTCCATCCATGTTGCTACAAAGGCGATGATCTTATTTTAAAAAATAGCTGTGGCTGGGCGCAGTGGCTCATGACCGTAATCCCAGCACTTTGAGAGGCCAAGGAGGGCAGATCACCTGAGGTCAGGAGTTCGAAACCAGCCTGACCAACATGGCAAAACCCCGTCTCTACTAAAAATACAAAGAATTAGCTGGGCATGGTGGCGTATGCCTGTAATCCCAGCTACTTGGGAGGCTGAGGCAGGAGAATCGCTTGAACACAGGAGGTGGAGGTTGCAGTGAGCTGAGATTGCACCACTGCACTCCAGCCTGGGCAACAAGAGCGAAACTCCATCTCAAAAAAAAAAAAAAAAAGCTATGTAGTATTCCACGGTGCATATGTGCCATGTGCCACATTTTCATTATCCAGTCCACTATTGCTGGGCATCTAGGTTGATTCCATGTCTTTGCTATTGTAAATAGTACAGCTTGGTTTGGGCACCATAACAATGAACCACCATTTTGTCTTCTTACTATTGTGTTAGAATAATGGGTCCTTGCTGTGATATAACCTATAGCATGGAGAAAGATGGTGAGTTTTAAGGATTGGTTTGAGGGCCTTTCTTTTTGCCAGCAGTTCCCTTTCATTGTTGATGGGAATGATTCCTTTCATGGGCATTTGTGGAACATGTCTAAGCAGCTACTGTCACTCAAGATGAGGAAGGCTCTGGTCCTTGTTGCTGAAGAATTTATTATATCCCTCCAGAGAGATGAGGTCAAACTAATGAATGGGTCCACACCAGACTCCCACCAAAAACACAAGAACAGGCAGGAGATGGAGCACAGTCCTGGTGGTGACATTCATAAGATGCAGAGGCAGGAAACTGGGAGGTAGAGAGTTGGGAGAGGAAAGAGGAAAAATGAAAGGAAAAGGTGGAAGGGAGGAAGGAAATGAGCATTTATGGTATTCCTGATGACAGTTTCTTTTTTCACTTAGCAGCTTTGGTATCTAGACTGTCCCCCACCCCCTATTTTACAGACATGAAAGCACAGGCTCCAGAAGGATTGAGTGACTTCACCCAGGACTACCCACTAGAAAGTATCATAGCCAAGACTTAAACTCTAGCCTGTCTGATTCCGTAGCCTGTGTACCCTTCATTGTCCTATGTAGCTGCTCTCGACACTAATTAGCATGTTCTTTGGAAAACATTAGAGAATTCGCCAGCAATTCATGACTTGCTGACCATTATATGCCAAGTTTTTGCTATGGGCATGAAAAATTATCTGCAATACCAGGGAGAGCATGGATTTGGAGTCAGAATGACTTAGCCAGAAACCTTTAAGATACCAACAAATAGTAGTTAACATTTATTGAGCATCAACTGTGGTAGGCTTGTGCAAAACATTCTGTATTCATGACCTCATCTGATCTTCATAGCTATTGCCTGAGATAGGTACCATTCTGATCCCATTTTATCGATGAAGAAATTGAGGAACAGAATGGTTAATGGAGAAATGGGAGAAATGGATATAAGTCAGTGCTGTCTTTCTAGGTCTGGCTGAGGAAGTCTTGTAGGGATTGGAGGTATCATGAGTAAATGGATGCTATTCCAGCTGGAAGCCAGGCAGATGGAGCTGTAGCATCCATGACAAGCTCTGAGACCTATTCTCAGCAGAACTGAGGCATGCTCAACAAGGTAAGTGAATCCCAGATAGAAAGCATTGAGCTGTGGGTCCAGCAACAGCAGGGTGGCCAGTGGAGCTGAAAGAAAAGAGCATGGGCTTTGGAATCAAGTCAAACCTGGTTCAGATCTTGGTCCCATCTCTTACTCATGTGTGATGTTGAGCAAGATAATTTCCCTGGGCCTAATTCCTTCTTCTATCAAATAGAAGCAAGAAGACTTGTCTTGCAGGATTGTAATGAAGATTACACAAGCTACCCTCTGTAAAGAGCCCAGAGCGATGCTTGACACATGGGGGGCACTGTATGAATACTTGGGAATGGATGAAAGGAAAGATAGAATTCAAGTGAAGGAATCATGAAATACTTCAAGGAGGAGATAGCATTTGAATTGGACCCTCAAAGTTGGGTAGGGTTTCTGTGAACGAAGGTCAGAGATGAGTCCAGGATGGGCCGTCTCTTGGAACCTTTTGAGGCAGGCACAGCTGCTCAGGATACTCCATGGCTTCTGAGATGCCTTGAGGAAATAAGAAGAAGCCTGCCCCAAGGGGTCTATACTATGGTTGGTGATCCAGTGAAAAGTATTTACTGAGAACCTACTATTGGCCAGACTCTGTGCCTGGGGGGTGCACATATTATTTCCTACCTACCTGTAAGAGAAACTCAGTTCTAGAAAGGTTGAGTGATTTGCTCAGGGCATGCTGCATTGTGCTGAGTCATGCAGGGTAATGCTGAGTCATGCAGGGTAATGCTGAGTCATGCAGGGTCATAATGAGACTGAGCGGCAAGGCAGATTTGCAGCCCAAGCCCTTTCATTCCGTTACACCCTGCATCTCGCAGATGAGCATTGTAAAGATGAGCCCTCAGAGCTTGTCTGCACTGCTAGACCCATTGCCCTGCTCTAACAAATGGGGGCTTGGGGCTTGACTGTCACGTGAAGCTGAGCTTGCCAATGAAGATGCGTGCATGGTTTACAGAGGCCATACTTTTTGACATGACACCTCCAGCATGAACCTTTCAAATTCTAATCGTGGAAATAATTTGGAAGAAGGAGATGAAGGTTATCATTTATTTAGGGGGCTTTATCAACAGAGAGCCTCTCTGGCTTTAATAAATGAGATGTGTTGAATAGAGTGGGATCACTGAGGCATGAGATACTGTGTCTGCCCACGAAGGGCTTTGAATAATTTACATCCTGAAAGGATATTTTATGACAGTGCTTATAATCTTCTTATTGGTTCAAAATCAACATTTACAGCACATGTCTTTGAACTGATGCGGCTGATAAGCTTGTCTCTTTATTATGTGGCACGAATCAAGCCCTCTCAGGAAAGGGAGGTTTCATAGAAATTGATTCCTCTTTGGGTCTCAATATTTTATTCTCCAAAAACAGCCAATAAATAATAGAGGACAGCCATTAATATTTCATTTTAGTTAATATATTAGTAGAGGGAACTCTTTTAATTTGAAGGGGCATGGAAAGGAGGCTTTGGAGTTTTGCAAAGATGCTTTATCTGGTGGCTCCATCTCCCATTAAACAGGTCTTGGGCTTTTCTTCGATGGGAGACTTTTTTTATTGATTCAATCTCCTTACTCATTGGTCTGTTTAGATTTTCTATTTCTTCCTGATTCCGCCTTGGTAGGTTGCATGTTTCTACTCATTTCTTCTAGGTTATCCAATGTGTGCGGCAGCATTTTTTTTTTTTTTTTGAGACAGGGTCTTACTGTGTCACCCAGACTGGAGTGCAGTGGCATGATCATGGCTCACTGCAGACTTGACCTCCCGGGCTCAAGTGATCCTCCCATCTCAACCTCTGGAGTAGTTGGGACTACAGATGTGCACTATCACACCTTGCTAATTTTTTGTGTTTTTAATAGAGATGGGGTCTCATTCTGTTGCTCAGGCTGGTCTTGAACTTCTGGGCTCAAGCAATCCTCCTGCCTCGGCCTCCCAGAGTGCTGGGATGTGTTGGTGTATAGTTGTGCGTTGTAGTCTCTTATGAATCTCTTTCTGTGGTATCAGTTGTAATATCTTCTCTTTCTAATTTTGTTTACTTGAGTCTTCTTTTTTCTTTGTTAGTTTAGCTAAAGGTTTGTTGATTTTATCTTTTCAAAAAGCCAACTTTTAGTTTAGCTGATTTTTTGTTTTTCTAGTTTCTATTTTGTTTATTTCTGCTCTGATGTTTTTTTATTTCCTTCCCTCTGCTAAGTTTGGCCTTTTTTGCTTTTTTTCTTGTTCCTTGAGTTGTAACGTTAGGTTGCTTGTTTGAGATCTTTCTTTTTTTTTGATGTGGGCATTTATTGCTATAAACTTCCCTCTCAGGACTGCTTTTGTTGCATCTCACAAGTTCTGGTATGTTATGTTTCCATTTTTAAGATATTTTTAAATTTCCCTTTTAATTTCTTCTGATGATTTCACTGCTGAATTCTATGAAATATTTGAAGAAAAAACTAACAGCAATCCTTCTCAAACTCTTGCAAAACCTGGAAGAGGAGAAGTACTTCTTAACTCATTTTACCAGGCCAGCATTACCCTGATACTAAAGCCAGACAAGAACCCTGTAAGAAAAGAAAAGAAAATGACAGGGCAATATCCCTGATGAACACAGACATAAAAATCCTCAACAAAATACTTATAAGCTGAATTCAACAGCACATTAAAAAGATAATTCTCCACGATCAAGTGGAATTTATCCCCAGGATGCAAGGATGGTTTGGCATACATATAAATCAATAGATGTGATACACCATAGTAACAAAATGAAGGAAAAAACCACGTGGTCATCTCAATAGATGGAGAAAAAGCACTTGAAAAAATTCAACATCTATTTATGATAAACACTCCCAGCAAAATAGATATAGAAAGAATGTACCTCAACACAATAAAGGCCATATGTCAAAAACCCACAACTAACATTCTAAACAGTGAAAAGTTGAAAGCCCTTCTTCTAAGATCAGATACAAGACAAGGATGCCCACTTTGCCACTTCTTTTCAACATAGTAGTGAAAGTCCTAGTCAGGGCAATTAGGCAAGAAAAAAAAAAGGTATACATATAGTAAAGGAAGAAGTGAAATTGTATATATTTGCTGATTATATGACCTTATGTATAAAAAACCATAAATAGTCCATCAAAAAACTGTTAGAGCTGACAAACTTATTAAAGTTGCAGGTTACAAAATCAACATTCAAAAATCAGTAGTGCTTCTATACATTAACAACAAACTCTCCTTGGGAAGCTGAGGCAGGAGAATCGCTTGAACTGGGAGATGGAGGTTGCAGTGAGCTGAGATCATGCCACTGTTTTCCAGCCTGGCCAACAGAGTGAAACTCCATCTCAGAAACAAACAACGAAACAAACAAAAAATAAACTCTCTGAATAAGAAATTAAGAATACAATTCAGTTTACCATAGCATTCAAATACAATAAAATAACTGAAGAGGTAAAACATCTGTACACTGAGAACTATAAAACATTGATGAAAGAAACTGAAGAAGAAAAACAAATGGAAAGATATCTCATGTTCATGGATTCGAAGAATTAATATTGTTGAAATTTCCAAACTACCTGAAGAGATTTACAGATTCAGTGCAATCTCTGTGAAAATTCCAATGTCATTTTTCACAGAAATAGAAAAAACAATTTAAGAATTTGCATGAAACAGAAAAGACCCCAAATAGTCAAAGGGATCTTTTGAGGAAAAAGAACAAAGGTGGAGGTATCACACACTCTGATTTCAAAATATATTATAAAGCTATTGTAATCAAAAGAGCATGGTACTGGCATAAAAACAGACACATTGACCAATGGCACATGATAGAAAGCCCAGAAATAAACCCAAGTATTTACTATTGATAATTTAAAATTTTTATTTCCATAGGTTTTTGGGGAACAGGTGGTATTTGGTTACATGAGTAAGTTCTTTAGTGGTGATTTCTGAGATTTTGGTGCACCTGTTACTTGAGCAGTATACACTGAACCCAATTTGTAGTCTTTTATCCCTCACACCCCTCTCACCCTTTCCCCCGAGTCCCCAAAATCCATTGTATCATTCTTATGCCTTTGCATCCTCATAGCTTAGCTCCCACTTATGACTGAGGACATATGATGTTTGGTTTTCCATTCCTGAGTTCATCACTTAGAATAATAGTCCCCAGTTCCATCCAGATTGCTGCTAATTCCATTAATTCGTTCCTTTTTTGTGGCCAAGTTGTATTCCTTCATATATAGATATATGTGAAAATATATGTTTTATATATATATATTTCATATATATGTGAAGTCCTATATGTTCATATAGATATGAAGATATATTTTCATATATATTTCATATATATGACATATATATTTCATATATATGACATATATATGTCATATATATGACATATATATGTCATATATATGACATATATTTCATATATATGACATATATATTTCATATATATGACATATATATTTCATGTATAT
Organism: Homo sapiens; assembly: GCF_000001405.40. Classification (NCBI taxonomy): domain Eukaryota; kingdom Metazoa; phylum Chordata; class Mammalia; order Primates; family Hominidae; genus Homo; species Homo sapiens. The sequence goes on along the minus strand of NC_000016.10, from coordinate 65,971,559 downwards.
ATGTTTCATATATATGAAATATATATATTTTCATATATATAATTTCTTTATGATACACACACACACACACACACACACACACACACACACCCCCCACAATTTCTTTATCCACTTTTTGATTTGGGGACATTTGGGCTGACTTTTGACAAAGGTGCCAAGAACACACTATGGAGAAAGGACGATTTTTTAAATAAATGGTCTTGGGAAAACTGGATATCCACATGCACAAAATGAAATTGGATACTTATACCATGTACAAAAAGCAACTCAAAATAGATAAAAGACTTCACTACAAGACCCGAAACTGTAAGGCTACTAGAAGTAAAAGGAGAAAAGCTCCATGACATTGGCCTGGGCAATGATTTCATGGATAGGACTCCAAAAGCATGGGAACAAAAACAAAAATAGACAAGGAGATTGCATCAAATGAAAAAGCATCTGCATTACCATAGAAAAAATCCACAGAGTGATGGGTTATGCTATGTATTGGGAGAAAATATTAGCAAGCTACACATCTGATAAGTGGCTAATATCCAGAATATATAAGGAGCTCAAAGAAATCAGCAGTGAGAAAACAAATAACCCAATTCAAAATAGGCAAGGGATCTAAGAGCAGGAACAAGACATTTCTCAAAAGAAGAGATATAAATGGTCAACAGATTTATGAAAAAATTTCTCAACATCTCTAATCATCATGGGAATGCAAATTGAAGCCACGATGAGATATCACCTGATACCTGTTAGAACGGCTATTATCAAAAATACAAGTGATAGCAAGTGTTGGTGTGGATGTGAAGAAGAGGGAACTCTTGTACCCTGCTAGCAAGACTGTAAATTGGTACAGCCATTTTGGAAAATAGTATGGAGGTTCTTCAAAAAACTAAAGACGGAACTCTCGTATGATCCAGCAATCCCACTACTGGGTAGACATCCAAAGGAATTGAAATTGGTTTGCCGAAGGGATATCGGTACTCCCATGCTCATTTCAGCTTTATTCACAATAGCCAAGATGTGGAAACAACCTAAGTGTCCATCAAGGGATGAATGGATAAAGAAAATGTGGTATATGTACACAATGGAATACTATACAGCCTTAACAAAGAAACAAATGCTGTCATTTGTGACAACTTGTATGGAACTGGGGGACGTTATGTTAAGTGAATAAGCCTGGCACAGAAAGACAAATACTCTATGATCTCACTTATTTGTAGAATCTAAAATTCAATCTCATAGAAATAGTAGATATGTGGATACCAGAGATGGGGCAGGGGTGGGGGTAGGGGGAGGGATGGGCAAAGAGGAGATGTTCATCAAAGAGTAGAAAGTTTCAGTTAGACTGGAGGAAGAAGTTTTGCTGCTCTGTTGCACTGCGTGGTGACTGCAGTGAATAATAATGCATATTTCAAAACTGCTAAAAGGCTAGATTTTTAATATCCTTGCCACAAAAAAATGTTAAGTGGGCAATGTGATAGAGTCATTAATTACCTTGATTGCATCTTTCTACAGCATATACATAGGTCAAAACAGCACATTGTACCACACAAATGTACATAATTATTATTTGTCAATTAAAGATAAATTAATTAACCTCAAAAATCCAGCCTCCAGAGATGTGTCTGCTGTTATCAGTCTCTACCCCTCAAGGAAAGGCCTAGAAATCAGTTGTCAGGGGCTGCAGCGGTTATAAGAGGGGGCTTTTCTAGGTGACTTTTTTTTTTTTTTTTTTTTTTTTTGTCTTGAGCCTGGACAGTCAAGACAAGAAAACCACATCAGGTACTCTGCAAAATATGAAAAGAGCATTTTGCTCCCACCAGCTCTGTGATGTTTGGGGCTTGCAGAAGAAAGGGGCATGAAGGGTAATAAATGATATTTTCTAAAAGCCCAAAGGGCTATCTGTCTGGACATAACATATCTAACACCCCTGGGACAATCTTGGCCCACGCACTCCTGCAGGCAGCAGCCTGGGGCAAGGGAAGGTGCCCAGGCTTTAGCATTCAGTACCGGTATTCAGACACTAACTCTGTGTAATACTGGGAAAATTAGTCTACTTTTCTGAGCCTCCCTTTTCTCATCTATAGACTGGGATAATGAATGTTAATCTCACAAGTTTGTACTGAGAGTTAGATGTGATGATTTATGTAAACAGCATCGCACCATTCCAAACAGAGGTTATTCCTAATATTTTACAGTGAGAAACGCTGGTGCAATTGAAAGGCAAAACATCTTCTGGATAATTGGGGTTCCTCATGCCACTCAACCAACAAGCAAAGAAGAGTGCTACTGAATTGGTCCCAGGAAGGGGTCCCGATTACCAAGGCGAACTGGGGGAGTGGGCAAAGAGGATTATATTTGTAACTCCGGATATTTGCAGGGACACGTCTTACTCTTAATACTCCCTTCCCAAAGTCCTAGTAAATCCAACTGTGGCAACCCAATAAAAACAAGTCTACCGAGGATTCACACCTCATAGAAATAAAGGCTTGGTTCTCCCCCAAGGTAAAGAAGCTCCCCCAAGCAGAGGCTAAGGGGAATGTGGAATGCATAGTGGAAGATGAAACTATGATTGCAAACTAAAACCTTGTGATCAGAGGACTGGTGTGAGTATGATCAGACTGACATTCAGTGGCTGATGGGACATTACGTGTTGTCTTACACTTAAGATGTGGAATTTTCACCTAGACAAGGGTGGATGCCTCTGGCTTTTTGTCTTGGGATGCTGATCTTTCTGGCGTCGCATCCGGCCCCCTTGCCCTCTGGCTTACTATTGGTTTTGGTCAATGGCGAGTACAGGAGTTCAAAGGTTAAAGTGGGGCCTGGGGAAGAGGGTGTTGGGGTGTTTATACCCTATGATCCTTTCTTGGGGGTGCCCACGAGCTGGCTGCACCTATTGGCACAAAGCCACAGACCCCTCACCACACAGCCCTCTTAGTTCTGGTTCTGGCCATTATCTCCCCTTCCCTTTTCTGGGCTGCAGTGGTGATGGCTTCCTCCTGTCCCAAGCCTTGGGATCTCACCCTGAACAGTCCCAGTGGCTTTTCCTACCCACACATAGGTGAATAGGGGCTTTATCAAACTCTCCTCAAATATCCTTTGGAGTGAGCCATCACCCTTTCCCACCAGGCCCTGACTAAAGCAGCTGGCAGCCTCACAGACATAGGGTGGGATCTAGATGGGCAGAACCTGGGCAGGTGGGCAGATGACTCGATGGGAGTCAAGACGCTAAGATGTGAGTGCAAGCACCACTTATCTGTGGGTCCTTGGGCAAGTGGTTGAGTCTGTCTCCATCTCTGTAACTTCAACTGAAAATGGGAACAATAATAATATCTGGCCCCCAAAATGGAATGAAATTCAAGATAAAGTTCTTTCCTGTGGTAGGTTCTCAATGAAGCATTAGTTCTCTCCCCTGGCACATGCTATGCATTCAACTGATGTTACATAAATACACACATATGTACATGTGTGTGTATGTATATGTGTGTGTGTATATATACATATATATACACACACACACATATATATATATGACACATATATAAGAGAGAGAGAATACCCAGGGGTTGGAGGAGGGTTTTGCTAGAAAAGAGGTCTGTGGTCTGCCCACAAATGTCCCTGAATCTATGCAGAGATTTAAATTTGGAGAACATTCTGAAACACAGCTGGTTTGGGAGTGAGGGAATGAGGTTAGGGAAGGCCTCAAATACCAAGGTCAGCCTACAAGTCAAGGTCAGGGCATGGAGTGCTAGAGCAGAGGGAAGGAGTGCTTTGCAAAGGCTTAATTGTCTGCTTGGAGGCTGAGAGGTCAGAGAAGCAGCCAGGGAGGAGGCCAGGAAGAAGCAGGGTCGAGCCAGTGGAGGAAAAGGAGTGGACACTGCTGCCCTGTGTTTCCGTGTGAAGATCTGGGGTTCTGGCCCTCCACCCCCTGGGGCCTCCCTTGTAAGATCAGTGGCTTTTCAGACTTGACTCATCCCTCTTAAGCTAGCTGGGGGCTTGTTGGCATGGCCTGACCCCTTCTGAGTTGATCCATGACTCATTACAAGGTTTAGGGTTTTATAAGCACATTAAAATTTCGAGGTGAACTCAGTCTACAGATTTACATAAGGAATCTGGGAACAAGAGCAGAAATCTGGATGTGATGCTACAGACTCACACGTGAACCCATTGCCCCAAGCAGATGGACTGGTGCATCCTTTTCCCAATTCATTCAGCAGCTATTGGCTTTTCAACTGCTCTATGCTGGTCAGTGGGCAGAATGGGAGGGCTGGGGGGAAAAGATTCAAACAGGCTTCTGTGGCTGTACTTGAGGAGGTGTTTGCTTCATGTAATTTAGGGAAAGTGGGTCGTTGAGAGCTCTTTGCCCACTTTCCAATCAAAAGCATTGCATTAGGCATGCTGTCTTTGAGACCCTTCAACAGCCTGCTGGACCATTGGCTCAAGATGTGCACTGACTGGAGCTACGGGGAAATTTCCTGCCCCAGCCAGTTGAAGCTGACTCCCTTAGATGGAAAAGCAGCTCTGTTTCTTGTAGATGTCCCCAGTGGGAATTTGGGTGATGATAGAAATGGCCAGAGGGCAGAGCTCATGGGCATGATGATCAGACAACCTGCAACACCAGTGCAAGATCAACACCAATTTGGGTCTCTCACTCACTCACGTTTATATTGAGCATCTATTCTGGGCTGAGTCCAGCTATGCCCCGAGGATTTATAGATAAATAGTACATGGTTTTGAGGTGCTCCAGTCAAGCTGGGGAGAACAAGAGGGAAGCAGGCCAGTGGAGTTCAGTTTGAGCCCACCCCACCACAAGAGAGAGGGAGATACTGGATCCATGGGAACAATACCATGAGCTCCATGAGAGCACAGACAAGGTCTCTTTATTCTCCACTGTGTCCTCAGATCCTTGCACTGTGCTGAGCTAAAGAAATTCCTGAGATATTTATGAATTGGATGAATGAATGAATGAATGCAAAAGAGGCAGCACAAATGCCAAAGAGGTGTCAAGGAAGGCTTATGCAAAGGGTGGGTGACATTGAGTCTTGAAATTTGTGTGAAGTTGGCCTGGACTGGAGAGAAGGAGGATGTCAGTCCAGAGAGAGAAGCCATCAGAGGAAGAATGGAGGGTGATGAATTTGGCACAGGTGGCACCAAGGTCCCCTGATACAGCTCCAGCTTTCATTTCTAGGCCACCTTTAGGACATAACTGGATCAGATTTGGAACTTACATGGAGCTTCCAAAATGCTGACAGTCTCTATAACTGTGACAGTATTTGATATCTGCCAATCCCCTGGATTTTTTGTTTGTTTGTTTGTTTTTTATTTTTTGAGATGGAATTTCACTCTGTTGCCCAGGCTGGAGTGCAATGGTGAGATCTCAGCTCACTGCAACCTCCGCCTCCCAGGATCAAGCGATTCTCCTGCCTCAGCCTCCCAAGTAGCTGGGATTATAGGCATGTGCCACCATGCCCTGCTAATTTTTTTTGTATTTAGTAGAGGCGGGTTTTCACCGTGTTGGTCAGGCTGGTCTCGAACTCCTGACCTCAGGTGATCCACCCACTTTGGCCTCCCAAAGTGCTGGGATTACAGGAGTGAACCACCATGTCCGGCCAATTTTTTTTTTTTTAAACCAAAGTAACAATTACGTCACCTAACCTGTTCTTCCAGAGGGTTGGTGTGCTTGTCTGGGGAGAAGTGGGTTGACAAGTTCAATGAGGCATATTCAGGTCACTCCCTTGTCTGTTTTTATTAACATGAAGAAAGGGATTCAGACGCAAGTGTGTCTTTACTCAACCAGCCAGCCAGCAGTTTACCTGGGTTCTCATCATTCATTAACTTGGTGACGTGTGACAATTCACCCAACAGCTCTCAGGTTCAGCTCCCTCATCTCGAAAGTGGAACAGAATGGCTCACCTAATTTATCAGGATAATCCCGTCCAATTCTGTTGCTGTGAAACACCCCTAAATGAGGAGAGGGTGAATGCAGAGCTCCAGGAGTTTGACAATATCGCCCAAAGCACAAGTCTGTTGTTTTATCTTAAAAAATCACAGAGCTTTTGCATTCTACTTGTCGGTATAACTTGGTTTGCTTTATTTGTGCATATTTTAAATGACTTACTAGTGAGCCAGCCAGGAAAAAGGTGAGGAGAGTGAGGCCCTCACCTTAAGGATCCAAAAAAAAAAAATAAAAATAAAAAACCTCAGTGATCAAGATAACATTCGGATGCAATATTTTAAAGACTCAAATTGGCAAACTGGCCACTCCTGTTTGTAAATAAAGCTTTATTGGAACCAGCACTGGGATTAGGGGGAAGCAAGTGAGGCAGAGTTGTGCAAATACAGGATGGAATGCCATTTTTACTTACAGTTTTGATGTTTTGTTCATAATGAATTTCGGGGCATTAATTTGGATTTTAAAAAAGTACTGCATTTAAATATAATTTATCTTGATTACTGAGTTTTTGGACATCTTTTAAGTTTTGCTCTGAGGTAGGGGCCTCCCTTGCCTCACCCTAGTGTACTTAACCCTTCTTCACCTTTCTCCCCCAAAACTTGGAAGACGATAGACCCTCAGGAAGATGCTGTGTGTTATTCTTGTGGCCCCCATGTGGTCACACCTGGCCGGGCACTTGCATTGAAGAGGCACCTAGATGCGTGAGGCATCTGACACAAGGCCAGGTGCCCTCGGGCTCTCTGTAAATGCTACACCCTGAAGGCAGTGGGTTAGATTGGTCTCCCTCCTCACAAACTCATCTTGCAGCTTTTGGGAAGTCCCTTACAAAATCTGGTTCTCCACTTCCCCATCAGCAGAATGAGGGGATGGGAACAGGTCTTTAGGGGCTCTTCAGGCTCAATGTTCTGGGGTTCCAGGAAGGCATCCCTCTGCAGGTAGTCAGGGGTAGAGGATAGGACAGGTGCATCCCTGTGCCAGACCTTCCTATGAGTCATGGACCGAGAAAAGGTCAGCATAAAAGATCACTGGTGTTTAAAACAGAAATGCTAATGCGATGTCGCCAGAGTGGGAGTGAGGGAGGAAATGCTTATCGGTCTCTTAAAACTCCCCAGAGCGCACAGGGCTTGTGCCGGGTGCTGAGCGGGGATGAAGAGGTGCTCGAGAGAGCCTGAGTTCCTTTTGAATGGTTGCGAGGGAGAGGTTGTGTTCATGGACCGAGGTCTGACAGTGAGAGGAAGAGGGCCAAATGGTAGGTGGAAAGTCAGCACAGAGATCTACCTTATGGCTGAGCTGGGGATGGTTCTTGGAAAAAGTGGGCCTTGAGAATGTGCTTCCAATAACAGAGAACATTATGAACCTAGAAAGGAGCCTGGGGTATATATCGGGGTCCCAGAAGGAGACAGATAGTGCCCTCAAATGGGGGAATTGAGGAGAGGTCAATAAATAAACTATTTGTAACAGTCTGGGAAGGTGAAGGGAAAATCAGCAAGGGATGGTGAAGCACTTTTGGGGGTAGCAACACTGGGGGGCAGTGACCACCCCTAGGCCTCAATAGTAGGGCAAGGAAGGGTTCCCAGAACCTGCCATGGACCTGCAGCTGGAAGGGTGAGCCCCAGAGTGAATACCTTGCTCCCTTTCCAGCCTCTGGTCTCTTGTCAGTGCCTCCCAGATGGACCCAAGTGACAGCTCCAGGGAAAGGAGCCTGCCAATGTCATTCACACAACCCAGCAGCCCAGGGCTCAGATCTGGAGGGGCGAATGAAGAGAGGCAGCACACTGAATAGGACAGGCACAGGAACTGAGAGAGACTGTGTCTGTGCAAACATCTGTGTGGTTAAAGAGAAGGGAAAATGAGCCTCTGGGCCAGGGGCAGTGGCTCACGCCTGTTATCCCAGCACTTTGGGAGTCTGAGGCAGGCGAATCACTTGAGATCAGGAGTTTGAGACCAGCCTGACCAACAGGGTGAAACCCAGTCTCTACTAAAAATACAAAAATTAGCTGGGTGTGGTGGTGGGCACCTGTAATCCCAGCTACTTGGGAGGCTGAGACAGGAGAATTGCTTGAACCTGGGAGGTGGAGGTTAGAGTGAACTGAGATCATGCCACTGCACTCCTGCCTGGGCCACAGAGTGAGACTCCATCTCAAAAAAAAAAAAAAAAAAAAAAAAAGGAGAATGAACCTCTGTTTCTGGTGCTTCAAAGCAGGAACTGACTTTACTTTCCACAATACCTGGCCCTGTAGACTTTGCTACTTCCATTTTGCAGGAGAGGAAATGGAGGCTAGAGAGACTGACAGCTGGACTTTCCAGTCAATCATCTCAGCCAGGTGCAGAGTCTGCGGGCATTTCCAGTGGGGGAGAGGCTCCCCCAGACTCCTGCAATTTGATTCTGCCTTGTCCTGTGATTGAAAGCCTCCAGTGCAGTAAGAAGTAGCTCCTTGCTGACTCCTTAGTGGAAGAAGAACAGGGCTCCAGAAAAGGGCAGGCAGAGGGAGAGGACTCCTGCACAGAGGAGATGAGAGTGTTAACTTGGGTCCTGCTAGCAGCAGGGGTTGCTAGCTGTGCTCTGACACTGGCCAGGCCATGATGGAACTTGGGGGTCCCTGAGTGAGGAAGGCTGGGATTGACTCAGGACTGGGCCAGCTGGGGGGCCTCAGACTTTAGACTTGTGTTCCTGCATGCCTGCCTTCAACCAAGCACACTTTCTGAATGCCAGTCAGGTGCTAGGTCTGGCTGCACGTTGAGGCTTCACAGGTGAACGGAAACATCCTGACACCTCTCCCTCGTGGTCCTCAGTGGCCTTCTCATCACAACCACCATTTATTGAGCTCTTGTTAGGTTTCAGGCTTTCTGTTACGTTCTGCAAGTCAATCAATGCATTTAATCCTTACAACACCACCACAGGGGTGGGGGTCCTCACTACTGTTTTACTCCTAAGGACTTGGGCCACAGAAGGGCTCATTTCAGTGAGAGACAGTGACAAGAGAACAGGCAGGCACAATCGGGTGCGGGAGCAGTGCCGCCATCACGGACTGTCCCCAGGCATTCCGCCAGGGATTAAGCCCTGCCACCTACCGCTGTGTGTGCTTGGTCAGGTCTCTCGGAGCCCTGGTGATCACCTCCTAGAAAGCCCCTCACTGGGCTGTTAGAGGAAGAATGAGATGGCCCACAGGAAGCACGTGCACGGCACATAGAGGCCCTGGGCAGTTGTTACTCTTTTTGCTGCAACTATCATTGTCACACCAACTTTTTGTCTTCTTTCTTACTTTCCTTTCCTTCTCTGTCTCCTCTCTTTACTCCTTTTCCAGCCCAGGGGCTTTCACTATTGGCTTGGGGGTCCCCTAAGCACAATGTTTTGAAAAGACTCTCCAATCACACCAGGTTTGTTAGGTGTATATCATGTTTATGTTCTTCCCAAGATCCCACAATGGACTCAGAAGGAGGTGTCAAGAGGGTAGAGAAATTTGTCTACTTTTTAATGTATCCCAGAGTATGGCCTCCCTCCCTCCCTCCCTGCCTCCTTCCCTCCCTTCTTCTCTCCCTCCCTGCCTCCCTCCCTCCCTCTCTCCCTCCCTCCTTTCCTCCCTCTCTCCCTCCTTTCCTCCCTCCCTCTTTCTCCCTTCCTCCCTCTCTCCCTCCTTTCTTCCCTCTCTCCCTCCCTTTCTCCCTCTCTCCCTCCCTGCCTCCCTCCCTCCCTCTCTCCCTCCTTTCCTCCCTCTCCCTCCCTCCTTTCCTCCCTCTCCCTCCCTCCTTTCCTCCCTCTTTGCCTCCCTCTCTCTTCCCCTTCCTTCCTTATGTAAGGGCCTAGGAAAGCAGCAACATAGCATCAAATATTTTCACAGATCACTGATGGTAGTTTCCTCTAGTTGTACAGATGTGCACATTACACCAAGCTACAGAATGTGATTAGGTCATGCAGCTCACTGGAGGGAAGCGGGGATGGCAGCAAGTCTGTGGTGCTGAAACCCTGACCTCACTCCCCTCTCACGCAGTCGCCCTCACAGGTCAGTAAGCTGCTACTGTCTCCTCTTGTCGCCTTGATTTTCTGTTTGGTCTTTCTGAGGGGCCCTTTCCTTTCTCCCCTTTGTCCCTATTCCAAGTCCTTGAGCTGTCCTGAGGCTTCTGCCTGAGGCTGGGCAGGTAGGACATTGTCTCTTCATGGGGATTGGCCTTTGGAAAGTTCCAGATAGAGGCTGCATGGACATGAGGGTGAGGGAGCAAGACTGTGAGTAAAGAGAACAGGTGAAGCAGGCAGGACCCCAAGGACAAAGGAAGACCCCGGGAGAGCCAGCAGAAAATGGAGCCTTCATGGGATGTCCACTTGGTTCAGAACCTGGATGCAAGAGCACCCACTTGGGCACTAGCCTGCCCTCAGTGAGCAAGTGCTTAGGCTGGAAAGAGAGCACCCCAAACAATCGAGGCGCTCAACAGTGGGTAATAAAGCTCTCAACCATGTGGCACAGAGGTTTTTATTAGCTTGTGCATGTACAGATGTAGCAATTTTTAGAACAAGAGAATAGTGACATATACCCTGAGGCTACTGCAGCTTCTGCCTTCTTCAGCAGTAGATTCTGTATCTCAGGCTCCGAGCTGAAGGAAGGCATCACACCCCATCTTCCCATGCTGGGCCCAAAGCCACAAGAAACCAGTATCTGGCCTCTGTTGCTATCATGCACACCAGACCCTCGTGGTACATGGCCAAAGCTCCCCAGTTTACTCCACTGTATCAGTCTACAAACACACCATCTCAGTGCCCCCATTCATCCAATAAGCTTCTGATTTGTTGATGGCAAGGTTGAGAATTACTGTCTTTGACCACAGCAGGGGGCAAAAATCCAGCAAAATAAACCTACAAAACAGATATAGTTTTTCTAATTCTTTTGTTTGATTCAACAAGTCAGATGGTAAATATTTACTGAGCATGCATTGTGTGCCAGGAATTGGGGTCAGCACTGGAGGAAGAAAAACGAAGCAGACCACAGACATCACCATAGTAAATTGCGGTGTGGGGGTGGGGGCAGTGTGTTGTGGGGGACATTGTTAGTTGCAGGAGATACTTTCAGAATTAAATGTCTAACATACCTGTATATATCATCACATAATTTGAGCTCATCCATTCTTAACGAACCCCTCTGCTGTTTGCATAGTGTCCTAGGGTCTTTCTGGGTCTGGCTGAACAGGGGCAATGCAACTAGTCTGCAGACAGGGAGTCGACACACTGTGAAAGCTGATCAGATGAACAACGCTTCTTCAAGATGGGAGGAACTCACCCCTTCTCCTGTACATATATAAACCTTGTATGTGGGTCATACTGCTATAGTTTCTACACTAAGTGCTTTGCTAAGGCCTGCTAGAAAGGAGAAAAAGACATTTGGGGTTTGTTATATGTGGAAATCCAGCCAGATCAGATGAAGGTTTCGTGACTTTTCCTAGATGATGCAACACAGTCATGTTGTCAACAGGAGGCCAAAATCACTAGGTAAAGACAAAGTCAAACTTCAAGTCTTTATGTGGCTCAAATGAAATGTTGGATGTGCATATAATTTGGAAACTGCAAATCCTCTGTACTTTAGTTTTCATGTTTTTAAGTTATTATTACTGCATGAAATAAGATGGTCCTGTGAATTCAATCTTAGTCCAGGATCTCCAGTCCACGCAGCGTGTGGACCCAGCCTAAGTCATAAGAGGTTCAGGTGGTAGAATGCCTCCTTTGCAGGGCTTCTGGGAGGGCTGAAGATGGGTGAAACATCTGGCACTGCTCCTGGTGTGAAATTATTTCAACACAGGTCAGTGGCCATTTGTCCCCATTCCCTGACTGATGTCACTGACTGTCCCTCAGAAGTCAGCATGATAATAAAAAACTTGCTTTCTTGAGGGGAAATCTTGGCAAATGCAAACAAGATAAAGCAGAGTCAGATGAGATGACCTGGGATGTGAGCCTGGGGGACAGGAGCAGGAAATGCTGCCCTGAGGTGTATTTTGTATATGCATGGCCCTAGGTCCGCAGACAGGGGAGGGATTCAGCTGTCTGCCACTTGGCATATGGTTCCTGTAGATCAGTCAGTTGAAACAAACATGTTGGTTTTCAGAGTTTCCTTGGGTGCAGATTTCTCTACCCACACAACACTATGAATATAGACTAATTACAAGCAAACTCCAAAAATGTGTGATTATGTGGTGGTTGATTTACAGCATTCTTCTTTATTTCATCTCTGCCTGTGGCTGGAGGATGAAAGAGCCAGTCTTTATCTGTTAGACTTCCATGAGCCCCTGGGTCCCTTTGCCTGCCTTGGGCAGAGCTAGAATTCTTGTGAATTGGATGAAGCTTTCCAGAGATTCCTCTTCCCAAAGCAGAAAGCATCCTTGGCACCCTAGCTGCAGGGGAAGATAGTGTCTCTTCTCCTAGGTTTTCTTTTCTTAGCAGTAAAAACTAGGCCAGGTGTGGTGTGGTGGCTCATGCCTGTAATCCTAGTACTTTTGGAGGCTGAGGCAGGAAGATCACTTGAGCTCAGGAGTTCAAGACCAGCCTGGGCAACATGGGAAAACCCTGTCTCTACAAAAAATACAAAAATTGGCTGGGTGTGTTGGTGCATGCCTGTAGTCCCAGGTACTCAGGAGGCTGAGGTGGGAGTATCACTTGAACCTAGGAGGTTGAGGCTGTAGTGAGCTGAGATCATACCACTGGCCTGGGCAACACAGCAAGAAGCTATCTCAAAAAACAAGGCAAGGCCGGGCGCGGTGGCTCACGCCTGTAATCCCAGCACTTTGGGAGGCCGAGGCGGGCGGATCACGAGGTCAGGAGATCGAGACCATCCTGGCTAACACGGTGAAACCCCGTCTCTACTAAAAATACAAAAAATTAGCCGGGCGTGGTAGCGGGCGCCTGTAGTCCCAGCTACTCGCGAGACTGAGGCAGGAGAATGGCGTGAACCCGGGAGGCGGAGCTTGCAGTGAGCCGAGATCACGCCACTGCACTCCAGCCTGGGCGACAGAGTGAGACTCCGTCTCAAAAAAAAAAAAAAAAAAAAAACAACAAGGCAAAAAAAAAAAAAAAACCCAAGAAACTAATGATGACAAATGACATTCTTCATGTCTGTGTGTAAATCAAAGTAAAATTATAAGCCCCTCTGCCCCACAGCCGACCAAATGGACCCTCCTTTTGGCCAAGGGGATCCCAAAGAAAACTTAAAAAACTAGTTCAGGCCATAATATGATGGGAAAGGAGGTCAGATGTGCCTCATTGTACCTCCTCCCGCTGGAGTTTAGACACAGCTGACCAGCGTTATCATTAGACTAGAGCTCTTGACTGACAAAACAGACTCCTTGTAACAAGATACCCAGTTACAACCTGACCCTGGGATAGCATTGTATGACAGATAGCAGGCCCTGGAGGAAATCAAAGTATTTTACCCCAAAATATATTTCTTTGACATACTTTGAAATGGTCCTGCAAAGCCTTTTTTTTTTTTGGAGGGGGGAGGAAGTTGCATTCTGTAGAGAATCTCCTTCTCTTACTGTCTTTTCTGGAGAATCTGACACCTTTTAAGGTCTAAGTTCTGATAAGAGATGTTTACCATCTTTCCTCTTTGAAGCCTGCTACTTAGAGGCTTCAATTACATAACAAGAATCTTGGCTTCCACAACCTCCCTCCATCTTAACTCAAGCATGTCTTTATGCTGACTTTAATTCTGCAGGCATTGCTTACCTCTTTCACCCAACTGCCAAGAAGCAACCTTTGAATCCTTGCCCTGCTTGAGATGTCTGGCCTTTTCTGGTAGAACCAATGTATACCTTGCATATATTGACTTATAAATGTCTTTTGCTGTAACTTCTGTCTCCCTAAAATGCACAACATCAAAAGATGTAACCAATCCACACTGGGCACATGTTCCCAGGACCTGCTCAGGCTGTGTCATGGGCTATGGCCACTCATATTTGGCTCAGAATAAACGTCATCAATCTATTTTACAGTTTGGCATGTTTTGTCAACTTGTGTATGTCTGTGTGCTTAAAAATAGACCAAAGCATTAGATGAATGGACCTTGTAAATCAAAAATAAAATTCGAAGCCCCCCGCCAACCATCTGAATGGACTTCCTCCTCAGCCAGGGCTCTTAAAATTTAACCTGAGAGACTGTTTCAAGCTATAATGCAAAGCGGGCGTGGAACATGTCTCATTATACCTCTCTGGCATTAGTCTGATAAGAAACATGGCCGGGCGCAGTGGCTCATGCCTGTAATCCCAACACTTTGGGAGGGTGAGGCGGGTGAATTGCTGAGCTCAGGAATTCGAGACCAGCCTGGGCAACATGGCGAAACCTCATCTCTACAAAAAAATGAAAATCAGCCGGGTATGGTGGCACATGCCTGTAGTCCCAGCTACTTGGGGAACTGAGGCTGGAGAGTTGCCTGAGCCCAGAAGGTTGAGGCTGCACTGAGCTGTGTTTGCGCCAGTGTACTCCAGCTTGGGTGACAGAGCAACAGCCCATCTCTTATTTATTTCCTCAAGTCATTACTTTTACACGTGGGATTCCTGAGGGTTAGAAAGAGGACAACAGACTTGTCCTTCACCTCCACTATATATGGCATGAGCCCTGTTATTGGAGACATAAAGTCCTGGGTTCACATCCCATCTCCTCTACTTAATAATCATCAAGGTAGTATTTTTCTTTCCTCTGAGTCTAAATTTTCTTATTTATAGAATGGGAAAGATTGTAATGCCCACCTAGTAGTGTTATTATTGGGATTAAATGAGAACAATTGCCTCTAGCAATCTAGTCAGTAAACCCCTTGAAGGATGGATGAAGTACCGCCCCCCCCAACCACAGTTCACATTATTCATCTTTGCTCTTTAGTTTTCAGCACAGTGCTAGGCGCACAATAAGCACTTGTTGATTACTGAACAAATAAACAATACCTGATTATGGGAAAGGACTCTCCTGAAGTGGGATGCATAGAATGCACCTAGGAGTGACGCTTTCCCAAGGGACATGATCAGTGAACGGTGGAAGAAGAACCATCTTGTATTTCACTGAATGGTGCTTACCTGCTGCATGTGCTCATTTTCAAGCCAGATTGTGCCCTTTCAGTTTTTCTGTGGCTTCCATATGCTTGTAAGTTAATTACTTTAGGTGGAGTTCTTTTACTTTTGTATTTTTTTAAAGAACACTACAAAGAAATGTCTCCCTTGGTTTTATTTCCTGCCAGTCACTTTAAGTTCAGCATTCTTGGGCACAAACACTGGGTAAACACCAGGCTGGGAAACACTCATGACATTTTCAATCTCTTAACTCAATGGTGTTGGTGGCCTTGGCCCTGGCCTGGAGAGAGGCCAGAGGTACTACAGAGCATGGGTCATATACTGCTCTCTCTTTGCCCAATGGCTTTCTCCTCTCAGGGTTGTGGACCTGAATTCAGAGAGTCCAAGTTAAAGTGGGTTTTGCGAGCTGGCCTGGGAACTCACCCACCAAATTCAGGAAGGGTTCTAGAAGAAACACACTTAAACCTGTCCTTTTCTCACTAAAGGGGCCACTTCCTTTCTTGCAGTTTGGCGAGCTGTGTACCTCTCCAGCTTTCTTTATGGTCAGTACTAGAAGAGCAACGGGTTGGGGGTTTATGCTTTCTCATCTGAAACAGGATTCTAGCTATCAGGTGTGAACAACACTCACTTTCCAGGCACTGCACCAGCTGCTTACAAGTCTTTATAATTTAAACTTTATAACCACCTTGCCAAGTATATTGTACTCACTTTAGAGATGATGAACCTAAAGTTCAGAAAACATAAGTCCCTTGCTCAAGGACTTCTGGCTAGTATGCTACAAAGCTAGGATTTTGGGGGTTTCTAAGTCCATGTTTTCCATGATCCCACATTGGGTATCTGCACCATTTACCTGCAGGATTTCACCCACAGCACTGTTGTGAGGATCAGAGGACCTCCCTGGGACCTGCACCTTTGGGGATGGCCTTCTACTGTCCAGTGAGATGACCGCTGTCCCCAATCCCTTGCTCCCTTAGACAAACAGTAACTCTCAGTTCCTGAGTCCACTATTCAAGGTTCTCAGTTCCCAAGTCTGCTATTCAAGGTCCCAGTGACTTCTCCAACCTCATCTCCACCCCTCCTTTCACAGCATCCATAATGTACCTGTGCTTCTCCCTTTTCTTTCACCAACCCTGAATTCCTAACACAATTATCACACCACCTTTTGGGGGCAATGCTTCATTATCTTCCCATAGACTCTAATTTTAGTTTTATGTTTCTAACTAAATATTTCCATGCATATTTGGATTCCTCTGTTCTAGAGATTCTCAGTGATAGCATTCATTAGAATGATCTAGTTTCTAGTGGGATGGTTAAAACAGTTTGCCGTGCTCTACCCCTAGAGCCTCTGAATCAGTGCATCTGGAGTGGAGACTGAGAGCTTGTATTTCTAAGAGGTTCCCAGGTGATATGGTTGCACTGTGTCCCCACTCAATCTCATCTTGAATTGTAGCTCCCATAATTCCCTCATGTTGTGGGAGGGATCCGGTAGGAGATAATTGAATCGTGGAGGGGCAGTTTCCCCCATACTGTTTTCATGATAGTGAATAAGTCTCATGAGATCTGACGGTTTTATAAAGGGAAATCCCTTTCGCTTGGCTTTCATTCTGTCTTGTCTATCGCCATGTAAGACATGCCTTTCGCCTTCTGCCATGATTGTGAGGCCTCCCCAGCCACGTAGAACTGTGAGTCCATTAAACCTCTTTCTTTTGTAAATTGCCCAGTTGTGGATATGTATTTATCAGAGGCAAGAAAATGGGCTAACACACCAGGTGATGCTGATGAGGATGGTTTTTTTTTTTTTTTTTTTTTTTTTTTTTAGCATTGTTCTAGTCTTTCCCTCAATACACGCTTACTAAGAATCTCCTAAGATCTTGCTACTAACAGAATAGGGAATGGACACTACCTTTGAGAATCCCACAGTCTAGGTAGTAATTCGCAAGCTCAGCACATGTTATAGAATCATCTAGGGAGCTTTAGAAAATTATATGCCTGGTCCCATCCCAGAGCAATTGATTAAAATCTCTGAAGTGGGGCCTAGTATTGTTATCATTTGTTAGCTCCCCAGGGGATGCTAATGTGTAGCCATCCAAGGTTGAGAACCACTGGTCCAGGGAAGAACAGTCTTATAAACAGAAAATCGCCTTTTAGAAGCAGCAGGATATTTCAAACAGCTTCCTCAGGGAAGTGGTTGGGCTGAGTTAGAGGGAAGGGATTGAACTGGGTGTCAGCAGCCCTGGGTTTTTGTTCCGTCTCTGCTTTGTGGCCTCAGGCAAATGTCTTAGCCTCTCTGATCTCAGTTTCCTCAGAGGCCCAGGGATATGGCAGGTCTGGAGGATTTCAGTGTCTCTCCCTCTTCTACAGTGATGACTCTAATGATGTGAGGATGAATTCCTGTCTCACTGCAGAGATTAATAAACTTAAGGGTTGGCATATTACTGCAAATGATGAAGGAAAAGTAAAAAAACAAAACAAAACAATGAACCTGGTTATTTGGAGGCATAACACCAGGTGACAACACAGGCTCGAGGGCCCATGAATTCCAACTCATCCATCTTGCCTTGGAGAAAGTAGCCAATGAAGCCAAAGTTTTGCCAATGAAGTTTTCTTTGCCTACAGTAGTGGTTCTCAAACTGTTGTACCTGGTTTGGCAACATCAACATTCCCTGGAGACTTTTTAGAAATGCAAATTCTTGAGCCCCACCCTAGACCCACCAAATCAGGAACTTTAGGGTTGGGGCCCAGCAATCAGGTGGTTGTGAGAGACCTTCAGTGTGAGAAGCTCTGTGCTGGAGAAATGCTGCTCCCTCCCGGGCAGGGAGCCCCTCCTCACCCTCACTCCCAATTGAGTACAAGGAGTTGACCTTAATTGCAAACTTTGTGTGTCTCTGTAGAATACCTTGTTGTCCAGTTTTGCTTTAAAAAAAAAAAATGGAAGAGAGTTCGGCAGCCTGTGTTTGTTACATTCATTGGCAATTTTTGCCTTGCTCAAATTATATACATTTTCTTCTACTTGCTTTGGTTTTGAAATGAAATTGCATATCCTTTGCTTAACATAGATAAAGGGGAAGAGGCACTGTTACCATATAGGATGACTAAGACATTATATAATTTTCTCAAAATGTGTCAGTGCTCAGGTTCACTCTTGTGATGATCCTATTGTTGCATGTTCTAGCGGTCTACTTAGATTATGATGGAGAAAAGTCATTATATGGGTGTGTTGTTCTGTGCAAAGAAAGTGCCAGAACATTGGGTGGGAATGTAAATCAGCAACTGGACTCCGATTCTGGCTGGTAAAAAGGTGGGTTTCAAAGGCTTTGGAGGAGAATGGTCATATTGTGTCAAAGCAGTTAAAAGGGAAGGTCTCCTTTACTTTCAGCACAAGAGGGCTGCCTATAAGGGTTCCAGGTCTGCTTTTATGAATATGAGACCCTAAGAAGTGTTGCAATTGTAAGCCATGGGGGACAGTGTCACCTTGATCCACCAATTTACTGCTGCCAGCAGTCAAAAGAGCTAAACATCTTCACACGCTTCTCAGTCCACTTTCATTTGATCACCCAAAGAGGTGCCTGGGACAATAGTCCTGGGATGTGACATTGATGTGATATATATTTGCTTCAACTAAAAGGAGCAGGTGCCTTTGAAGAGCTTGAAACTAGGAGAGGATTCTGATTCCCCTCGAGCTCCCTGGCACCCTGAGGAAGTAAAAATAGTGTTTTGCATCAATCTGGCTCTTGCTTGACTGAAGTTTTCCCTAATGGCAATCATGTCTGCAAGCCCCAAATTCATCACTGCCTCCTAAGCCATCACAAAATCTACCTGTTGTCAGGCAGACCCCCAAAACCTTCAGCAGTGCACCCTGCTTCAATGCCTACTCACTTGCAAAGGTTATCTTTGGATTTTATCTCAAGACAATAGCAAAAAACCCAGACATTGGGTGATGGCATTTTGCTGCCTGCTCTATTTAATTGATGTCTGGCTGGTTTCTCCCCCACGCCTCTTCAATTTAGCTCTGGAAACATCTCTCTTTTTTATCCACCAATAGAATCTCAAAAGGGTAACAAACCTGTTAGATAAAATATCAAAGTTATGAATTCCGATTTAATAAATGTGCATTCAAGAGATGATTCATGGCATGTATGATGACTTTCAATTGCTTTCTCAAACAGTTCATGCTTCATTTCATTAAGCGCTTCAGTCAATGCCAACCGATTAATTATCACAGCACTAGTCATCTTTTGTTTAGAAAACACGTGCATGGGACCCGTCTGGGGCTTGGCCATATAGAAATTTTACTTAAAATGCAAATAAAAATGTTTTAAAATAGATACCTTTATAAATGTTTATAGAATTCCACTAAAATGATGTTGAAAATGATGTATTTCTTTGCTTAAGAAATGCCTACCCGGTACTTACAAGGGTCATAGGCACAATGAGACTCCAAGTGCCAGAACATTGGGTGGGAATGTAAATCAGCAACTGGACTCTGGCTTCATTACATTTGGCTTCAAACATCTTCACTGGTTTTCTCTGAATGATATCGTCCCAGGAGTCAATATCTTGCCCTCAATGATCTTATTGTCTAATGGCTACCAACTCTGTTAGGGAATTGATTTCAGTCTGAGGAATTCTGAGTCCTGATGGTTCAAGGTTTATGAATTGGAGTCCCAGTTGGACCACAAAGTGGCTGTGTGACATTGAACAAGGTGTGTCAGCTCTCCAAGACTTGTTTTCTCCTGCTTCAAATGACATGGTTGGACTCTGCTGCCTTTTTATTTTTTTGAGACAGAGTTTCACTCTTGTTGCCCAGGTTGTAGTGCAATGGCATGATCTCGGCTCACTGCAACCTCTGCCTCCCACGTTCAAATGATTTTCCTGCCTCACTCTCTCAAGTAGCTGGGATTGTAGGTACCCACCACCACGCCTGGCTAATTTTTTGTATTTTTTAGTAGAGATGGGGTTTCGCCATGTTGGTCAGGCTGATCTCGAACTCCTGACCTCTCCTAGGTTTTTCTCATTTTGCAGGGTTTAAGAACTGAATTTCCAGATCCACCCACCCCAGCCTCCCAAAGTGCTGGGATTACAGGCGTGAGCCACTGTGCCCGGTCTCTACTGCCTTTTATGTCCCTAGTAGCGCTAACATTATGTAATCTTAATACTCCATGTATATTGTTTGCCTCTCACTTCATTTCTAACAAAAGGGACCCATAGAATAAAAACACTGAGGTTTAGTGAAGACCCTCATACTACCATGTAGAATTTTTTTCATTTTGGCAGATTTATTCATCTTTTCTGTACACTTGGAATGCTTATACGATTGCCGTAATAGCAAAAGTCAAAGAGAAGATCTCATTTTAAGCAATTTAATAGGTGGAAATGGCTTTTTCATTTCATGTGTAGTGTCTTAAGGTTTTTAAAACATAATTTAATAAATAAGAACAATTTATTTTTAACCAAATAAATAATGAAGCTATGTCACCGCTGGCTCCTGGGGACATGTGTGTTGGCTAGTCTTGGAAGAAGTGACCACCCACACAGCTGGTTTCCTTGGCCACAAGTGTGAATACGAGACTCTAAGAAGTGTTGCAATTGTAAGCTGTGGGGGACAATGTCGCCTTGATCCACCAATTTACTCCTTCTAGAAGTCAAAAGAACTAAACACCTTCATTGGCTTCATTACATTTGGCTTCAAACATCTTCATTGGTTTGGTCTGAATGATATTGTCCCAGGAGTCGTCAAAGCAAGGGTGCCCTCTTGTAATTGCATTTTTCCATGTTTGGTTTCGCTGCTAAATGATAAATTCCATGAAAGCAGGGAACAAGCCTGTCCCATTCTGAACTGATTTCCCAGTGCCTGGCATAGTGCTGGTGTTGGATACTTGTCTGATAGATGAAAAGATCTATCAGACCCCTAAACATGTAGGTCTTTGCTTTATGCCCATTTTCCAGGAAGGAAAGACTGAAGTTGAGCTCTGAGCCTCTCACTGTGTACTCAAACAGCTGAGTGGCTCTTGGCTTGAATCCAGCTCTGTGTTGTCTCATCCTGTCAGAAAATATGCCTTTTCTGAGCATACTAGGTTTTTCTCATTTTGCAGGGTTTACGAACTGAATTTCCAGCTGCCAGCAAGTGTTTATTTGTGTCTCTGTCTGACAACAGGGAAGTTCGCCTTTGCTGTCCCTTCCTGCCTGACCTCATCCTTAATAATCCTACCACCACACTGCTCCTGCTCCCACCCCTTCATAACAGCCAGTGATACTTGCTTTTCTTCGCCAAGCCTGCCTTGGGTAGACAGCTGTTGTGAGAAATGACTGTTTTTCTGTCACCCTGAAGGGTTTTCAAATAAAGCTCCTTTATTGCAGTTTAAAGACACCTGACCATGTAGTACCAATGGTGTTACTTAACCAAAAGCGGTATGCTGGGGTGCTAATCCATTCCACCCCTTTAGCTGATCTGATAAGATGGTTCTCCTTGTAGGCCATGCAAATATTTCTGAGCAGTGCACAGAGACCTTCACCTTCTGCCTGTCTACCACTGTCTATGGCACATTGTGCACTGCTGGCTTCTTTTAGACCTGGGGTGGGGGGATAAAGTGCAATATTTCAGGAAACAAGCAGCCATGAAGAAAACAGACTTGACCTGAAATTCTACTGATCTCATTTCAAGATTGCAGCTTCTTTTCCTGCCCACTGTGTGGCCTTGGGAAAGTATCAGAACTTCCCTTGACCTCATCCGAAAACTAAGGTGAAGAGTCTGGAGAAATACAAAGGGCACCTTGAGCTGGGGAAGGACTGAGAAGTCCTTCCTATTGGGGAAAATTGCAGGGGAGGGGATACAGCACATGACTTCAGGAGACCTTGACTCCAGTCTGGGTTTTGCCACAAGCCTGACCTTGGAGTTGCGTCTGTCTTGCATGGCTCATAGCTGGGTCCCTTGGAGGGTGCCCAGCACAGAACAGGCCTGCAATAAATATAAGCTCAGTGTTTGCTCTCATTGGAAGAATCGATCTCTTGAAATCCCTTGGGCTCCAGTGTCCTTACTTAGAAAATGGAGATAATACCTTGTACATCTCAAGATGGTAGGGAAGGATCGAGGTGACGGATGACAAGTGGTGGCTCCAGAATCTGGCACCTGGTCAGTACTCAAGACTGAGTTACCATTTTCATTGCTTGATTCAGGCTGTCTGCTTCTGTGAGAGAGCACTATCTGCTTTCTCATATTCTGGTTTTAGCACAGGATGGTAAGCAGAGCTCCACTCAAGTCTACCTGACTCCAAAGTGAGTGCTCTTTCCATGCTGCCACCTCACAGGACTGTGGCTGTTTGATTTACCTGTCATTCATTCATTCATTCAAGATGGAATCTTGCTCTGTCACCCAGGCTGGAGTACAGTGGTGCGATCTTGGCTCACTGCAACCTCCGCTTCCTGGGTTCCAACGATTCTCCTGCCTCAGCCTGTGGACCAGCTGGGATTACAGGCACCCACCACCATGCCCCGCTAATTTCTGTATTTTTCTTAGAGATGGGGTTTCACCATGTTAGCCAGGCTGGTCTTGAACTCCTGACCTCAAGTCATCCGCCTGCCTCAGCCTTCCAAAGTGCTGGGATTAGAGGTGTGAGCCACCGCACCCAGCCTTAATTTATCTGTCAAAGTCCATGCACTCACCTTGGCCCCAGAGACATCCTTGTCGTGACTAGGCAGTGACCAGGCTGTGACCCTTGGTCTTCCCTCATCCCAAACAGAGGGTTTTTGCTGCCAGATTTGGCATCCCCTGGCAGATGGTATGGATCAGGCTGATAGGTATTGGCAAAGAAATAACCACAGCATCATCACACCCTGTAACTGTGTTTGATCCAATGGCTAATGGCGTCATTAGCAAAGGAGAGTAATTTTAGGTGTGCCCTGCCGATGGTGGCCACCAGATCAATGGCTGTTTATCATCCTCTGGATTCCCTGCCTGGGGTGCAGGCAATGACATCAGATTGGTACTGACATCAATTTCTGGGAAGGTAAACACACTTTGTAACCATCCCCGGTGCTCGTCAATGCTCTCCAGGGCCTTCCTGTGGTGGGAGCCTGCGGCTGCCTAGTTGGTGTTCCTCTGCCCAGAAATGGGCCTTGGCATCACAGCATTCTCAGCATGTGACACGCCGGGCCCTGGGGGCAGATTGGAGATGGCACGTTTGGTCCCGAAGGCACCCAGCAAGCCTCCTTTTTGAAACAGCACCAGCTAGACAGAATCAATTTCCCATTGACTTTCAGCTCTGTCTCAGACACTGTAATTCTCGTCTGAGGGTTTATAAAGGCCATTGACTGTCTTATAAAAGATTTAAACACTTACCTTGTGGCATGCGGGAGCTCTATCTGTCATGATGCCTTTTTGACAAT
The DNA here is from genome assembly GCF_000001405.40 of Homo sapiens. Taxonomy (NCBI): domain Eukaryota; kingdom Metazoa; phylum Chordata; class Mammalia; order Primates; family Hominidae; genus Homo; species Homo sapiens. Next base: position 65,948,197 of record NC_000016.10, on the reverse strand, counting down.
TTGTGAGGGTAGGATTTGTTGGGGGAGGAGGGCTGGTTGGCGTTCCCACGGCAGGTGTGGCTCAGACAGCTGGTGCCTGCCAGCCCTGCCTGCACAGAAAAGGGTTGGGATGCATTGAAAGATCTTCCTAATTTATCACCCAAGGGCTCTTTTCCATGGAGAGTCAGGCTCTCCTTGCTCCATTTTGAGAACAAATTGCATGTGACACAAGATAAACTTTACCCCAGCATTGCCTCTGCTGGAACCAAGGACACATCACTGGGTTATAATTGGAACCAGAGGCATCCAGGATTTTATAATTTTTATAAACAGGCACACAGGATTTTGTAATTAACAGCAATGAGAACAATAGTGATGATCTTCTGCCCTTGGGCTCCCCCACCCCAAATCTATAAGGTATGCATATGGAATCTCTCTCTTTTTAGAGATAGGGTCTTGACTTGTTGCCCAGGGAAGAGTGCAGTGGTGCGATCACACTTCACTGCAGTTTCAAACTCCTGGGAACAAGTGATCTGATCCTCCCACATTTCAGCCTTCCTGGTAGCTGGGACTACAGGCACAAGCCACCATGCCCAGGCTAATTTTATTTTTTATTTTTTACTTTTTATAGATTTGGGGTCTTGTTATGTTGGGTAAGCTGGTCTCAAACCCCTAACCCCCAGTGATTCTCCCTCATCAGCCTCCCCAAGGGCTGGGATTATAGATGTGAGCCACCAAGCCTGGCCCTAGTCTCTTTTTTGATGTACAGAATCACTCTGGAATGCAGGCAAAGCCAGGATTGCTATATTCATTTTACATATAGGGAAACTGAGATTCAAAGAGGTTCAGTGTCATATCTGGCCAAGATAATCTCAGTTTTCAGGCAAAGCAGCATTTTTCAACTTAACCTCTACCTAACCTTCTACTGCCCATTCTCTTTCCATCCACTCATTCTTTAGCCAGCCAGGTGGTCCTTCCTAAGAAAAAAGAGAGGCATGAGATGATGGAATTTCTTTCCTGCAGGAGCTCTGTCCAGTGGGTAATATAGCCAGGGAGTGAGTGGGGTAATTGCATTCAGTGCATTTAGTATATAATAACATTATGGTCAAGGAATATGGGAACATAGAGAATGCGATGGTCAGGGCTCTGGGCTGGGGAAGGGGATTGTGGTCAGACAACCATGGCATCAGGACATAGGCACAGGCTCTAAGGCATGAGGAAAGCCAATCTTTGGGGGAGTTGCAGCATTGACAAGTGTTAGAGAAAAGACACATGAGGGTCAGGCTGGGGAATGACAGAGGATCATGATGCGGCCCTTTCCCTCTCTCATGGTGTCTCCTTATCCTCTCCTTCTTGTTCACTTTGGCCACACTGGTTTCTATGCTGTTCCTCCAGTATCCCAGCTGAACTCTCACCTCAGGGCTTTTGCATTGGCTTTTCCAATGAAAACTGCCAGGAGTGATCTTTGCTTTGAGAACCTTGACACTAACAATCCCACTTCTTCCAAGTCTACTCCAGTGTTATTTAGGCTGATTTGGACCACCTAGTTTTGCAACCCTCCCACCCCATCTCCAGAACTCTAGATCCTTTTTCCCCTGTCCTACTTCTTCCTTTTTCCATAGCACTTACCATCTTCTAACATACTTTGTAATATACCTCCTTATAGGGTTATTAATCATGGCTTTCTCCTTCAGCTGGAATGTAAGCTCCATAAAGGCAGGGATCATTGCCTCTGATTTATCCAAGTACCTAGAACAGCACTGGCAAGGAGTAGACACTGAGTGCATATTCGTTGAGTAGATGAATTAATGAATATTTGCCCTTCAATTATGAGCAAGCTGAAGAGTTGGACTTCATTGATGTGGCTGATGACATCAGCTTGGGATTTGTTGTTGTGGGCAATGGAATTGAAGGAAGTTAAGCAGAGGAATTATGTGGTCATATTTTGTTTCAGAGATGCTCGTCCAGTGGTTGTGTGGAAGGGAGAAGAGGATCAGGAAGACACAATCCAGGTGAGGGATGAGGAGGAAGGAGGTTCTAGGGCAAGGCAGGGAGTGTGGGGATTGGGGAGAGGGAGACATCAATGGGATTAGATAGACTTGATGCTATGGGATGCCTAGAAGGGAGAACTGAAGCAGATCCCTCACTTTGAAGCTGAGCAACTGGGTGGAGAATCTGGTCATTAATTGACTCTGAGATTGTGGTTATGGAAAACATGTTGTGAAAACGTGTGTGTGTGTGCACATACACTAGCAAAGGAAGTGAATCCTTGCTGCATAGCAGACTGTGTAGTAATGTCAATGGTGTTGTACATTTGGCTTGAATGGCAGGGCAATTCAGCATGGAGTTGGCCTGGCCACCAGAGGTCTGAAGTAATTTAGAATGGCTAACTGGCTTAGTAGAATGCTGATGGGAAGGAAACAAAAATGAAAGTGTGATTATCTGACTACCTTCTGTTTGGTATTCTAGGGTGAGGACCAAATGCACTGGTGAAATGATTTCTGACTCTGAGGCAACACAGTGCTTCCCCCAGTCAGAGCAGTGAGCACAGGGCTCTGTTTCCTGGTGGGGCCAAAGTCGAGAGTTCAGCATGTCCTGCTTCCTCTCTGTCCTGGGATTCCTGGGGCTGGCACATCTCTTCCCTACTCTTTTTTTTGGATCCTCTTCTGTTGTCTCCTCTTCCGTCCTGTCCTCCTCATCACATAACTGTATGGTTAACCAGGACTTTATATCTTTCACACCCTCTGTGCTAACTCACATGGGGTCCCCAATCCTAAGGGGTTTCTCATATGGGACCTTGTGGACCCCAGGCTCCTGGGGGCAGACACCCCACCCCACAGTGGTGAAGAACCAGGCTTTGGTCCCAACTCTGCTATGGGCACTGTACATGAAACCTAAGGAAAATCCTTTTTTTTTTTTTGAATTTCAAGGCTCTCATCTGGAAAGGAGGATAATAATGACTGTCCTGTATTTCTAAATCAGAATGCTGGAATTTGAGAGTTGAGCATTGGAACAAATTGTTGGTTATTCTGTGGGCAGAAGGAAAGAAGGACACTTTGATCCTGAACTTGCAAATACCACATGAGGTAACATCCAGATCATATGAAAATTGCCTCTTATAGCAACTTCTCTGTTGGGTGGCACCCTCTGTGGTAGGAAGAACTGTCTAGAGAAATAACTACATAAAAATAATTCCTGAAAAAAGGATATTTCTATTATGCCATAAAAATTTCAATTTGGGCCATATTTGATAAATTTTCTCTGAAATTTCTGAAAAACTTTTTATCTCCTACTAAAAGCATTTTATGAAAGGGGGATATGCCTGTGGCTGAGGGGCAGTTATGTCCAGTTAGATTCTTAGTTTTCATACTTCAGTTATTCCTTTTGGTGACATGTTCACTACTGCTAGGCCAACAAGGGTCTTCCTTGGCCACCATGCAGAGGAGAGTAGATTTTTGTCCTGCTATGCAGTGGGGACTATTTTAGAATGCTGAGCAAGGAGAATCACATTTCTATTTTCTTTCTTTGGCATGGAGTGGGGGCCCGAGTTGAGGGTATTAAGTAGATGTCTGTGGATGAGCTTGGAAGGCCAGAACACATCACTGATGCATGGAGAGATGGAAAGGATTTAAAAGCTATTAAGCAGATAAAGTCTGGATTGATGGAACTTTTAATGATTGGACAGAAGTGAGGAAGAGAAGGGAGTCGAGTGCAACTCCACATTTGTTACTGACGTTAGAGCAATTTCATGGAAAGACAGACTGCAGGGCTAGTAGAGGGTGAGGGAGCAGAGAGGGAAGTATAGATAACTATTTGAAGAAGCTTGTCTGTGTGTTGGAGCCAGAAGGAGAGAGAAGGCCAAGGGAGATTTTTTGTTTTATTTTTGAGCTGTAGGAGCTCTGAACATATTTTTTTTATTTTTAGTTTTTTTGTTTAATTTTAATTTTTTTTTTTTGAGATGGAGTCTCCCTCTGTCACCCAGTGGTGCAATCTTGGCTCACTGCAGCTTCTGCTGCCTGTGTTCAAGTGACTCTCCTGCCTCAGCCTCTCGAGTAGCTGGGATAACAGGTGTGCGCCACCACGTCCAGCTAATTTTTGTGTTTTTAGTAGAGATGAGGTTTCACCATGTTGGTCAGGGTGGTCTCAAACTCCTGACTTCAAGTGATCCACCCATCTTGGCCTCCCAAAGTGCTGGGATTATAGGCGTGAGCCACTGTGCCCAGCCTTCTGAGCACATTGATATGCTGAAGGGAAATGTTCTTCCTGGTGGAGGGAAGCCGGGCCATACAGAATGCAGAAGTGACAATTGATGAGCAAAAATCCTGAGTGATGCCCAGGCACAGAGCAAGGTGGCAGCAGACACATCTTCCAATGAGGAGGATATGGTAAGAAGAGATGTGGCGGCTCCTCAATGTGTGGGCAGTGAAGCAAAATGTTGGAGAAGTTTATACCCAACCCCTCTAATGATCACTTTAGGGTAGAAAGTGAGGCCATCTGCTGTAAGCTGGGCATGGAGCTGGGGCTGGAGGCTTGAGGACAGTGGATGGAGCAAGTCTGCTTAGAACAATGGAGGGGATCTGCCTGGAGACCGAGGTGTGCCAATGTCACAGCTGGGATGGGACCCAGGAGAGGGCATGGCTGGGTCATTTTCTCCAGCATGAGGAGGGGCCAGTGGGGCAGCAACAGGGGCAGATGGTTGGGTGCTCTTGGAAATTGCGGCAGAGGCGCTACAGAGCAAGAGCTCAAAGAATGACTGAGTGATGGATGATAGCAGCGGCATGAAGGGAGGATTAGGCTGGGAGCTGATGTATTTAGAGAACAACCTGGGGGACTAGACATCATGATAAAGTCAGACAAAGGATGCCTCATGATTAAAGGAGCTGAGAGGAAGTAGGCTGGAGTCAGGCATTAGATTTTAAGATTTTAGAGCCAGAAACTTCTGGGTGATCTTGAGGTCCAGGATGTTGGTGGTTGACAGCAGAGTAGAAGTGAAAATGACTATGAACGTGATTCTAAGTACAACACTCAATGCTTTAGATGGATTCTCTCCTTAAATCTTATACCAATCCCTATTTTAAAGATGGGACACTGAGGCATAGAGGGAAGAAGCAACTTGCTCAGGGCACCATGATTAGTCATTGTTAACAGCTGGGATGTGAAACCAGGTGGTGTCTTCCACTCCCAATTGCTGCTCTTAGCACCCTAACAGCAGTTGGCTAGGTCTACTCTATGCATGTCCCTTAGGATAATGGCAGTGGTTAGGCTGGAGAGGAAGGGGATAAAACTGGGACCGAGTCTCATATGAAATGTTGACGTGTACCAAAATGATAGCCAAGCATCAATCTGCCCATGCTGGCCCCACCCCCTGTAGGCACTTCATAATGGCCAGTTCCACTCTGGATTCCAAAGAGCCAACAAGTCACCTGCTGTACATGTCACTCACCCTCATGTGGGCACTGAGCTTCCTGAGGCTGTGACTATGTGTCTGGGGACTGGCGATTGGCCTTTGCACAGGATTCAAGTCACAACCATCAGCGGTGCTATGCAGCAGGACTCAGCCTTGACACGGGCTGCTCTTTGTCAGGAGAGGGGAGTGTCTCCCACAGTGAAAGTCATGTCAAACAGGGCTGCCCGGTGACCAAGGAGGATGGTAGCTTCTGTGTTCTTCTCCACATTCCCTCATCAGACCACGATGTTAAGTCTCACTGGAGCCATATTTTCCATGAGGTGTCAGCATCCCGGACACATTTCAAATGGTGTAGTTGCTTTCCTCGGATAATTCTCCAGGGACAGTCTGGGTCCAGGCAACTGATATTAGTAATACTCTGGTTGTTTCCAAACTTGGTTCAATTATTCCAATTGTTTTTATTCTTTTTCTCATCCTAATGTAAATCCTTCCTCTTCCCCCTCCCCTCCCCATCCCTCCCTTCCTCCTTTCCTCCTTTCCTCCTTTCCTTCCTTCCTTCCTTCCTTCCTTCCTTCCTTCCTTCCTTCCTTCCTTCCTTCCTTCCTTCCTTCTTTCCTGGGTCTTGCTCTGTCACCCAGGTTGGAGTGTGGTGGTATGATTATAGCTCACTAAAGCCTTGAACTCCTGGGCTCCAGTGATCCTCCCACCTCAGCCTCCAGAGTAGTTAGGACTACAGTTGTATGTCTCTGTGCCTATCAATTTTTAAGATTTTTTTTTTTTGGTAGGTACAGGATTTCTCTATGTTGCCCAGGCTCGTCTCAAACTCCTAGCCTCAAGCTGTCCTTCTGCCTTGGCCTCCCAAAGTCCTGAGATTACAGGTGTGAGCCACCATACCTGGCCTTTTCCTCCCTGTTTATCTCATCATTAAAAGGTAGCATGGTGTGGTAGAAATATCTTGATTCACTTGTTTATTTGGAAAACACTGGAACATGGATTTGGTGTGAGGTGGCCTTGGGTTTAATCCCAGCTGTGTGGGGTATGCATATAGGCAGGGGTCACATCATCGCATCCTGTGGATGTCACAAATGAGCAAAGCTTTTAACCTGCAAATGATAGGGGAGCTATGACCACAGGGGAATTTATTAAATTCTTGGGTCCTCAGTTTCTTTCTCTGCACAGCAGAGCTTTTGTATCAACTTGGCATAATGTTCATGAGAAGCCAGTAAGAAAATATTAGTAAGGGCCTAGCATGGTACCTGGCATATGGCTGCATCCAAACCTGTTGATTCCTCTTCCCTGAGGTTCCTGATGGAGAGAGGTCATTTCCCTAAATGAACAGGCAAGCTAGTTGCAGCGCAGTGGCCAGTGGGAGTGTCTGTTTTGTATTTGCATCGTGGGCACTGAAGGTTGTTGGCAGCCATGGGTGGCTGTGTGTCCAATTAACCTGGCTGGGAGATGTGGAGATTTTTATTGGAGCAGGATAAGGGTTTGAAAGAGTTCATTTCAAAGCTTGTTCCTTTATTTCATATCAGGAAACCTCTAGCCTGCTTCCTTCCCTGGTTTTGCTGGTCTAGAATGTACCTGGCTACAGGATGTGGTAGGATCTGCCTGATCCAGGCTTTGGACAATAATCCTTGATGCTGCGATTGAACCCAGTGTGAAATAGTCCATGATGCCTTACCATTTAGGGAATGGAAATTGCATTCTTCACACCAGATACATTTTTCAGATGATCTAGGCCTATTCTTCACTGGAAGCTTTTATTTTAGCATTTCTGGACCTGGAATAAGAGAGAGAGCCCATCCTTGCTTTGGCTTTGTGGCAAGTCTGTGTTATACCCTGGCCTTGCCTGGTGTTTCAGCTTGGTTATGATATTATCTGGCTTCATGTCATGTTTCATCTCACATATGTCGTGCCATTTGTTCAAACATAAGAAGTACAGTGATTCTGTGGAAAGAGCAGAGTTTTGAGTGAGGCTGCCTGAGGTTGTCTTCTGACTTGCAGCCTCTCTGAGTCTCTATGATACCAAGTCCTCAGGAGTTTTGTGAAGTCCAATAACATAATGCATGTGAAAATGTCATGCAAAATGCAAAGAGTTGTATAGATATTATTTACAGTTTTATTTATTACCTTCCAATCTATAGACCAAGACTCACATGTTAATGACAGGCTTCAAGAGTGTGACAATTTATTTTTGTTAAAATATAATTAATCTTTCAGGCCATTCATAGAGAATACGAATAAAAATCCCTCAATGTTTATGCACTTTTTATTAACCTTTAACGGCGTGTTTGGATGGTATTTGGATGGTTGGACTGAGTTTTGAGAATCTATTTTCAGGATTTTTCTTTTTTTTTTTTTTTTTAGTTTAAAAAGTCAGTGCACCATCCTCAATGACTTTAATGGAGATTAAGTGAATAAAGTTCACAATATTGTCAATGTTAATAAAAAAACTACATAAGATCTCTCAGACTCAAGGAGTTGGGAATTGTAAGAAAAGCTGATAGTCTGGCTTCCGGGATGTCACTGATAATTGGCTCAATGTTCTTTTTTGTCTCATCTTGCATTCTCTCCTCACTCTAACTCTCCTCTCCTCAAGAATCTGTCATGGCTCCCTATTGTCCAATGGGCTTTCCAAAGTCTGTCTGGTGTCCTCCTTCTTTGACATGATTCTCTTAGTCTCTCCTGCTGGTGATCTGTGTTTGGGTCTTTGTGCACTGCATTCTCCTAGAGATTTACTGTCAACTTGCACATTAGTTTTTGTAAGATTAGCATCCCTGAGGTGCACCTCCAGTAGAGTGCTGCCATCGTGGCATTCCATGCCTTTTCTCCTACAAGAAAGATCTGCTTTCTATACTTTATTCAGTGCCAGTCTCACTTTCTGCAGAAATTTGTCCTACATAGAACAGAGAAGAGCACCATGCCCCTTAAGTTCGTACATACTCACAGCCAGTTGGAAAGTTCTCATAAGATGGGTTGCTTTTCAAAATGAAGAGATCCTGGTAACTATGTTCTAACAGATCTCTCTGTTAGGAACAATTGCCCACTCTTGCTTGGCTGCTACCTACATACCTCATCTATCTTATAGGCTGAGCAAGTTGGGACATATTTGACTCTGTAAAATGACATAGCTTTTATCACAGTGTCCACATAGAATGCACTCTCAATAAAATTCACTAAATGCATTAAAATCATGGGTTCTCATAAATCTTTAGAGGCCCTGGCCATTGAATCAGGAAACTCCCCAAATGCTGGTGAGCTCAGGTATCCCTCCCCAGCAAATATGAAATAGGATCAAAGCATGAGGACAGTGATTGGAAGGGATTTGTTTAGAATAGTGGCTATGTTTTCTATTTCTGTAACAGATGACCACACATTTAGCGACTTCAAACAACACAAATTTATTATCTTATAGTTCTGCAAGTTGGAAATCTGACATAGGTCTCACTAGGCCAATATCAAAGTATGAGGAGAGCTGTGTTCCTTTCTAGAGCCCTAGAGGAGAATCCATTTTCTTGACTTTTCCAGCTTCTAGAAACTTTCCATGTTCATGGCCTCTTCCTCCATCTTCAAAGCCAGTAATGTTGCCTCTCTCTGATCATTCTTCCATCATTATATCTCCCCCGACTCTCTCTTCCACTTCCATCTTCTGCTTTTAAAGGCCTCTGTAATTACATTGGGTCCTTCTTGATAATCCAGGATACTGTCCCTATTTTAAGGTCAGCTTATTAGCAATATCAATTCCACCTGCAAGCTTAATTTGCCTTTGATCTGTAACCTAACATATTCACAGCTTCTAGGGATTAGGGCATGGACATATTTGGGAGAGCCATTATTATGCCTCCCAAAAATAGAGACTAAGGTATATGGCTCCTGAATCTACTTTTTCTTCACCCAGATGAAGACATTCATATATGTAAGAGATATCCACAAGGAGATCTCATCTATTGAGAGACTATGGGCCATGGCTATGATTGAACAGTTGATATATCAGTCAACACAAAACCCATCAATCAACTACCCAAACAGCACGCATTGACTGATACCTAGAGATTCTGAGGCAATTGCTCTCATCACGGGGTATGAGAGGGAAGGGCCTAAAAGGACAAGACACTGTAATGAAGGCCTCTGAGAGGAGTGGACACATCCGCTGACTCTTGAAGGAGACATAGGTCATAAAAAGTTTTTCACTGGACAGGTAAAGTTGGGAGGGCACTTCTAGCAAAGGGCACAGAATGTGCAAGGTATAGAGGAGTAGACCAATATAGCATGTTCAAGAATCAGCCAGTAGTTCTCCTTCTGCCATTGTGGAACCTGTGGAGGCCTGCTGGGATCAGGATCTCTAAAATGCCAAATATGTCTGGAAGGATATGGCCCAAGGTCATTTTTGCTGGAAGCATCTTCCAAACCAAAGGGAACACACAGCTCTTCTTAAAATTGAAGGTGCCTGAGATGCCTGAGCTGAAACCGGATTTTAGTTAGGCAAGAGATATGTTCATGTGTACAAAGCAAAGGATAATACAGTGTATCCTGGCAGCAAACCAAAGCCTGAGTTATCTGGGAAAAGGTCACTGGCACCCATGGAAACAGTAGCATGGTTGGTCCCAAATCCTGAAGCACCTCTCTGTGAAGGCCATAGGACACAGAATCTGTGTTATGTTGTATCCCTTAAGGATTAAAAGCTATTATAAGTAAACAAAATTCTGTGGGGGTGGGGAAGGAATTAGACAGACTGTGCTCCTCAAAATTCACATGCTGGTCTTAACCTGCAATATCTCAGAATGTGACTGTGTTTGGAGCTAAGGCCTTTGAAAAGGTAAGTAAGGGTATGCCAGCCATGGTGGCTCATGCCTGTAATCACAGCGCTTTGGGAGTCCGAGGTGGGTGGATCACTTGAGCCCAGGAGATTGAGACCAGCGTGGGCAACATGGTGAAACCCTGTCTCTACTAAAAACACAAAAATTAGCTGGGCATGGTGGCATGCACCTGTAATTCCAGCTACTTGGGAGACTGAGGCAGGAGAATCACTTGAACCCAGGAAGTGGAGGTTGCAATGAGCTGAGATGGTGCCACTGCACCCCAGTCTGGGTGACAGTGCAAGATTCAGTCTCAAAAAAAAAAAAGGTAAAATGAGGTCATTAGGGTGGGCTCTAATCCAATAGAACTGATGTCGTCATAAGAAGAGGAGACAAGGACACAGATACACACAGAGGAAAGACCTTGTGAAGACACAAGAAGAAGATGGTCATTTACAAGCCAAGGAGAGAGACTTCAGAAGAAATCAACCCTGTCAACACCTTCATCTTGGACTTTTAAATTTCCATGGGTGTGAGGAGATAAATTTCTGTTGTTTAAGACACCCAGTCTGTGGTACTTCGTTATAGTATCCCTAGAAAATGAACACACCAGGTCATAAAAAGCTATAAAAATGACTGAATACCATAGGTTCTGATTGTGCTGAGGTACCACTCAGATCTCCTTTCAGGACTGATGGCTTATTCCCCTAGCTGCTGGCAGATGGCTCTCAGCTGCTGGTTCTCTTCAGGGCTTGTCTTGGATCAAGTATTGCCCTTTCCAAGGCTATGCCTCTATACCTATGGTAGCCTGAATCCGAGATTTGTTGCATGTGGGTATTAAGGCTTGGTCCTCCTGCCCAACTTGGGTCAACTCTGAAAGGTCATCCAGCATTAGAGCTTCCTTTGCAGTTGGCTGAGGCCTTCATCATAACCCAGTTTCTTCTCTTCAATCATACCTCTTTCTGACCCCTTTTCTTCCTCATGAATTGATAACAAGAGTGCTCCCTGATACATTCCTGCATGCTAGTCTTTATCTCAGGGTCTATTTCTTGAAGAACTCAACTTGTGACATTATAATAAAGAAATCAGACTTTATTTGGACAACTTTGGGGAGCTATTGAAGCATCATATTCTGATGTGGTATGATTTGTAGTGTGGCTGCTTTGAAGGGCAAGTCAAAGAGGGTCAGAATGGATGCAGGTAGACCAGTTAGACATAGGGAGAGTAGGCAAAGGTAATGGAGGCCTCGTTGTTAATAGTTATTGTTCACTCAAGGCTTCTCTTGAATTCTCTCTTCTCTGGGAAGCTCAAAGTCATTCCAATATAAGCAATGCATGGTCCTAGCTTGACTGGCATTTACTTCTTGTTCAGAGGTTTTGAAGGAAGTTCATGTCAGATCTGTTTTCCAAGATGGGAGAGCCGATCAAGACCATAGGTAAATGTATCATGGGTGAATGATGATGGCTTAATGCTCTCGTACATCTCCAGGGATCCAGAGAGAAATCAGAAAATAAGAGATGCACTTTCTCCTTCCAGCCTGCAAGTGTCACATGAACTTATTTCTGGCTGGATGCAAGATCTCACACACCAGCCCCAAATAGCTGTGGCTCTCCCTCCTAGCATGCCCTGGTCAGCCCCTGAGCATTTGCTCATGCCATTGCCTCTGACTGGACTGTATCTCCCTCTGCTCCATGACCTTCATTTAACTTATTCATCACTGAGTTATCTTTTCTGCATTCAATGCTTCCAGGAAACCTTTCCCAATGGCCTCCCTCAAGCCGGGTTAGGTATATTTTTACAATATCTTTTTTTCCTTTAACCACAAGACCATAAACTCCAGACCATGTTTTCTTAGAGATTTGGGTAAAATAAACACTCTCCTTCCCATTCAAGGTTCTGACCATTAAAGAATACGTATACAAAGAACTGATGGCCAAATGGGGATCCCTTTATTCTAACAATGGTTGCACAACACTTAGTGACCACCAAACCTGGAGACTCTAGTAAACTGTCTCCAAGCTTATGGCTTAGACCTGGGGATGAGAGGTATCTACTACTTGCCTTTCTATATTTAAACCTCAGGACACACAGACTTGTACGAACCGCAAGAAATAGAGCATAGCTTGTAGAGTTCCAAATCCCTTAGCTATCCAACTTTGTAAAAAAGGACTGCAGTTATGCCCTCATCAACCAGACACATCAACAGGGAGCAGATTAGAGACAGAGGGAGAAGGGTGGGCTTTTCCCCTGAAACGGGGGAGCTCTGCCCTGCTGGGATGATAATAGGAAGGTGGGGAAGGGAAGGAGATGTGTGGCACCAGAGTCTGGATGGCAAAGGGAAGAGGGAGAGTCTTTGAGGCAGCATCCCTGACCACTCGGAAAAAGGAGCTCATTAAATCTAAACTGACCAATTGGATTAGACGGAAGGAGGAATCTCCTTCTACAGGGAGTAGCGAGTGAGAAGGTGGAGAATCAGAGTTCCCACCATGACAGTTCCCTATATGAAGAAAATGGGTGGATAAAGGCAGAAGTTCCCACCTTTATGAGATGAAGTGGGAACATGGGGGAAAGAGCACATGGGATTTTTCATCCAGGCCTCTTGGCCTTTGTGTCCCTAGCCACTGGCATGAGACTAGCCCAACATAGGTATCAGTTAGTGCTTGCTGACAGAATGGTTGAATAGACCGTGGAATACTACCCAGTCGTGAAAAAGAATGAAATCATATTCTTTCCAGCAGCACGGATGGAACTGGAGGCCATTATCCTAACTGAAATAACTCAGAAAGTCAAATGCCACATGTTCTGACTTAAACGTGGTAGCTAAACAAAGAGTACAGATGGACATAGACAGTAGAATAATAGACACTGGATACAACAAAAGGTGGGAGGGTGGGAGGAATGTGAGGGTTGAAAACTGCCTATTTGGTACAGTGTTCATTCTTCAGGTGATGGGTACACTAAGAGCCCAGACTTTACCACTATGTGATATATGCATGGAAGGAACATGCACTTGTAACCCCCCAAATATATGAAAATACATTAATTTAAAAATCAAAATAAAAGCATAAAAATAAATAAATTACCATAGACTTATGATAACAGGAAAAAAAAAAGAATGGATGAATGAGTGAGGAGTGACAGTGGCTGATGAATTTGTGGTCATGCCCTTCTTTCCATTTCTCTCAGTTACTAATTAGTATCGCTGGGCTTTGTGGTATAAATGGAACTCATTCTCAACTTCACAAGCCTGTCAGTGAAAGCCCCTCAGAATCTTTTGCAACCTCACCTTTTGCCGCATCCATCATGAAGTTGTGTTGTCATCTAAGATGAGCTCCTGCTAGGTGGGCACTGGGAGGTGGACAGAAGGTAGGACCAAGAGCCTGACTGTGCCACTGCCCCAGGCCTCAGGGGCTCCTTGTTAACCTAATGAAGTGAGCTCTGTGTAGAGCTAAGCAGGCCTTGTTGTCTGACAAGGGACAACACAGTAGAGAAGTTGGATGCTGGGAGTGGGTGGGGATCTATGCTTCAACCACTTGTGGTGGAGTAGAAGCAGGGCGGATGCCTCAGTAAGGACTCATAAGGCTGACCGGGGGTTATGGTCCTCTGGAATCAGGGAGATATCAGAACCAACTGTAGTCTCAGCAGAGAACTAAAAAGCTGGGACAGGGAACTGGAGGCCAGCACCCCATTGTAGGAGTTAGCCCACCCAGACAAGGATTACGAGGGGGCTCTCAGAAGGCAAGTCCCCTTCTCTGAATCCACGGATTCCAGCCCGGATACATGTTGATTGCTCTTGGTTGGGCGTGAGGGGCATGTTGGTTTCCCACACTGGCGGAGACAGGCTTACTTCTTGCTGCACTGTGGTGGATGCTGTGATGTGCTGCTGAAGTCTCCCTTCAGTAAGGTCTGATGATCTCAGCTGTAGAGGGTAGTGTCGGCAGAGAAGCTTGAAGTCTGTCAACCTCTTTAAGGATGCTGTCAGAAACCACTCACCTAAGATCACATCCCTTCTTGTGGTGGCCTGTCCAATGAATAGTAGATATGGGAGTATAAAGTTTCTTGGCTCAACTTGAGACAAAGGTGAAAGGTCATTCTAATGCTGGAGCCCCCCATAGCGTCAGCTGAGTCAGCTATTGGGTATGCATCACGTTTGATTTTCTCCTTTTGTTAACCAATCTCCCTTCCCTTCCCTTCCCTCCCCTCCCCTTCCCTTCCCTCCCCTCCCCTCCCCTCCCCTCCCCTTCCCTTCCCTTCCCTTCCCTCCCCTCCCCTCCCCTCTTTCCCCCACTCCCCCGTCTCTCCCCTACCCTCCCCTCCCTTCTGTATTAGTCCATTTTCACATTGCTGATAAAGACATACTTGAGACTGGGCAATTTACAAATGAAAGGTTTATCGGACTCACAGTTCCACGTGGCTGGGGAGGCCTCACAATCATGGCGGAAGGTGAAAGGCACGTCTCACATGGCGGCAGACAAGAGAAGAGAGCTTGTGCAGGGAAAGTCCCATTTTTAAAACCAACAGACCTCGTGACACTTATTCACTATCACGAGAACAGCACAGAAAAGACCCATCCCCATGATTCAGTTATCTTCCACTGGGTCTCTCCCACAACACTTGGTAATTATAGGAGCTACAAGATGAGATTTGGGTGGGGACACAGAGCCAAACCATATCACCTTCTCTTCCACAGGCTTTGATCTGAACAATACTCTTAATAAACATACTGCATGCTAGATACCTCCTGAGGAAGCCAGCATGGACAAACTGAAAACTGTCAAATCTCTAAACAAATTCCAGTAAGGAGGAATGACTTTCTCTCAAGCTCAGTGGTCCCATTCTGTGGTCATCTTGAATGTAGAAAATCCTCCACAACCAGACGCTTCCCATCAATTGGTTCCTATTCTTTCTCTCAGTGTTAGCAGAGTGAGCCAGAATTTGTGACACTTGAGGAGTGTTTTAGCTGAAATTAGTAATCTATAACATGTACGGTCAATAGGCACAGGGCAAAATAGTCACACGAAGGTGACCAACCCTAATTTAATGAGAGTGATTCATCACTTTAAGCAAAGTGCTATTGGCCCCAGAAATTGGAATTGGATCCTTTAGCAGGGATACTAGGAGAGCCTGGGGAAGGGGAAAGGAGGGCACTGCATATGTAGGATCACAGGCCTGTTCGTTCTATTGATGCCCCTGCACACAGAAAATGGACCTTTCTGCAGCAAAGCTGTCACAGAGCAACATTTATAGGTTACATTTAGACGGGAAAATTATTAGCGTAAATATGTTTGGTGTCCCAAAACACAAGTACTGATTAGCTAGTGAGGACAGCATTAGGAGACTCATTAAGAAATATGTTTTTGTCTTTGCCCTGGCCTGAGCATCACAATTACCATCCACACCCACACAAAATGCAAATATAGTTGTAAAACAAATTT
Organism: Homo sapiens; assembly: GCF_000001405.40. Classification (NCBI taxonomy): domain Eukaryota; kingdom Metazoa; phylum Chordata; class Mammalia; order Primates; family Hominidae; genus Homo; species Homo sapiens. The sequence goes on along the minus strand of NC_000016.10, from coordinate 65,932,580 downwards.
TGAAAATTGAGTCCCTCAAGCTTCCTGGTTTCCATGCCAATCGTGTACATCTGACGTCAGTTGGATTCTGACTGCATGAAAAACATATGTTGTTCTAGCCCTTCCACAGCTTCCTAAAACATGTGGCTGACACTTTTTAGGGTGTGTGTAAAAATAAGGCTGCATTGTTAAAGCCCCTTTCCTGAGACATTTCACTATTTGGAGCTGAAAGCACCTGTGCTGTTCTTTCAATGACTTTTGCCTTTTGTGGGATCTCCCTTTCAGTAGAACTTTTCTTTCCTGCTGGTTTAAGTTTCAGCCTAAAAACCAACTACAACCCTTTTTCATCCCACTTTCTTTCAACCTACCACTTCTTTTCACTTCCAAACTTCTTTGTGTGTGTGTTCCAGTAACACTTTATTCACAGACACTAATATTTAAATTTCATATCATTTTCACATGTCACAAAATATTCTTCCCCCACCAAACCCTTTATAAATGGGAAAACCATTCTTAGCTCACAGGCCATACAGTAACAGATTGTTGTTTGTTGCCCTCTGCACTGTAGTGACCAAGAGCACAGCTTCTGGAGCCAGATCGCTTGAGGTTGAATTGGTTCCGTTGTTTGCTAGCTGTGTGATCTTGGGCAAGTTACTTGATGTTTTTGCACCTCAGATCCCCATCTGTGAAATGGGGAAGTGGCACCATTCTGTATGATTTTTTTTATTATTTATTTATTTATTTTTTTTGAGACAGAGCCTTGCTCTGTCACCCAGGCTGGAGTGCAGTGGTGCAATCTCGGCTCACTGCAACTGCTGCCTCCTGGCTTCAAGCGATTCTCCTGCCTCAGCCTCCCGAGTAGCTGGGATTACAGGTGTCCACCACCATGCCTGGCTAATTTTTTGTATTTTTAGTAGAGACGGGGTTTCACCATGTTAGCCAAGATGGTCTTGATCTCCTGACCTCGTTATCTGCCTGCCTCGGCCTCCCAAAGTGCTGGGATTACAGGTGTGAGCCACGTTTTGTATGATTTTTTTTCTTCTTTTTAAATAATACTTTAAGTTCTAGGGTACATGTGCACAATGTGCAGATTAGTTACATAGGTATACATGTGCCATGTTGGTTTGCTGCACCCATCAATTCATCACTTACATTAGGTATTTCTCCTAATGCTATCACTCCCCCAGCCCCCCACCCCCTGACAGGCCCTGGTGTGGGATGTTCCCTGCCCTGTGTCCAAGTGTTTTCATTGTTCAATTCCCACCTATGAGTGAGAACATGTGGTGTTTGGTTTTCTGTCCTTGTGATAATTTGCTGAAAATGATGGTTTCCAGCTTCATGCATGTTCCTGCAAAGGACATGAACTCATCCTTTTTTATGGCTGCATAGTATTCTATGGTGTATATGTGCCACATTTTCTTAATCCAGTCTATCATTGATGGACATTTGGGTTGGTTCCAAGTCTTTGCTATTGTGAATAGTGCCACAATAAACATACATGTGCATGTGTCTTTATAGTAGCATGATTTATAATCCTTTGTGTGTATACCCAGTAATGGGATCACTGAGTCAAATGGTATTTCTTGTTCTAGATCCTTGAGGAATTGCCACACTGTCTTCCAGAATGGTTAGACTAATTTACACTCCCACCAACAGTGTAAAAGCATTTCTATTTCTCCACATCCTCTCCAGCATCTGTTGTTCCCTGACTTTTGAATCATCATCATTCTAACTGGCGTGAGATGGTATCTCATTGTGGTTTTGATTTGAATTTCTCTGATGACAAGTGATGATGAGCATTTTTTCATGTGTCTGTTGGCTGCATAAATGTCTTCTTTTGAGAAGTATCTGTTCATATCCTTTGCCCACTTTTTGATGAGGTTGTTTGTTTTTTTCTTGTAAATTTGTTTAAGTTTTTTGTAGATTCTGGTATTAGCCCTTTGTCAGATGGGTAGGTTGCAAAGATTTTCTCCCATTCTGTAGGTTGCCTGTTTACTCTGATGTTCATTTCTTTTGCCGTGCAGAAGCTCTTTAGTTTAATTAGATCCCATTTGTCAATTTTGGCGTTTGCTGCCATTGCTTTCGATGTTTTAGTCGTGAAGTCCTTGCCCATGCCCATGCCTCTGTCCTGAATGATATTGCCTAGGTTTTCTTCTAGGGATTTTATGGTTTTAGGTCTAACATTTAAATCTTTAATCCATCTTGAATTAATTTTTGTATAAGGTGTAAGGAAGGGATCCAATTTCGGCTTTCTATATATGGCTAACCAGTTCTCCCAGCACCGTTTATTAAATAAGGAATCCTTTCCCTATTGCTTGTTTTTCTCAGGTTTGTCAAAGATCAGCTGGTTGTAGATGTGTGCTGTTATTTCTGAGGCCTCTGTTCTGTTGCATTGGTCTATATATCTTTTTTAGTACCAGTACCATGCAGTTTTGGTTACTGTAGCCTTGTAGTATAGTTTGAAGTCAGGTAGCGTGATGCCTCCAGCTTTGTTCTTTTGGCTTAGGATTGTCTTGGCAATGCAGGCTCTTTTTTGGTTCCATATGAACTTTAAAGTAGTTTTTTTCAATTCTGTGAAGAAAGTCATTGGTAGCTTGATGGGGATGGCATTGAATCTATAAATTACCTTGGGCAGTATGGCCATTTTCACCATATTGATTCTTCCTATCCATGAGCATGGAATGTTCTTCCATTTGTTTGTGTCCTCTTTTATTTCATTGAGCAGTGGTTTGTAGTTCTCCTTGAAGAGGTCCTTCACATCCCTTGTAAGTTGGATTCCTAGGTATTTTATTCTCTTTGTAGCAATTGTTAATGGGAGTTAACTCGTGATTTGGCTCTCCGTTTGTCTGTTATTGGTGTATAGGAATGCTTGTGATTTTTGCACATTATTTTGTATCCTGAGACTTTGCTGAAGTTGCTTATCAGCTTAAGGAGATTTTGGGCTGTGACTATGGGGTTTTCTAAATATACAATCATGTCATCTGCAAACAGGGACAATTTGACTTCCTCTTTTCCTAATTGAATACCCTTGATTTCTTTCTCCTGCCTGATTGCCCTGGTCAGATCTTCCAACACTATGTTGAATAGGAGTGTTGAGAGAGGGCATCCCTGTCTTTTGCCAGTTTTCAAAGGAAATGCTTCCAGTGTTTTCCCATTTAGTATGATATTGGTTGTGGGTTTGTCATAAATAGCTCTTATTATTTTGAGATACTTTCCATCAATAACTAGTTTATTAAGAGTTTTTAGCTTGAAGTGCTGTTGAATTTTGTTGAAGGCCTTTTCTGCATCTATTGAGATAATCACGTGGTTTTTGTTGTTGGTTCTGTTTATGTGATGAATTATGTTTATTGATTTGCGTATATTGAACTAGCCTTGCATCCCAGGGGTGAAGCCGACTTGATCGTGGTGGATAAGCTTTTAGATATGCTGCTGGTTTCGGTTTGCCAGTATTTTATTGAGGATTTTCGCATCGATGTTCATCAGGGATATTGGCCTAAAATTCTCTTTTCTTGTTGTGTCTCTGCCAGGCTTTGGTATCAGGATGATGCTGGCCTCATAGAATGAGTTAGGGAGGATTCCCTCTTTTTCTATTTATTGGAATCATTTCAGAAGGAATGGTACCGGCTCCTCTTTGTACCTCTGGTAGAATTTGACTGTGAATCCATCTGGTCCTGGACTTTTTTTGGTTGGTAGGCTATTAATTATTGCCTCAATTTCAGAGCCTGTTATTGGTCTATTCAGATATTCAACTTCTTCCTGGTTTAGTCTTGGGAGGGCATATGTGTCCAGGAATTTATCCATTTCTCCTAGATTTTCTAGTTTATTTGCATAGAGGTGTTTATAGTATTCTCTGACGGTAGTTTGTATTTCTGTGGGATCAGTGGTGATATCCCCTTTATCATTTTTTATTGCATCTATTTGATTCTTCTCTCTTTTCTTCTTCATTATTCTTGCTAGTGGTCTATCAATTTTGTTGATTTTTTTCAAAAAACTTTCTCCTGGATTCTTTGATTTTTTGAATGGTTTTTTGTGTCTCTAGGAGACTTCAGTTCTGCTCTGATCTTAGTTATGTCTTGCCTTCTGCTAGCTTTTGAATTTGTTTGCTCTTGCTTCTCTAGTTCTTTTAATTGTGAGGTTAGGGTGTCGATTTTAGATCTTTCTCTCTGGCTGTGCTTAACATTTTTTCCTTCATTTCAACCTTGGTGAATCTGACAATTATGTGTCTTGGGGTTGCTCTTCTCGAGGAGTATCTTTGTGGTGTTCTCTGCATTTCCTGAATTGGAATGTTGGCCTATCTTGCTAGGTTGAGGAAGTTCTCCTGGATAATATCCTGAAGAGTGTTTTCCAACTTGGTTGCATTCTCCCTGTCACTTTCAGGTATACCAATCAAACATAGATTTGGTCTTTTCACATACTCCCATACTTCTTGGAGGCATTGTTCATTTCTTTTTACTCTTTTTTCCCTAACCTTATCTTCTCGCTTTATTTCATTAATTTGATCTTCAATCACTGATACCCTTTCTTCCACTTGGTTGAATCGACTATTCAAGCTTGTGCATGCGTCACGAAGTTCTCATGCCATGGTTTTCAGTTCCATCAGGCCATTTAAGTTCTTCTCTACTCTCTTTAATCTAGTTAGCCATTCTTCTAATCTTTTTTCAAGGTTTTTGCTTCCTTACAATGGGTTAGAACATGCTCCTTTAGCTCGGAGAAGTTTGTTATTACTGACCTTCTGAAGCCTACTTCTGTCAGCTTGTCAAAGTCATTCTCTGTCCAGCTTTGTTCTGTTGCTGGCAAGGAGCTGTGATCCTTTGGAGGAGAAGAGGTCCTCTGTTTTTTAGAATTTTCAGCTTTTCTGCTCTGGCTTCTCCCCATCTTTGTGGTTTTATCTACCTTTGGTCTTTGATGTTGGTGACCTACTGATGGGGTTTTGGTGTGGATGTCCTTTTTGTTGATGTTGATGCTATTCCTTTCTGTTTGTTAGTTTTCCTTCTAACAGTCAGGTTCCTCAGCTGCAGGTCTGTTGGAATTTGCTGGAGGTCCACTCCAGATCCTGTTCGTCTGGGTGTCACCAGCGGAGGCTGCAGAACAGCAGATATTGCAGAATAGCAAATATTGCTGCCTGATCCTTCCTCTGGAAGCTTCGTCCCAGAGGGGCACCTGCCTGTATGAGGTGTCTGCCGGCCTCTACTGGGAGGTATCTCCCAGTTAGGCTACATGGGGGTCAGGGACCCACTGGAGGAGGCAGTCTGTTCTCAGAGCTCAAACGCCATGCTGGGAGAACCACTGGTCTCTTCAGAACTCAGTTGGAAATGCAGAAATCACTTGTCTTCTGCATTGATCACGCTGGGAGCTGCAGACCAGAGCTGTTCCTATTTGGCCATCTTGGAATGGAGCCACCACATTCTGTATGATTTTTAAGGGAGTGAATTGATCAGTGAGGAATACCTAATAAGTATTTAATAAATATTAACTGTTGTAATATTGTCTTGTCTTATTTGCATGTAATTCTCATTGTGACTGTACAAGCCAAGGTACTAGTGTTTTAGTGGAGGATCCTTTCACCATGAGCCACAGAGATGAAGAGGTGGAGACACAGGCAAGATATGAATCTGTTTGTTTGTTTGTTTTTTGAGACGAAGTCTTGCTCTGTCACCCAGGCTGGAGTGCAAGGGCGTGATCTTGGCTCGCTGCAACCTCCGCCTCCCAGGTTCAAGTGATTCTCCTGCCTCAGGCTCCTCAGTAGCTGGGACTACAGGTACATGCCACCATGCTTGGCTAATTTTTGTATTTTTAGTGGAGATGGGGTTTTTATGTGTATCACCTCTGTCCTCCCCCCACTGCAGTGCAGTAACTGTGCAGGCAAGGTTGTTTTCTTTGGTTCACTGCTTAATCTCCAGCACCCAGAGCAGGGCCTGATGAGAATACAATACACATTTGCTGAACGGATACATTGAATTTGTCAAATAAATTCTCAACAGATTCAAATATAGAAATACATTCCAGCAGATGGTTAATTTCTGTTTAGTTGAGGTGTTCTATTTTAGCCCTTTGATCCTGGAATGTCACTCGAGTGAGCACCAGGAAAGAAGGGGCCAGTGGATTCTTCAACAACGAAGCCCTTGAATAGCCTCTGGCCAAATAATATTGGAAAAACCTCAAAATATGCATGTCCAGTATGAACAGCATGCAGCCACCATAAGGAACTTTGTTTATAAATCTGTGCTTATTCTTTTAGTGTCAAGAGAACATGAGAAAACTGCACACCCCATTGAGGGATGGGACAAGGAATTTGGAAAGATCTGTGGTTCTTTAGCACCTTGAAATCACTCCCAAATTGTCTTCTATTGCCAAAATTAAGTTTTTGTCTGTTTTGGAGGATAGTTTTTGAGAGAAATGTGTTAAGTCCAATGACACTGGGTTTTCTAGATGTTACCATTTTTGGTGACCAGGTGCACTGCTGCGACCACAGGTTGGCAGCTGGAAAGGCACTAACTGGCCCTTCAAGAAGTCCCTGCATAATGGAATGTTGCTGCAGACAGCAATGAGGGACCTTGGGTTTGGAATTCTTATGGAGCTCTCAGGGAGTGCTATCTTATTCTCCCCACTCAGCTCCTAGATCTACACAGAGCCAGCTTGGTTTTGTGCTTTATAGTATTCCCAAGGTTTTCCTTTACTTCGTGACAGCACAGGGACTGGATAAGGTTGCCTGGATTCCACCAAGGCATGTTTTCTTTTTCTTTTTTTTTGAAACAGGGTTTTGCTCTGTCACCCAGGCTGCAATCTTGGCTTGGGTCACCGCAACCTCCACCTCCTGGGTTCAAACAATTCACGTACCTCAGCCTCCCAAGTAGCTGGGATTACAGGCACATGCCACCAAGTCCAGCTAATTTTTTATTTTTATTTTTGTATTTTTAATAGAGATGGGGTTTCACCATGTTGGCCAGGTTGGTCTTGAACTCCTGGCCTCAAGCAATCCTCCTGCCTTGGCCTCCCAAAGTGCTGGGATTACAGGCATGAACCACCACACCCGGCCCACCACCCGGCCCACCAACACATATTCTTGATTGGAACTCTCTGTTACTCTAATCCCACAATGATAGGTGGCCTTCAGAGTGGCTCTCGTCTTTATTCTGATCCCTCTTCACAGGGCACTTGGTAAAACCTGCAGGCAGAAGTGGCTCTGAGAAATGTCAGTTCCATGATTGGTCACTTACCTAGATTGGAAGGTCCTCTTCTTTCATTATTCAAGCCTCTTCTCATTCCTGAGTTTTTTATTCCCCAGGTCTCATGTTGGAATATCACTTTCTTATCTTGGGTGATCCCCAGACTTTCTGCCTGCAATTATACAAACAACAAAGCTCTCTCTTTACCGAAGACATCACTAAGTGGGTCAAATAAATAATTTCTAGGCTATTAATATACACCCCAAATTGCAGTATGTGTCCATCTATTTTTGACTCATCAATGAATAACTGTCTCATCACAGCCTTACCAGCTTTGAGTATTATTACTTTTTATTAGGCTTTGCCAAATTAAAAGACAAACCATGATAAAATTTCATTACTGGTTCAGTTTTATTCCTTTAATTATCCAAGAGATTGAGCAATTTCTCATATGTTGATTGGTCATTTGCATTTCTCCTTTTGGGATTTATCTTTAACCTCAATAAATTAATGTTTTTGCATTTTCTTCCACCCCCAGAAATGCAAATCTATTTTTTGGTTTTTCTTCTGGGTGAACTCACAAATCAAAGCAGCCAACACTCAGACTCATGCTAGTATGTCTGTGCTGCATTGCAATTATAGAACATGCTGTTCTTGTTCACCATGTGCAGAATTAAACTCAGACTAAAAAATCAACAGAAGTTTTCAACTGGACTGTGTTTTGTTATTTCATTCATATATTTGTGTGCCTGCGTGTATACACACTCATGTGTATATACATATTACATACACACATATATTCAATTATGTTTGTTTATATATATATGTCCATATATTCAACACAGATATACAGTTGACACTTGAACTATATAGGGATTTGGGGAACCGACCCCCTACACGGTTAAAAATCCATGTATAACATTGACTCCTCCAAAAAAAAAAAAACTACTAATAGCCTACTGTTGACTGAAAGCCTTATTGATAACATAAATGGCTGATAACACATATTTTGTATATGTATTATATATTGTATTCTCATAATAAAGTAAGCTAGAGAAAAGAAAATGTTACCAAGAAAATCATAAAGAAGAGAAACATATTTACTATTCATTATGTGGAAGTAAATGATCCTAAAGATCTTCATCTTCCTCATCTTCACATTGAGTAAACTCAAGAGGAGAAGAAAGAGGAGGAGAAAGAGGAGAGGTTGGTTTTGTTGTCTCAGGCGTGGCAGAGGCAGAAGACAGTTCATGTATAAGTGGACACTCATAGTTCAAGTCCATATTGTTCAAGGGTGAACTGCATATTCAATTTAAAGTATGTGTCAGACTTTAATGGAGAAGGTTGGCAGCTATAGGTTTAGTAAGAGTATTCTCAAATTGAGTCGAAATGAAAGCCTGTGAATCAAAATATAGTTTTACAGTTCCTTTATAACTCCTGAGAATTAGCCTCTGGATTCAGCATAACAGAAAATGGACTGGTCTTTAAGGGTAGCCCCTGGTGTGCTTCTTGTCTCTACGCCCTCGGCAAGCTCCTTCTGCTGTCAGACGTAAGGGTAGAAACCAGTATTTTGGTGTTTAAGTGATGTGCTCCTGTGTGTTTCTTCAAAATCCGTAATGCTATATTGATGCCACTTCCTAAAGTGGTGGGTTTGCTCAGCTAAAATAGGAAGATGTGATGCATGCTTTTTTCCTCCACGGAAGTTTGTGTCTATTTCTAGGGTTTGCTCCAAGGGCTTGTTCTGGGCAGGGAGGGGGTTCTCAGGAAGCAACCAGGCTTTCAGGCAATAGTTCTCCTGGAAGAGCTCTCTGGGTTTCCAGTGAAGCCACCGGAACCTGTGGATTTATGAGGTGCATATTATGGTGGTGATGCTGCTGTGTTTATCAGGCCACAGAACCGGGACACTGCGGGGAGGGAAATGCAAATCTATTTTATGGTAAGATGACTTGTTCAATAAACCCAGTTTATTAAAGTGCTCACAAGGCTGATGTTTAATGTTTGAATATGCCATAGATCTTCTTCTTTTAGTCCAACTTATCTGCTGCCCTATTTTTTCTACTCTCACCCTTGTGTGCTCTCTCTCTTCCTCCTCCTCTCCTCACTTGTTCTGTCTCTCCCCTGTCTTCGTATTGAAGCACAGGTGGGTGGCTTCCACAGACCAAGCTCATATGCCTCTTACCTTTGCAACCCTAACTGGCTACAACCAACAGATATAATCCATCAGAAGTCCGTCCCTGTCCCAATTATTGATTTGGGTTTTCCCTCCAACTTGCACACTTGAACTTTACCCCTTCCCTCTCTGTCCCAGCTCTTTGACCCTGTCCCCAACTCGCCCCATGAGCTCACCACCCCCTACTCCACCAAGGGGTTCTGGCATCAGCCTTCCTGCTAAGGACTCTGCCTTAAGCTGCCTCCAGGGGCCAGACACCCAGCAGTCTCTGGCTAGCAGACCTTGCTCTTGCACTCTTGCATGCTGGTTTTGCACACTCCTAGGTGAGAGATGCTCAAACGCTTGGTTTCTGTCCCATGGGACCCATTCCAGGTTGGTCTGTTGTTGGCTTTTCCTGCAAGACAAAGACATTAGCAATCATATAACCTTTATAATAGGAGGAAGGTAATATCCATTTAGGAAACATTCACTTAACCATACTTTCTTGGATTTTTTTTTTTCAGACTGGGTCTCACTTTGTCACCTAGGCTGGAGTGCAGTGGCAGAATTATAGCTTACTGCATCCTCAACCTCCCAGGCTCAAGCGGTCCTCCCACCTCAGCCTCCTGAGTAGCTGGGACCACAGGAGCATGCCACCATGCCCAGTTAAATTGTTTGTATTTTTTTTAGAGATGGGGTTTAGCGATGTTACCCAGGCTGGTCTCAAACTGCTGAGCTTAAACAATGTGCCCACCTTAGCCTCCCAAAGTGTTGGGATTACAGGCATGAGACACTATGCCCAGCCTCTTCCTGGATACTTGCTGCACCCTGGTGCTGGGCTAGAGGCTGGAGTATCTCTCTAAACTGGTCAGACTGTGCGTGGAGTTGGGGCTCAGCTCCAGGGCCTGTACTTGTGGAGGGGAACCCAGAGTGGAGCAGTGGAGAGGAGAGGGGAGTCACTGCAGACACTTGTAAGCAGGGCCATTAGTTCTTCACTCCCTGGGCCCATCGTTTTCCAGCACTGTCCTCCTAGCATCCAGTGCGGGCCTGATCCAGCCGCACACGTAATCGGTGCTTGCTGAGTTGGTAAGTGAATGAACCATGTCATAAGCATAACAGTTGAAGGACTGGTGTTGTGTAGCCAGTGAAAGAGGAAGACGGGGGAATCTAATGGGACACTTGCAGCCCTGTCACATCAAAGTGTTTCCTGTGATGCCAAAGGCATGAATTAGGATTAAACGGTGGCAGTTATGGAGACATAGATTTCAGCTTCCTATCAGGAACTTATTGTTTAATGAGGCAGTGGGCTAAATCCTGGGATGATGAGCTTCTTCACATTAGAGATATTCATGTAGAATAGGCCACATGACCTCCTCATTTTGATGCTGTGGGAGGGAATTTCTATGTGGTGTGATTGATGTAATAATTCTTAATAGGCTGCCTATTATCTGCAAGGGACTATATTGGCCTCGGGAAGGAAGAGACAATTAAGTCCTCTGTCCTCAAGAAGGGCTCTAGCGGTTCCTTGAGCTTGTGGTCCCTATTAAATAGAAGATATATACATGAGTCTCATCGTGTAGGTGTGGAAACTGAGGTCAGGAGAGTGAAGAGTCTTTTTATATTTGCATCTGGCACGGAGTACCTATGGTACACCAGGTCCCATGGGAAGGGCTTCCTTACGTTTTCTCACTGAGTCTTCACGTCTGCCCTGGGATGAAGATAGGACTATTAGGGTTTTAATCCCGCAGCAACTCCACTCACCAGACTCCTGATCTACTGCTCTTCTCATTCTAACAATTCACACAGGCACATTCTGGACATGCAGTCACAAAATGCTGGAGCCTCAGAAGCACAGGGCAGGGAATAAGCAGAGATTATAAACAGGTGAAGGGTGATGGGGAAGGAAATTAATGCCTTCTGAGCCTGTGGTGGGCCAGGCAGAGTTTTACCTACAACATCTGATTTTTTATGGATAAGATCCATGAGAGTTAGATATTTTTACTGCCATTTTACAAGTGATGAGCCTGAGGCTCAGGGAGGTTAAATGACTTGGTTAACCTCACAGAGGTAATATGATCTGGAGCTGGAATATTCCTATTATTACTACTGCTATTACTTTTATTGCTACCATCAGTACTCCTACTATTGCTACCATTACTACTAATACTACTTGCTTATACAATTGTTACTACTACTATAACTTTTAAAATTACTGCCATGGTTACCAGTCCTACTACTCTGACTAGCAGTTTTACAACTACTATTTATTCCTCTTTTTCCTTCTACTGATGACACGAAGTCTTGAGTTATTGAGTGCATACTCTGTGTGATGTCCTGGACTAAACCCTTTCCAGTTCTGTTTGTGGGTTTTTTTTTTTTTTTTTTTTTTTTTTAGACCAGATCTCACTCTGTCACCAGGCCGGAGTGCAGTGGTGTGACCTCTGCCTCCTGAGCTCAAGTCATCCTCCCAACTCAGCCTCCCAAGTAGCTGGGACTACTGGCACACACCACCATGCTCAGCTAATTTTTAAATTTTTTGTAGAGATGGGATCTTCCTATATTTCCCAGGCTGGTGTTGAACTCCTAAACTGAAGCAATCCTCCCCAATAGGCCTCCCAAAGTGCTGGGATTACAGGCACGAGCCACCATGCCCAGCTCCAGCTCTATCTTATTTATTTTTTTAACAAAAACTCAGGAGATTTATGATGAGCCTTTTAAGCAAAAGCCGATGGTTAATCCCACATTGTGGGGGTAAATAAAGGCGTCCCTAATCTACAGGAAAAAGACAGGAGGTGGGAACCAGTGTACTAGAAGCTCCTTTCCATGGATTATAAAACATACTCATGTGTTTATCTTAAGCTTGGGACTGAAAAAAAAAAAAAAAACAGCCTATTTTCATTGGATATTTTGCTTAGATTAGTCTCTCCTGAATCCAAGTCAGGTAAGGTCTCTAATAGAAGAAAAAACTGTGTCACAAAGAGGATCAGTGTTTATCACTGGGTGTTCATTGGAGCCAGTTTCCTGGCATATGGTCTGTGAATGCTGTCTCACTTAATTCTTGTGCTGCCCTGGGAGGTAGATTCTATCGTGCCCATTTTACAGATCTGGAAGCTGAGGCTCTGCAAAGGGAATGAGCTCCTCGAGGAGGTCTCATCTCCGGAGAGACATGGGCCGGGTTATGAACGGGGTCCTTCCAATTAGATCTTCATCTCTGGCCCCTCCCACTCCAGCTTGGGGCTTCTGCAACCGAATTAAAATGTAAATCAAAACATAATTGACTTTGTGTGCACAGTTTAGATAAGATTTACTTTTGAAGAATAACTTTGTGTTCTAACCCAGCAGGCCCAGCTCCACGCGGCACACTGGCACTTAATAACGGCCAGGGAGTGCGGCCATAAATATTGCAAATGATGCAGTTTGGACGAAACGCCCTATGAACCATAATAAAACCCCCCGTGATTAATTCCAGAATGCGCTCTGTTCATATTAGACCTGCAGTGGCTTCCCTGATGAGATCAATACAGCGTAGCGGAGTGATCCTAATAGAAGTGTTATTATCTTTTAATCTTTGGGAAAATGCCAACTTCTCGAATCCCTCACCATGCCGCCTGCTTTATTTTCTCAGTGCAACCTTGAAGGCAGTTGTTTTCCCTGAAATGAAGATACATTAGAGTATTTTCAAGGATTTATCAATAATAGGACCTGGGCCTGCTTTGCAGGGCCCCTTGCTAAAAGGCCTATTTGTATGCGGCGAGTCAGAGCTGGTTGCGGTGACCTTTGCTGTCAGCCGCTATTTTCCCAGCAGACAAATGCCTCTGGAGAGTGAGTGGTAAAGACAGATATTCACGGGAGGGAGACGGGGAGGCGAGAGTAGGGAGCGAAATACACCAACATCAAATAAGCTAGGGAGGGCTTTAGGAAGCCAGGCGTGTCCTTGTTTAGGACTCAGGCGACAGAAATGGTCTTCATGGCCCCTGCAGGCAGAGGCTGACTTTCCCGCCGCTTCTGCAGGTCTCCAGGGTCCGGAATGCAGGGGGACTGGCTGTGATTCTCCGTGGAAAATGAAATGTCACTGCCCTGTAACGAGTGTCCAGGAGGGGAGGGAGGATGACAAGTATCTCTAGCCTGGTGCCTGCAGGGGAGCTGCATCTCCCGGCTCACAGGAGGCAGGAGAGTCCGTGTTTGGAGGCTTTGGCGTCATCTTGGTGAGCTCCTCACCAGGGAGGTGGAGGTAAGTGGGGCATGCCTATTGGAGGTGAAAAATGAACTAACTTGTCAGGGACGATGCTGAGAAAGCCAGGGTAGGGTGCCAGCCGTGCTCCTGGGTGTATCCAAATCCCTCACCTGGCATGGTCTGCTGAGTTCTAATGGAAGCTGCACACAAGCCCCAGCAGACAGCCTCAAAGAAAGCCAGCCAGAGCCCATGGAAAGGAAGGAGGAGGAATCCTCAGCATCTTTCTTCTTCCTCTCCTGCTTAAAGGAGCATACACATCTCTGAATGGCAGCCTTGGAGGAGCCTTGGGCATCATCCAGTGCCACCTGTATCTTGTGCAGAAAGGGAAACTGATGGCCAGAGTCAGGAAGTGACTGAACACTGGGTCTCACAGCAGGTTATCTGCAGGGCTGTGTCTCTTGTGCTTCTGGTGAGGGCTCTATCTACATCAACGTGTTCCATGCTGTCATTCAGGGACCCAGGCTCCTTTGGTCTGTTGGCTCTGCTGTTGACTGGGGCTCCTGAGCCCCACTTTATCATCTTCATCCAGCTTTTAATGGAACAGGGAGCTTGGAGGATCTTGTGGGGGAATATGAAGATCTGGGGGTGTGTATGAGATCTATATACCCTTTTCCCAATTCCACCAAACAAAACTCAATTATGTGGCCCCCTAAAAGCCAGGTATTGAAAAGTGTCACCTATCCAGTATGCCACAGAAAGAGAAAACATGGAATTCATGAGCAACCAGCTTGTTACTGCTGTAGCATCCTCATCTGCAGAACAAGAGTACAAATCGCCCCCTTACTGGGCCACAGCAGAGGCTATAAAGGAATTAAACATATGAGTGCTTCTGACAAACAGTAAGTGCTAAATAAATGTTCATCCTACCACTTGTCTTTGGCAGTCTCTTCTCCCATGAATTGGACCCTTTAACCCAAGTCTGAGTCTCTGTGTCCTTTTGTAGAGATATGGACAAGGCACCTTCCACATTCTGATCTGGCATCGCAGGTGGTTTTGCTCTGTCCAGCTTGTGGGGGCTGCTGGGGAGACTCTCCACTTGTCCCCTGGCCCTTCCCTACTGCCCCTGCCTCCTCCTCTTTACTTGGCCCATTATTCTGAGATGGGCCTGTGATCTGAGCCCAACAGATTCCACTTTGCCACACCTGGTGTGTTCCAGGAGTCACACTGAGCTGCCTGATATTCCATGCCCCTAAACAAAAAGCATTGACGGCATTGAAGGGCTACCTTTGGCTCATTTGTTTATAACTTTGTGGTCTTGGGTAAGTGGCCTTTCCTCTTTGAGACTCACATGGATTATATGAACTCTGTAAAAAGAACAACCAACATGTAAGCTGTTAGGAGAAAACAAAGTCGTGATTGTGAAATGGCCAAGCACAAAGCCAGGCTTGGAGCAATTTGGAGGAAGGATTTGTCTCAGAAAGTGGCAAGTCATGCTGATGTCCCTCAGGAGGCCATCCTGATTTTGGCTACTCTGCAGGTCAGGGTGCTCTGTGATAGCTGATTATAGTGGCAGAATTGATAAGGCAGGGTTGGGGGACAGTACCAGAGTGCACCTCTCTCTGGGGTAGTGCTGAAAGATGTGACATCCCAGCGCCTCTCAATCTCCCTTCCCAGATCTCAGCTGGATCATTGGTTCTTTGCACCAGTCCAATATTGAGGGATGCCGTAGCAGCGCCATTCTCAGCTAAGCACAGATCTGAGGGGAGCTTTTACTTTTCCAGGATGTTACCTCCAAAACCAATCCTCTGCACCCCACAGAGCTTTTAGCACCAAGCAGATGGGCTCTGAATAAACTCATCAGAGATCAAGGCAAACAGCACAGGTGAGAAGCAGTGGTGGAGTGGGGAAATGCAGATTCTTGCCTTGTGATGTAGCTCCTTTCTTATATACCTTGGGTGATCTGTTCTTCCTTTATCGAGGTACTTTCATGTTTATGGCACCTTGAGTTTAGGAGAGCACTCTCCGAGGAGGCCAGAGCTGTGCTGATAGGGGTTATCAAGCACATTTCCCAGGCTTTAGCTTTTAGGCACTTGCCTGCCTTGGTGCTTTGACTCTGCTGTTCATCGGGTCAGTCCTGGCTTGTTTATCCGGCTTTACTTTATCTTATCCATGGTCCTAAGGAAATGTCACACTTCTCAGGATGCCTCTGATGGTCTCTGAGTTGGGGGAGACTGTTTATTTCTCTACAAACACACACACACACACACACACACACACGCGCGCGCACACACACACACACACACACACACACATCTTCCTCCTGTGTACCTTGTGGCAGTTCTTACATTCCCTGGTAGATATGTGATACGGTTTGGCTGTGTCCCCACCCAAATGTCATCTTGAATTGTAGCACCTATAATTCCCATGTGTTGTGGGAGGGACCCGGTGGGAGATAATCGAATCATTGCCAGTATGGGGGGTGGTTTCCCCCGTACTGTTCTCATGGTAGTGAATAAGTCTTATGAGATATGATGGTTTTATAAGGGGTTTCCCCTTTCACTTAGCTCTCATTCTCTCTTGCCTGCCACCATGTAAGACATGCCTTTCACCTTCCACCATGATTGTGAGTCCTCCCTAGCCGTGTGAAATTGTGAGTCCATTAAACCTCTTTTTCTTTATAAATTACCCAGTCTTAGGTATGTCTTTATCAGCAGCCTGAAAACAGACTAATACAATATGTTAGTGTGCATCTTCACCCATTACCTATCAATAATAATAATTCTAAATGTAATATTAATAACAGCCAGTCTTTATTGACTGATCTCTAGGTGCCAGAAAATTTACTGATATCATCATAGTTAATACTCATAGTGACCCCTTGGAGCAGACACCATCAGAATCACTATGATATAGAAGAGGAAACTGAGACAATAATAAATAGTGGCTCCAGGTTCATGCCTCCAAGTCCATGTTGTTGACCACTACAATTTATCTTCAGTTGAAATATAGAATTAATATCTTATAGATAACTGCTTTGGCCACAGCATCTAAAGTAGAATATACAGAAGAGAGAATGGGTTTTGGAGTCAGATTCAATTAGAATCACCCTCTTGGCTTGGGGATCTTGGGCAATCTCTTGAACTCTTGTTTTTCCATTTTTCTTCTATAAGATACAGAAAACTGTATGTACTTCAGGGGTGGATGTGGAGAGCTTTAACTGAAATCAGACATGTAAACCCACTCCAACAGTGTCCCATGGGTAACAGTATTAGCTAATATTTATCAAATATATGCCCTTTGCTACATGCTTTTCTGTATGATTCATATAGATTAGCTCATTTAACTTCTCATAAAAATCCAGTGGTTGGAATGGCTACATTAATATCAGACCAATTAGATTTTAACACGAAAATGTTACTAGAGTTAAACTTTTAATAATGATACAAAGATCACTCCATCAGAAAGTTACAAGTATGAGTATGTATGCACCTAAACAACAGAACCACTAGATAAATGAAGCAAAGACTGACAGAATTGAGGGAAGAAACAGACAATTCAGAAACAAAAGTTGGAGATGTTCAATATCCCCACTAAGAAAAAAAAATAAGACTCAAATTACTAAAATCAGAAATGAGAGAGTGGACATTACTACTGACCTTACAAAAATAGATAAGTGAAGTATGAGGGAATACTGTGAACAACTGTGTGCCAACAAATTAGAAAGCTTAGATGAAATAGGAAACTTCCTATAAAGATATGAACTACCTAAAAGGACTCAAGGGGAAATAGAAAGGTCCAAATGAACTGCTAACAAGTAAAGACATTAAATTAGAATTTTAAAAATCCCATAGAGAATACCCAGGATCCGATGGCTTCACTGGTGAATTCTACCAGATATTTAGTTAATGAGAATTAATACCAATTATTCCCAAAGTTCTCCAAAAAATAGAAGAGGATACCACACTTTCCACTTATTCTATGAGTTCAGCATTACTCTGCTACCAAAACCAGATAAAGATATTGCCAGGAAGTAACACTACAGACCAATATCTCTTATGATATAGATGTAAAAATCCTCAAAAAAATACTATCAAATAAAATCCAACAGTATCTTAAAAGGATTATATGGTGTGACCAAATGAGAATGCAAAGTTGGTTTAACATTAAAAAAGTAATGAATATAATATGGCACCTCAACAGAATAAAGAACAGAAACCACATGATCATCTCAAAAGTTGCAGAAAAAGCATTCAACAAAAATTAAACACGACTTAATAATAAAAATACTCAACAAACTAGACATAGAAGATAACTGACTCAACCCCATAAATGGCATCTATCAAAACCCACAGCTAACTTACATCATACTTAATAGTGAAAGACTGAATGCTTTTCCCCTTAGAGCAGGGACAAAACAGGAATATCCACTCTCACCACTTCCATACAACATTGTATTTAAGCTAGCACCAAAAGAATAAAATACTGAAAAATAAATTTAAAAAATAAGTTCAATATGTATACTATGGAAACTACAAAACATTTTTGAAAGAAATTAAAGAAGACTTAAACAAATGGCGAGATAGCTTGTTTACAAGGATTGGATGACTTAATATTGTTAAGGTTGCAATACTACCCAAAGTAATCTATAGATCCAATACAATCTCTGTCAAAATCTCAGCTGACTTGTCTGCAGAAATTTATAAATTGTCCTACAATTCATATGAAAATTCAAGGGACTCAGAATAGATGGAAGAATCTTTAAAAAGAATAAATATGGAGAAATCATACTTCCCAATTTTAAATCTTACTACAAAGTTGTGGTAATCAAAACAGTATGGAACTGGCACAATAATAGAGACATAGATCAATGGAACAGAATTGAAAGTCCAGAATAAACCATAAAATTTATGGTCAAGTGGTTTTTGAAACAGGTTCAAGACTATTCAGTGGGGGAAATTATTGTCTTTTTAAAACATGATTTAGGAAAAACGATATCCTTATGCAAAAGAATGAAGGTGGACACTCTACTTCACACCGTTTGCAAAAATTAATTCAAATACATCAAATATCTAAATGTGAGAGCTAAAACTATAAAATTCTTTGAAGAAAACACTGGTATAATTCTTTATAACCTTGTATTAGTTGATGGTTTCTTAGATATACTACTGAAGACACATCAGTAAAAGAAAAAAATATTTAAACTGGACTCAAGCAAAATTAAAAAGAACTTGTACCTAGAAAATATAAGGACCCTATTGCAACTCAATAATTAAAAGACAACCCAGTTAAAAATGGGGAAAGGATCCGAATAGACCTTTCTCCAAATAAGAGATATAAATAACCAATAAGCCCATCAAAAGATGCCCAACATTATTAGCAATCATGGAAATGCAAATTAAAAATAGCATTAAATACAACTTTACACCCAGTAGGATAACTATAATAAAAAAGACAGTTAATAACAAGCGTTGGAGAGAATGGGGATGATTGAACCTTCATATAGTGCAGATGGGAGGTTAAGATGTTATGGCCACTTTGAAAAACAATTCCTCAAATGGTTAAATGATAGAGTTACCATGTGATCCAGCAATTCCATTCCTAGGTATAAACTTACGAGAAAGGAAAATGTACATTTACACAAAATTTTTATATGAATCTTTGTAGCAGCATTATTCACAATAGCTCAAAAGTTGTAACAACCCAAATGCCCATCAAACAATAAATGGATAAACAACGTGGCACATCCGTACAATGGAACATTGTTAAGAAAAAGGAATGAAGTACTGAAAAATGATACCACATGAATGAGCCTCATGAATACTATGCTCATTGATAATGAAATAAGCCAGTCACAAAGGACCACATGTTGTATAATTCCACTTACGTGAAATGCCCAGAATAGGCAAATCTATAGAGACAGTCGATTCATGGTTGACTAAGTTTAGGGACATGGTAAGAGGGTTGGGGGAGTGATTACTAAGAAGTATGGGGTTTCTTTTGGGGTCAATGAAAATATTCCAGATTTGATTGTGATGATGGATGCACAATTTTGTAACTATACTAAAAGCCATTGAATTATACACTTTGGATGAATTGTATGGTATGTGAATTATATCTCAAAAAACTTAAAAAACAGTGAGGTAGGACATTATCTCATTCTTTTTTGTGGCTGCATAGTATTCCATGGTGTGTATATGCCACATTTTCTTTATCCAGTCTAGGTACTATGGTTATATCAGAGGAGCAAACTAAGGTACAGAGAGATTGAGAAACACCATGGTCACATAGTACTGGGAAATAGTGGAATCAGGATCTGAGCAGTATTACTGCATTAGCTCAAGAAGCAGCACCTGTTGCTGTTGCTATAGATTCATTCAACAAAGATTTATTGAGCACCTACTCTGTGAAAGCATGCTCTGACTCCATCTATGAGATGTTGATTCAATAACTCAGGGTTTGCATTTAGAGATCCACTTATACCCACTTGCTGGTGATTCTGCACCTCAGCCGTGATGGGAGACCATGGTTGTGGAGAGGCATTTTAGATATATGTGTTTGTTGAATTAAAGGATGAACAAGTGAGCCATTGAAATTCTACTGGGACTCAGGGTGAGTCTTCACGACCATGTCTTGATCATGAATAATGCTGGTCAGCAAAGCTTGAGTCTTCACTGGCAGACTGAGCTGATGTGTGATGGTAGAAAATGCCTGCTTAGGAGCCACGAGTAAGAAGAACATTTCTAGGGCCAACCCTTTGGATCAATGGTTGTTTGACTTTAGAAAGTCATGCCTGGACAGGAGTGCCAATATTAGTTGGTGTTCTGTGGTGGGAAGCAGTGACAAAAGTGTTTCAGTGGCAGTTGAATTATTTACAAGTCAACATTAGCTGAATTAACAGCATTAATCAGAGATTGGTTGCACCCTGGTGTGACAGGTGCAAAATACTCCTTCACATGCCCTGTGCACTGTGATCCTTATTAAAAGAAAGTAAAATCTCAACTAGGACTTGTCATGCCTAACATCTGTGATGCTATTAAGTTACTACAGTCTGCATTTCTTAATGATAGGAATATGTTCTGAGAAATGCGTCACTTGGCGATTTTGTCATGTGAATATCATCGGGTATATTTACACAGACCTAGATGGTATAGCCTACTGCACACCTAGGTTACATGTCTTGGGTTTCACTCCTAGGATACAATCTATACCGTAGGTTACTGTACTGCAGACTGTAGGCAGTCGTAACACAATTGTAAGTATTTGTTTACTGAAACATAGACAAGGTACAGTAAAATACCCTGTAAAATATTAAAATTGGTACAGCTGTGTAGGGAGTACCTGTATAGGGTATACCTATAAATGCCATAGAGCACTTACCATGAATGGTGCTTATAGGAGAGGAAGTTGCTTTGGGTGAGTCAGGGAGTGAGTGGTGAGTGAATGTGAAAGGCCTAGGACATTATTGTATACTACTGTAAACTTTATAAACACTGTACACCTAGGCTACATTAAATGTATAGAAAGTTTTTTCTTTATTAATAAATTAAACTTAGTTTACTATAACTTACTTTAGAAACATTCTTTTTTTTAAATTTTTGACTCATGTAATAACAATTAGCTTAAAACATGAACATGATGTACAGGCATACAAAAATATTATAATACAGAATATATCTTTATTCTATAAGCTTTTTTCTATTTTAAAAATTATTTATTTATTTATTTAACTTTCTAAACTTTTTAATTAAAAGCTGAGACACACAAACACACATTAGCGTAGGCCTACACGGGGTCAGGATCATTAAGATGACACTAAGTGATAGAAATTTTCCAGCACCATAATAATCTTATGTGACCACCATCCTATATGCAGTCCATCATTGACCAAAATGTCATTATGTGGTGCATGACTGGACTGTAAAATGCAGATCCAAAGGCCACTGAAGTTCCTCAGAGGCAATAATGGAGTGGTCTAGATTAGTGGAGGCAGTATGGATGCGGCTTAGGAACAATGGATCCAGAGTCAGAAGGGCTAGATTCAAATTTTAGCTTGAGAAAAAAGGGATGTAATCACTGGCAAACCATTTAATCCTAAGCTTTGATTACACTGTCTGTCAAGTAAAGGGTAATAAGAATACCTTTGACAATTATTTTGCAGATTAAATAAAATAACGCATGCTAAGTCCCCATGCTTGGAAGAACCAGTGTTTGAAAAATGTAAGCTGTTGTTATGAGCATGATGATAAAGCCTCATCCAGGTCACTGTCACTAGTATGGTCTGTGTCCATCAACAAGGATGCTCGGATGCAAAGGGCATTCTCCACACACATATATTTCCTTAGGATAGTATCAACCTCATTTGGTAGAGGAGGCAAATGGAGCTCGAAGAGATTAGACCACTTCTGCAGTGATCACACAGCAGAGCAGTTGTTTGAACATGGTCGTTGTGACATTCTGCCCTCTTTCCACCCTGCCACCTTCACACCATAGGGAAGGAGCAAGGCATACCTGTGACAGCACAGGCTGACACTGGGGAAGGACTTAATTAGTCAGTCTTCCACAGCAATTAACTGCCTGTTTCCCAGGTGCCTCTGTTCTCTGGGTGGAACTTCTCTCGTCTGTGGGTGAGCTAGGAGGAATCTCAGCCAAGTTGCTGGGTAATGGAATTCATAATTGCTTGCGGCTTACAATGTGGGTGGATAATTCTTCATTAGTTAACGTCATCCATCCTAATGGGGGTAAGGTGAGCTGGAAATGCCAACAGCCAGCACCGTTCTGGATGCCAACTTCTTTGGGCACAGCACAATGATCTTGGTTTTCTTCTGGTTTATTGGCCACCATGTGCAGGTTAGGGGGCTTTCGTTTTCAATCCCCATCATTGTCAAGCTGCTGCCACACTTAGTAGTTATGTCCTGATTCTTGAAAGAGAAGTTTTAACACCTGGCCCCACAATTTAGGCTTGGACAGCAGGGATGCACCCTGGAAATATCAAATCATCATTACTCATTTTTGCAAATGAACACACTGCTGCTTCAAGAAGTAACTTGTTCAAGGTCACACGGTTAGTGGGAGGCAGGACTTGGTCGCAGCCCATCCTCCTAAGCTGCAATGCTACCCGGCCTGGGAGAACAGGGGCTCTTTTGACAAACCTCCATCACCTCTGTCTTTGGGACTGGCTGTCAGCTCCCTTTCTTGGTTTGGGATGGGGTTGGGCACGCAGAAAGAGAGAGGAAGGGAGAGACTTTTCCCACATACTCTGGGGACTCAGACTTGGGGGCTGAAGAATGGATATTCCCCAAGGCATAGAGAGAAGAGCCCTCCAGGCAGAGTGAACAGCTCATTGGGATGACCGAAGGCATCACAGCGTACTGTTCCAGCATGTTCTCCCCAGACACTTGGTCATGCCCACTCTGCATAATGGTCCTGGGGCTGAGACCTCAGAGACAAACAGGACCCAGTTTCTGCTCAGATCTGAAAGCCCAGGGACACCTGGACTTAGCTGAGCCCTGATCCTACCACAGTTTCTGCCTTTGATGTTGCTTCATGCTATTGACTTTGTGAGCCACAGCTCCTCACGTGTTTTCAGCTCCTGAAAGGACCAAGAGAGACACGTGATGCCAATTGGCAGGAGTGCAGAGGAGGAGGTGCTAATGGGACATGAAAGAGTCCTAGAAAAGGAAGTGAATGTGAGGGGGCCTCTGGGGCTGCAGGCAGGATGTAATTCTCACTGATGGCTGCTCATGGGTCTCTGATGTGATGAGCTATGGTATGTAGAAGACATTTGGGCAGATAGGTGCTTAATAAAAATTAGTGGAATCAATGAATTGGATAAATTAAGAAAATGGCAAGGGAAGGAAAGAAGATTATGTGAATGAATGAAAACCTCAAATAGTGGTAATAACAGTCATTATTAGCTGGGCACTTACTATGTGTCCAGGACCTGACTTCTATTATTTCGTTTAACCTTCCCATCCATCCTGCAAGTGGGTATTTTAGAAATGTTTTCTAGGAGAAGAAAGCAAAGCCAGAGAGGTTAAGATACTTCTCCAGGGTCACAGAGTCAGGACATGAGAGAACCAGGATTCAGTCCTTTGATGTACCCCCAAAGCCTGTGTTCTTTATAGACAAGTTTTCTTTGCTCTCCATTATGACTCTGGTGAAAAGTCAATTTTCAGTGGTCGTGTTTGTTTGCTGAAAAGAGCAATTCCCTTTCCTCCATCTCCAATTTTCCTCCAACTAATTGCAAATTAGTGGTAATTTTCAGATGAAAAGAGGGATCCTGCATGCCATCCATTTGTGCTTACCCAGCAAGACCTTGGGCCTGTGACAGCTCTGTTGCCATGGCAACCCTGCATCCAGGCCTTCCTGGGATCCTTGGCAGCATTGTCCTGGGCTCCGGAGGTGGGGCCGCTCACCCTCTGGGTCAGCCTCTTCCTTTGCTCCAATGTCCCAGAATTTTAGGTTTAGCAAAGCTCCAGTCTTCCTACTTACTGCTCACTTTGATGCTCTCTACTTTTGGGAGTTCAGAATGAAAATAATAATAATACAAATAAAAAGAAGGAAAGGAGAAAAGAACCAAAGAAATCTATCCATGTGAACTGGGGACGAAATGAGAAGCTGTCTCCCCTCTGCCACCTAAAACTCGGAGAGAGCATTATCCTTCTCAATTCAACTGCTGCAGCAGGTGGAAGAGGCTCCCTGCTCTGAGGCCCAGTAGATGCAAATGTCCTGCCTTCAATAGTGCTGGCAGTTCTGGTGGGTGGAAGAGTTGTGGTGGGAGAACATCGTTTCAGCCCAACTCTGGCCCAGAGGGCCTCTTTGGCAAAGAGTCCCAGACCCAGAAGGTGGGGATCTTTGCAGCGCACTGCTTTATTTATTTATTTGTGGATAGGTACTTGCTCTCAGTCCATAACGGACATGTGTTGATTACTTACTGTGTAGTGAGCTCTGAGGATGAGACAGTAAAAGATTCCCATCCCCTGTTATTAACAGACTGTGACCAGTGAGGGAGACTGATGCTCAATGCAGTCCTGCCAAGGCTGCAACTTAGGAGTGGGGTCAGCACGATCTGCTGCATTTGCAGACTGAGGGACATGAGCTGAGTCTTGAGAGGAATTAGCAAATTGTTGGAAAGATGAAGTAGGAAGAAACAAATCCCAGATAGAGAGAATAGTGGAGGATGTAAAAGTGTGGAGGTGAGACAGAGCTTAATATATTTTGATAACTCCCGCTGGTAAGAATGGCTGGGATGCAGGTAACTGGGGGAGGGGTTTGGGAGTGGAGAACAATGTTTATTAAATAATTTTTTTAATTATAAAAATAAATTGAGTGCTCAAGATCCTGGGCTAGAATGGATTGGGAGACAAGCCTCTATAAGGTTCTTAGATCACACAATTAACGATGGGGTACAGAGACAGACATCAACACCAAGTCATCTCAGAATGACCGGAAACCACCCCCACCACCATTACCCAGAAGAGTGGAGTCAAGACCGTGAAGTCTTGGTCATGTTGCTGCAGAAAAGATTGGTGGCTCACCTTGCCCCATCTTCAGCGTCAGTTTCAAGGGCGCTCCTCCCACAAAGATGGGCGTCAACTAACAGAGGGAGACACCATGGATTTGCAGGGGATCCATGCACTGGGTGTCTTTTGATGGGGGGTGCTCAGGATTTGCAGTTTTGGAGGAGGAAGTTCCCTTCAATTTCTTCCAAGGTGATGTGAGTTGAGGTAGGACCATACGGTAAAAGATGAGGGCACTGGTAAAGTAGCATGGTCCCTGAGAAACCCTCAAAGCTCAGACCATACAAGTACGAGGGACGGATGGCTGAGAACACTGGCTCTGGCTCTCTCCACAAGCAGTGCTGCATGAGCCACAGCCACACATGGCCCCAGCCTTCGTACCCTGCACCACTGCCAATTGTTTCCTACCACCCTACCTCCCTTTCTACTCCACCCTTTTCTGCCTTGCATTTTTAAAAAAGGTATTATTAGTTGAGGTTAAAATTCATGTACAATATCACACAATACAACAGTTTTTGACGAATGTATCCTCATGTAACCAAACCCCAACAAGACAGAGAAGAACAATTACATCTCCCAGAAAGTTTTCCCAAGCCCTATAGGCAATCATTGGTGATGTTTATCCTGATTTTGAAGAGGGACGGCAGGTCAGAGGACTTCAGGAAGCAGCACCTCTGAGACAGTCTGCAGAGCCCAGAGGCTCAGGTTCTGGCCCAGGTCACCTCTCTGTGCCTCCTCTGTAGAATGCAGACCACAGGGTTGCACCTTCCTCTGGGAGCTATCATGAGATGAGGCTTGTAAAATTTGTAACAGGTGCCTGGTACTTAGGAAGGGCTCAGCCTTTGTTTTTAGTATAACAGGTTGAGGGAGCACAGAAATGGGTGCCAGGGGCTTAAGAGAAGATCTTGACAAACTGCAGAGGAGAGCATATCAGCTATCTCCTCCCATTCCACAAGGACGGTGATCACGCTAGCTAACATTTGTTGGGGGCTTAATAGACAATGGGCACTAAGTGCTCTTCATAAATATTTAAAGTCTCACAACTCTGACAATAAGTGACTGGAGCACAGAGAGGTAGCAACTTGTCAACCATCACACAAGTATCCCGTAGCCCAGTCGGCTTCTATCCCAGGAAACCTGGCCTCACGAACCTGGCTTTTTGCCATTGGCCTATACTGGGGGACATTTCTTTAAAGTATGCCCCAAATCGGCCGGGTGCAGTGGCTCATGCCTGTAATCCCAGCACTTTGGGAGGCCGAGATGGACAAATCACCTGAGGTCAGGAGTTCGAGACCAGCCTGACTAGCATGGAGAAACCCCATCTTTACTAAAAATACAAAATTAGCTGGGCATGGTGGTGCATGCCTGTAATCCCATCTACTCGGGAGGCTGAGGCAGGAGAATCGCTTGAACCTGGGAGGTGGAGGTTGCAGTGAGCTGAGATTGCACCATTGCACTCCAGCCTGGGCAACAAGAGCAAAACTCTGTCTCAAAAAAAGAAAAAAGAAAAAAAAAAAAAGATGTCCCAAATCTGAGTGGCTTGAAATAAGGTATGGGTTACCCGGGAAATGGATCAACATGTAAGAGAATAGATTCTCTACTGCAAAATATTCTTAACAATCAGAGGTCTGAACTTGGTTCTTTTAAGTAACAAGGGAGAGAAAGAAAATCAGGGATGAGATTTGTAGCCAAGAAATAGGCTGGAACAAATCTTTCTTCACAAATGGGGTTTATACTTAAGGAGAAGAATAGTACACATGCTGAATAGCCACATTTAGGATTAATCAGAGACAAAGTGTTCCTTGAGTGTGACATTCAGGGCACTCGTTTTACATTTGCATTAAAAAAAAAAAACAGGATCAGGTTTTGCTAAGAGCAGATGACAATTGCTGTCTATACAGTCTTAGATGGGGCAGCTTTATTCCTGAATATTCCCATTCGTGATTTAGGATTTGGATGCACGGCTGCGGGGAGCAACAGGCAGGTGGTACTCTGGTGTTTCAAGTCTCTGTCCCATTCAAGGGGCCTCCCAAGGAGGTTGACAGGTGCCAGCTGTTTCCTGTTTTCTGAGTGGGGATTTTGTTACCTGTGCTTGGGTAAGTGTTTTCACCCTAGATCTGGTCCCTGAGAATCTTTTTGCTGGACTCACACACCCCTTGGGACTTGCCATTAGACTTTGGGAGTCATGTGTCCCCACAGGTTCCCCCCAGATGTATTAGTTTATAATTAAAGGCCTTTTTTCCTCTTATTTATATTTCTTTGAGTTTAGTCTCTTGGACTGTCAATTGCATTGCCACTTCATGGAAATAACAATAGTGAACTCAGCAGAATGACTGCAAGGAGTAAGTGATGTGGCTTAAGTGCATCTCTAGCAAACAGCCTGGTATGGGAGAGACCCTCAGCTCATGTCAATTCTTCCTCCTTAGTAATTCTGTTTGTATGAAGCAAGAGAGAAGCTTCCTTTGTTTCTTTTCCCCCCTTTGCTGAACAGCAATACCAGTCTCCTGGGGGTTCCCTACCTGCTGGTAACTTTCTACCTTCTCCCAGTATCGTATTTCTCTTCTGGTCCTCTAACTCCCTAAGCAATAAACTTGCTACAGGATAAAATTTGCAGGGAGTAAATTTCCATTAATCACCCTAATGCTAGTTATTATTGTGAATGACAAATCAAATATAATATGATAGTCACCGTTTATTTCATGTCTGCCTGATGCCTAGTACTATGTGAAATGCTAGATCTCTGGGATCTAGATGATAATTAATAAGCACCTATCCAATGAATGAAGTGACTGTTTACACTCACAACTACTGTGTATAGAAGCTCCACCCCACCCACCCAGTTTACAGATTAGGGAGACAGAGACTCATGAAGGATAAATGACTTCCAAGTGAAGAATATCGCAGAGTTAGCATTTAAAACCTGGCCCATGCACATTCAGGTCCTTTAAGGAAGTCAGACCACAAAACCCCCGATTTCCCCAGACCCTGGAAAAGGTCTGCTCTTGAAAGGGTTTGGCTTGACTCGTAATTTATTTGCAGATCTCAGCCTGTGGGTTTGATTCTGAATTTATGATGCATGCTCAGGTCTTTCGTGACTTGTGCTCCTCGAATTTCATTAGGGCGACCTGTAATTGTTGTGGTAAATGTTTACACATCTATATATTATTATTAGGCAAGTGGGGCAAGGTCAACCTTTATCTTTTAAGGTGCCGGGAACAGACTTCGGAGATTTCCCAGCAGACAAAAGGGGTTGGGATCTGATTAATTACGGACTGTGTTGGGTTCATATTGACAACACTGTTACTGCTAATATTGAAGTCCCAAATGGGTCATCGTTTCTGAGCATGAAAAATTATCACCCTTTTACTGATTGTTTTGTAAGTGATTCAATTTTAAATCATTAATGACTATTGGTAGCTAATCTTTTTACTCAGGAAGCAAAGCCCAAGATACCTTTGGGGTCTCGGGCTGAACTTTATTTTACTGTATTTCCTGCTACCTGTTTAAACTAATACCTTTATTGCCAACTCATGGCATTATATGCTAATTATTAGAAAATGGATTGCAAAAGTAACATTAAAGAAATACTTATGAATGAAAAAGAATTAACATAACTACACATTCACTATGTGTTAGACACTTTTGTGTTACGTTATCTAATGCAACAAACACATGAGGTAGGTTTCATTCCTATTTTTAAGTTATGAAACTGAGATTCAGAGATTATGTTATTCTAGGATAATGTGAAGGATGTGATGTCTAGGATAATGCAAAGTAAGGTTTATGAGGTTACAAACCTAGTTCTTTCTGCCACACATTTAGGATTAACACCATGAGTCCTCTTTCCAGGTTCTGAGAACTGGGTTGAAAGGTTGAAAAAGTAGTTGTATTTCTGTTGAGTTTGGGATCATACTGTCAGCTTATACAACACCCTTGGTGGTAGCAAAATTACCAGAAGTGATACAGCATGACCTCAATCTCAATACAACTTTCTTCTGTTTTGGGAACATAGGAAAGAGCCGTGTGAGCTTTTGGAAACACTCAAGGGTTATCCTCCCAATATTAGCCTGCTCAAATTTCCATTTTTTTTCGAACCCCTTTCTTATTTTCACTTCTAATCTGAAACTTTCTGTAGGTCAGGTACTATTTCTTTTTCATCTCTGAAGCCTTAGTAGATAGCATAATAGCTGAGATATAGTAGGTATATTAGGATTCTCTAAAGAAACAAAACTAATTGTTTGGATGAATAGAAAAACATCTTTTTAAAGGCAGGATTTCACTCTGTCACTCATGTTGGAGTGCAGTGACACGATTATAGTTCACTGCAGCCTTGAACTCTTGGGCTCAGGCGATCCTTTTACCTCAGCCTCCTGAGTAGCTTAGGTGCAGGCAACCATACCAAGATAATTAAAACAAAAATTATTTGTAGAGCTGTGGTCTTGCTATGTTGCCCAGGCTGGACTCAAACTCCTGGTCTCAAGTGATCCTCCTGCCTCGGCCTCCCAATGTGCTGGGATTACAGGCATGAGCCACCACACTAATCGTGAAAGACTTTTTTTTTTTTTTTTTTTTAATGAGGGATTGACAGACATGAATATGGAGGCTAGGAAGTCCCACAGTCTGGTGTCTTCAAGCTGGAGGCCCGGGAAGCTGGTGGTATGGCTCCGGTTAAAGCTCTAAGGCTTGAGGAACAGAGGAAGAATTTGTGTCAGTCCCAGCCTGAGTCTGCAGGCCCAGGAACCAGCAGCACTGATGTCCAAGGGCAGGAGAAGATGGATGTCCCAGCTCAAGCTGAGAGAGAGGTGGAGAGAGAGAGAGAGAAAGAGAGAGTGAGAAAGAGAGCAAATTTGCCCTTCTTCACCTTTCTGTTCTATGTAGACTCTCAACAGAATGGATAATAAGCACCCAAAATTGTGAGGGTGAGTGATCCTCTCTATTCAGCCTATTGATTCGAATGCTGATCCCTTCCAGAAACACCCTCACAGATGTACTCAGGGATAATATCGTACTAGCTTTCTGGACTCCCTTAGCCCAGTCAAGTTGACACATAAAATTGAGCATCACAGTAGGTCCTTAACCAAATCTGCTGAAGGAATACATGAGTGCAAGAATCCCTATCTCCACTGTGAAGAAGTTTATAAATACAGCCATACCAGAATGTAATATCCTGCATATGTGTGTGTGTGTGTATACATATATACACACACACACATATATATATATGCACACACTCTTCCATGTTTCCAAATTATCTTTGTTTCCTTTTTAGATAATTTCATCACTGATAGGAGGAAAGAAGTGGGTAAGAGAATTGCTCTGCCCTATGGAAAACTAAATTGGAAGCCAGTATTTTCTGAAGTCCCAAAAAGAGTTAAATAGAACCTCTGACAAGTATAGCCTCAAAATCTGTAATTCAAACCCAAAGTGTCCCTCTGTACTTTGGAAATTCTGGGATATGCTCCCCTGCCTTCATTAGTGAGACCGAGGACATTCAGTCTCCAGAGGATAATTACTGGCATTTAAGTTTTTCTCTCTGGAAGCACTGAGGCAAGCTCTTTCTACTGTTCTGCCTGCCTCATGGGGCTTCTCCCTTATTAGTGAGAGAATTTCAAAGTTGGGCTCATTATTCTGGCTTCCTTTTTCCTCTTCCTGTCTACCCCCTCTTTGTCCAGGTTACCTCTTATAGTATAAATGC
Organism: Homo sapiens; assembly: GCF_000001405.40. NCBI lineage: Eukaryota > Metazoa > Chordata > Mammalia > Primates > Hominidae > Homo > Homo sapiens. Next base: position 65,901,898 of record NC_000016.10, on the reverse strand, counting down.
CATTTATAGCCCAAAACTTAAGGACTCCATCAGCAAATGAATACTCAAGTTCAACTCCCAATGACAGATTACCCACTGTGTGCAGGACCATTTACTCTCCCAGCAAATAAATTTTACTCAACCCAGCTCCTACTGTGTGTCCATCCTTTTGTCAAATGGGATGACAATGAGATTAGCAATGAATGAATGGCCTGGAATCAGCTCTCAAGACCACGTAGTCTGATGGGGAAAGGGGTAGGCAGGATCTTTTAGGAATGGTGAAGGCCAAGAAGATATCACAAGACTGTAGAATGTCATTTAGTGTCTTCTTATATAATTTCCAGAATAAGCCAGGATCTTCATCTTTGAAGGTGTTGCAGTCTCGGTGTGTTGGTAAGAATTAACAACATTAAATTGCTTATAAAGACCTTTCTTCATCATCATCTTTTTGCTGTATGTAAGAGCGTCCCACTTGAAAACAGGAAAGGCTCTATTTAGAATCCATCCTGGAACAGGTTGCTTGACTTGCAAACCCTGCTTACCAGCATTTTGACTCCAAATGTCCAAACTGTCTACCTTTCTCAGAAATACCTACAGATGCTCATTAATTAGGAACTTCTCAACACAATGCAAATATTAGTTGAGAGGATTCAATTTACTTTATGAAATTTTCCAATAAGCTTAAGCATATTTATCTGTCTGTCTGGTCAGTTTACTACAAACAGGTCGAAGGTGGGGCTGGTTTTTTGACCCTTGTCTTTGGACTCCAGGGTTTCCTTTAGGAGCAATGATAATGAGAACGTCCAGGTTCTGAGCTGCTTCATGACCTTATCCCATTACATGGTTCTTCATTGTCTGTTGGTGCCTGACTGCAGCCTAACACTAATGGTGAGAAATAGAGTGGAGGAAGTTAAAACAGAAGCTAAAATGAGATTTGCATTTCTAATCCACGGGCTGCAAATGTGTAGATTCTCCTTAGTATCACGGGTGATTGAAAACCAAGTGTGCCATCACTTACAGGGCAAGCTATTGTTTTTTTCTTGGCCCCATTTCCTTAACTGTTCTACAGCAAACTCCATTCCTCAACTCTTTCCTCTGGACCTTAGAGCTCTCATCTCTAAAGTGTAAGGATAGGAGGTCTCTAAATATCCTGAGTTCTTAAATGCCATGGCATTTTGGAAGATTCAACCAACTCTACCTCAGGGATTGTCGCACCTGTTGAGAGGCATTTATACCTATACTGTGAAGGTTTTAAAACATGGATGCAGATTCTTTAACATTTTTCCCATCTGGAGATAGGGCCTATGTCTTTGACCTTTGAATCTGGGTGAGTTTGTGACTACTTCAACCAACAGAATATGATGAAAGTGATACTATGTGCCCTCCAAAGTTAGATCATAAAGGCTTTGTTCTTTCACCTTCTTTCCTGGAATATAATGTCTGAAGCTCTGAGACCACTATGCTGGAGAAGCCATCTGTTCCTAGAGTCTGTCCTAGTGGAGCTCAGCCTTCCAGCCATCTCATCAAGGTGCAGACATGTGAACAAGGAAGCCTTCAGATGATTCCAACTCTCAGATATTCAAGTCACCCCTGGCCATTTGAGTCTTCCTAGCTGGGGTCCTAGGAATTTTGAAGCAGAAACATGCCATTACCTCTGTGCCCTATCTTAATTCCTTACCCTCAAAATCTGTGTTCATGTTAAGCAGCTGTTGGTTATGCTGTTGGTTTGAAGTGGTTTATTGCAACCCAATAGAATGAGAATGTCTGTTAAGCAATAGAAAAACAGATAGTCTTAGAGGGACACCTGGCTAGCCCTTTCATATGAAGCTTAGAAGTGTTGGTGGCAGGGCTGGTGGCTCACATCTGTAATCCCAGCACTTTGGGAGGCTGAGGTGGGTGGATCACGAGGTCAGGAGATCGAGACCATCCTGGCCAACACGGTGAAACCCCGTCTCTACTAAAAATACAAAAAAAAAAAAAAAATTAGCCAGACGGGGTGGCAGGCACCTGTAGTCCCAGCTACTCAGGAGGCTGAGGCAGGAGAATGGCGTGAACCTGGGAGGCAGAGCTTGCAGTGAGCTGAGATGGCACCACTGCACTCCAGCCTGGGCGATAGAGCAAGACTCTGTCTCAAAAAAAAAAAAAAAAAAAAAAAAAGAATTGTTGTTGGTAAAAATGGAAATTCTTGGCCTTTAACTTGTTTGTGTGTCTGCATGAAAGTGTGTTGGGAGTCTTTGCCTCTTCTTTCCTGAGAGGGTGAGTGTCGGAGGAGACCTAGAAAGTCACCTTTTAAAAGAGAGTTGCTCTCCTCTCCTGTGCTGACACCTTCTCTCTGCTGCATCCCTTCTTGTGCTTCTGCATCCACCCTGCTGTGCGAAGTGTTGCATGGGAGCAGACCCCATCATCCATGCATATGGAATTCCTTAGAGCAGGGGTCCTCCATGCTTCCTATCAAAACTGTGTTCATCCTGAATGAAGAGTCGGCTTTCCATCAGAGAGACTATAGAAGGGACTGGAAATAATGAGAGGCAATGCTCAGCCGTTTTTGCTACACATGAGGTGCTATAGTAAGAGCTTTCTTTACATGCTTCAACCCATTGACTCGTCATAGCCACTCTGTGAGAAAGGGAGGCAGGCATGAGTGTGGACCCATTTAAGAGATGTGAGAGGGGTGGCTTAGAGGAGTTGAGTCACTTACCAGGATTTTGATTCTAACATGACTTTTACACTTAACCTCTCTGCTATCCTGCTTCTCAGAAAGACCCCAATCTGGAAGCCTGTTTCTAATGGTTAGGAATGAGACCTTGAGCAAGTCATACCATCTAGACCTCCTCATATATCACTTGGGGGTGAAACTTTCTGTCCTGCAAGATCAAAGCACTTTTGAGGGTTCTTATGATGCCCCGTTTGTGCAAAAGCATTTATAACCTCTTGGGTTTTGTGCATTTCCAGGAAGCACTTTGCACTTCTCTTCCTTAGATGCCATTATATTTTGAGATGCATAGTTTTCATGTTTAAAAAAGAAGTTTAATACAATTTTGGTTCAACGCTAGGTATACTTCTTTCTTTTGTCTTTGACAAAAGCCTAAAGCAGTCAGGTTGCATGAATCTTAATCCCAAAGTAACCTCCACCTCCTCATTGCAATGAGTGCCTTGCATCTCAGAGGTCAGGCCAATCAGAACAATGAGCCCAAGATGTATTGAATTGCAGCTTGGTGATAATTATTTCTTCTTCTTTTTAGCAGATTTCTGTTAGTCAGTTTAAAGCTTGCATTTGCAGAGGGCTCTGTGCTCTGCATATAACTGAGCTCACCTCGTATGCCCCAGGTCCAATTCTGAATGCAGCCACCAAGTCCATCATTACAACCAGCTCCCTCTGTGTGCTTCCTTCCTCCCACCCCTGGCAACCAGTCACCAAGGGCTTTTCACTCTTTATATAATCTTGATACTTCCTGCCTCCTTTGCCCCACTCCTCCAACTTTATCTTTGCTGTGTCTCTTTTTGTTTGGTGTCTCACCTGCCATATTCTTTCACCATCCTTACTGGCTTGACAGCTGGCACCTCTTGTGCCCACACTAATCCATTGTCTACAGCACAGCCAGTGAGATATTTTACAAATGCAAATGCCCCACCTCCCACCTGGGAAGTAGCGGGGATTCTTTGAAGTAATAGAAGCAGTGGGGGAAAGGGGTCAGAGGTCACTGCCCTGTGATCATCTCCCAAGTTTGTGTCTCCCATAGAATGCAAGCTTCTTGAGGGCAGATATTCTATATTCTTCATCTTCATGCTCTCAACAACCCACACAGTGCCTGCTGCAGAGGTTCAATTCTGAATGAATGAGGAGCAGTTAGGTGTGGAAAGCTGTGAAGAGTAAGTCAGGGAAATCACAGGAGACGGAGAAAGATGCCACCTGCTCCTGGATCTGAACTCAAGGAAAGAAGCTAGACATACAGCTATCCCAGCCCAAGAGGTCAAGGAATAATGCAGGTTAATTAAAGTGGAGAATAGTTTGATGATTGTTTGATGGCAGAGATCTGTCGGACTTAGTGATGTGGCAGACAGGGAGAGAAGCAGATAAGAAGGCACTAGCAAGGGTCTCACTGAGGACTTACTTGAAGACCTGGGTCTGTGGGAGCCCTCCAACCTGGATTCCATTCATGTTCTTAATCCTCATAACTCTGTGACCTGGGAAGCTTGCTTAATCTTTACAATAGCCAGTTTCCCAATCTGGGAATTGAACCATATCAAGAAGGGAGAACCCTTCCTTCTCTGACAGGGTAGGAGTGGTCTAAGTGTGTGCTGTCTGGAATCAGATGGAGCATGCTTGAATCCCAGTTGTGCCCCTCTTGTGAGTACTTGGGCAAGTTACTTAACATCTAAAAGCTTCAGTTCCATGCTCCATAAAATGGGTAATACTGATTTCACATAGGTTTCAAGAAGACTAAATAAGATGAGTATTAAAAAGGTAGCACATGGTAAGTGGTTTCTGAAAAATAATTGCTTCCACTTTATCTGGGGCAAACCCAAGCTTGCCCCTTAGTGACCGCAATCCCTGTCTCCCACCCTGGGCTCTGCATTCATGGTACCCACCATTCCCCAAGCCCACTCTGCTTGCTGAAGATTCTTTTCCTTCTGGATCTCCCCTGGCATTGTGAACTGCCCTCTCTCTTCTTTCCCTTGAAAAGTGATTTTACGTCCTTGGCTTTGTGTGGGCTCTTGACATATGTTAATGTTTGGAATATCAGCCTAGAACAGAGCAGGAAGCCCTTCCAAACATAAGCCTGGAGGCAACACATAAATTACTTTGCAGAGATGGTTCTGTCTGTTGCAAGTTAAAACTGAATGAAGAAAACAATTCCCTTCTGTTGTGGGTGCCCCGGAAGCTGTGGGCATCCTTGCGTCTGGGTCAGGAGTCCACTTGTTCTGCAGCCAGGGATGGAATCATCATCAAAGTTATCTTGTACTGTGTGCCCGGCATTGTGCAAGACCCTTAACACACATATGACAGATGAGAAGCAGCCTGTTTAACAGGGTTCATTAACTTGTCCAAACTCACCTATAAAGTAAATAGTTGAAGTCAGATTTGGAAGCAGACCTGTAGATTCTAAAGTCTATGTGTTCACCACTAAACTTCATAGCTTCTTAGAATGTAAAAAGTAGAGGGCATCCCTTTTTTTGACAGAAAAAAGAGCATTTTGGAACGTTTCCTCTGGGTGCACCATGGATTGCTGATAGGAGTTAGTGAGACTAGAGACAGCAACCAGGTGAAAGGCCGTGGTGACTGGTCATGTAGAGGTAGGTAGCCTGAGGATGCCTCATTAACCTCTGCAGGCTGTGGCTTATCAGGCACTCAGAGACCCAGGTCTTCTCCTAGGTGCACTAGAAGCAGGTCTCTGGCAGCAGAAGGACTAACCTCAGGCTCTGTCCAAGTCCACCTTAGGTTTCTGCCCTAGGTCATTCACGATGGTCTCTGTGCCTTGTTGTCTCTAGCTCTAGCATAATGTGACACATTGTTTACAAAATTTGCTCTCAACCTTTTGCAGTGTGACTTTGTGTTTCTTCTGATTAAGTAATGTAGTCTCTTTCTCCATCCCTTGAATCTGGGTTTAGTTTAACCTAAGGAACATTACAGAATGTGATGTGAGCAAAGGCTTCAAAAGCACTCTTACAATGGGGCTCATCCTCTCTCTCTCTCATGGCTCTTTGGAGCACTGAGACTATCAAGTGAAGGAGCCTGAGCTAGCCTGCTGGAGGATGAGGCACCATATGGAGCCAAGAGGAGCAAATCCAGCTGAGACCTTCTTAGAACAGCCAGACTGCCAGCCACCAGCAATGTGAGCAATGTTGCCTAGATCACGCAGCATAGCTGAGATGCCAGCTGACCCTAGAAATCAACTGAGCCAGTCCAGCCCAGGAAACCTGCCTAGCTGACCCACAGAATGTAAGAAATAATAAATGTTTGCTGGTTTAAGCTACTAAGGTTTGGAGTTGTTTTTAAGCAAAAATAACAGATAATATCTGAGTCAATAGGGAGGAGAATTTTGAGGTGCCTCTTGTTTCTGAGCTCCCACAACTTTTAGTACCTCCAGTTCAGCACATATATGTTACACCTGCCTTGAATTAGAGCCTGACCTCCCTGGCTCCATATCCTAGTGAACTGGGATAATTCCCTGATACCCCTTGCAGGATGTGCAACAGCAGTGTGGCTCTCCTATTTGGTCACTGCTGCTGCTCAAACCCCCGAGGAAGGGTTAGCATGCACATGGACAGGTGCAGGAGCCCAGGTGGGCATGTGTTACAGTGTGCCCTTTTAGCCTTGCTGTCTGTGGATGGCTTGCGTGTTAACCAGCTCAGTGGACCATCTGCCTTTCTGCAGCGCAGAGGGCCAGTGTGACAACTTTCCATATCCTGAGCTCTTGCCCAGAGTCCTGGAAGAATTGAGTCACACATGAACTCAAAGGATGAATGTGGGGGTTTTGAGGGGTGGAAGTGGCTCTCAGTGGGATGGATGCGGAGCTGGGGAGCTGAAAGTGGGGATGGACTGGGAAGATGATCTTCCTCTGGAGCCTGGCTGTCCAGCAGCCGAATTCCTCTCTGACCACCCCCGGTCAAACTTCTCTTGGCATTCAGACATTCCTTTTCCTCTTTCTTCCTCTGTTGTGTCATTCCGCCGTTTATCTGTTTGTCTTCTTGTCTCCTCATCTGCTTGTCTGCTTCTGGAGCCCGGGGTTTGGGATTTATATGGGTACAGGATAGGGGCATGGCAGGCCAAAAGGCAACTATTTTGGCATGAAAACAGAAATGCCTGTTCCCACTTAGGGCTGTTGGCTTCCAGGCTTGAGGGGCCTTTGCTGGGGAACTGCCCTCTCTACCCAGTGTTTCCCTGTCTCCTCTCTGTATCACTAGGTCAGAGTTGAAGCTGAAGGTCACCACATCAACCTCCTTTATTCCCCAACTGGGATCCAGACTCTTGGGGCAAAAGGCAGATCATGGAGGGTATTATATCCCTGGCAAAGAGCCCAGACTACATGCTGAAGGTGTTTAGGAGCCTAGAAGTTTTGTTTGTTCATTTGCTTTAAAACCAGAATTGAAAGTGTTCCATATCCTGTTCATGATGGTAGGTTATGCTGCCATATGCGTTTGTCAAAACTCACAGAACTGGACACCAAAAAGTATAAACTTTACTGTACGTATATTATACTTTAATACAATATTTAAAAATAAATAATTTTTAGTATGGAGACACATGAGAATTTGAATGAAATCTGTGGATTTTCCAGTCCCATTATGAAGACCATACTGTTACTATGACTACATTTTATCATACATAATTCATTAAGAAAAATTCTTTATAACTTTCATTCTTAATGCATGTTTCTGTTAAAGAAATTGTATCATGATAGAATTACAAAAATCAGCTTAGAAACAAATGCATATTCACTGTTGAAAACAGTGTGGTAATATTCTACTCATGGGGAAGGGAAGTAGATGTGCTTTTCCCTATTCCTTTTGCTAAGGACTGTTAAAAACTCTGGATATTATATGTGAAACAAACATAAGAAGACTCTGAAAGGTAGAAAAAGGCAGACCAACTAGGGCCATTGGGACCTGAGGAGCTACACAGAGGTATGTTCCTTGGATGATGATTTTTTTTTGCCTCATCTATCCCGGGCTTGGAGCTGAAGGAAACAGCAACCTAGAAACACCAGCAGGTGCAGATTTTTTTTTTTAAGCCTGACCCAAGCATATTCTCTTTAGCCAAAGGGCCAGGTAAAGGGATAGCCTATTTTATAAACTTTTATACAATAACCACTCTAGATAAATACCACAGAAAACACAGTAGCTCTGCCCCAAGCCATTGAAGCAAAGACCAAGTTGGGTTCCTAGACTTTCACCTTCACCAGAATATGACAAGGGCACAACTAAATCCTTGCCAGGCAATGTCAGAAAAGTCCAAGTGGGGAACTGGGACTTTATCCCTGCTGGGTGGTAATAAGGAGGCTCCTCCGCATTACAGTGGAGATCACGGGGAACCTGGACCTCCACCCATCATGGGAATGATGAAGTGCTCCTCTTCCTCCTTGCTGGGAGGTGTCAGAGGAGACCTCATGAAAAATCAGCACTCTGACCCCTGCCCATTTATAACAAGGCCACACACTCCTATGGTATCACTGGAGGCCAACTGGGGAGGAGTAATGAGTCCCTTCCACCATCTCAGCCTGCGAGGTATCAATTGAGGTATATGAAGTGGAACTCTGGCCTCACCCAGCAGTAATGAGGAGACCCCTCACTTGGTTGTCCACAAAGGCCATGTGGGAAATTTGAAATTTCTACCCTCACCTGAAAGTAATGAGGTAGTGACTTCCCTTCTCCTGCCAGAGCAGGGTCAGAAAAAGTCAGCTAAAACAGGTTAAAATAAGAGCCATAGAGTCATAAGTATATGTATACTTACGACATAGTACCCAGTATATGTGCAGGTTTCAATAAGAAATCACTTATCACACAAATAACCAGAAGGACCTCAAACTGAATGAGAAAAGATGATTAATTGATGTCAATATTGAGATGACAGGGATGTTACAATTATCTAGTAAAGATTTTAGGCTGGGAGTTTTAAAATTTCCATTTTTGGGCTGGCTGTGCACCTGTTATCCCAGCTACTCCACAGGCTGAGGTGGGAGGATCACTTAAGCCCAGGAGTTCTAGCCCAGCCTGGGCAACATAGCAAGACCCTATCTTTAAAAATGTAAGTAAAAAAAAAATAAATAAAATAAATAAATAAATAAATAAATAAATAAGGCCAGGCGCGGTGGCTCACGCCTGTAATCCCAGCACTTTGGGAGGCTGAGTGGGCAGATCACCTGAGGTCAGGGGTTTGAGACCAGCCTGGCCAACATGGCGAAACCCCATCTCTACAAAAAATATAAAGATTAGTTGGGCATAGTGGTGAGCACCTGTAATCCCAGCTACTCAGGAGGCTGAGGCATGAGAATTGCTTGAACCCGGGAGGCGGAGGTTGCAGTGAGCCAAGATCACACCACTGCACTCCAGCCTGGGTGACAGAGTGAGACTCTGTCTCAAAAAAAAAAAAAAAAAAAAATCCATCTTCCTCTCCCCAAGGTTTGATTTGAAGTACTCTTTTAGCATGTATTGTTGACCCTTGAACAACTTAGGAGTTGGGAATGCCAAACTCCTGTGCTGTCAAAAATCCATATGCAATTGTTGACTCCCCCCAAATTTAGCAGCTGTCATAAAAATGCTTCAACAAACAATTACTAAAATACTTGAAACAAATGAATAAATAGAAAGCCTCAGCAAAGGAATAGAAGATATAAAAAGAACCAAATGGAAATTTTATTAATTAATTAATTAATTTATTGACAGGGTTTTTCTCTGTCACCCAGACTGGAGTGTAGTGGTGCAAACTTGGCTCACTGCAGCCTCTGCCTCTTGGGCCTAAGAAATCCTCTTGCCTTAGCCCTCTGAGTATCTGGGAATATAGGCACATACCACCATGCCCAGCTAATTTTTGCACTTTTTTTTTTGTAGAGATGGGGTCTCATTGTGTTGCCCAGGCTGGTCTCAAACTACTGGGCTCAAGTGATCAGCCTGCCTCAGTCCCTGGCAGTCCTGAGACTCCAGGCGTGAGCCAGCATGCCTGGCCTTATTTATTTATTATTTCTTTACTTATATTTTTAAAGACAGAGTCTTGCTATGTTGCCCAGGCTAGTCTTGAACTCCTGGGCTTAAGTGATCCTTCTGCCTCAGCCTCTGGAGTAGCTGGGATAACAGGTGCACAGCCAGCCCAAATGGAAGTTTTAAAACGGAAAAATTAAATAACTGAAATGAAAAGCTCAATGATGGGCTCAACAGCAGAATGGAAGTAACAGAGGAAGGAATCAGTGAACTTGAACATAGAAAAACGACAATTTCCTAATATGAATAACAGAGAAAAAACAGGCTAGAAAACAAAATAACAGTGCTTCAGACGCCTGTGGAATTTTAGAAGAGATCACATATTTGTGTAGTTGAAGTCCTCAAAGGAGAGGAGGAGAAGGAGAGAGAGTCTGAAAAAATATTCAAAGAAATAATGGCTGGAAATTCCCCAAATTTGCCTAAAATACACATAAGCCTAGAAAGTCATGAAGCTGAGTGAATCCCAAACAGGATAAACTCAAAGAAATCCCCACCAAGGCAGGTAATACTCACACTTCTGAAAACTGAAGGCAAATATAAAATCTTAAAAGCAGCAAGAGAAAAATGACATCTTACCTATAGGGAAACACAATTTGAATGACAAAGAACTTCTGAGAAATCAGGACGCCAATAAATAAGAACAAGATCATGTCCTTTGCAGCAATGTGGATAGAGCTGGAGGTCATTATCCTCAGCAAACTAACGTAGGAACAGAAAACCAAAAACCGCGTGTTCTCACTTATAAGTGGGAGCTAAATGATGAGAACTCTATGTGTTCCTGAGAACACATAGAGGGGAATGACACACACTGGGGCCTGTTTGAGGGTGGAGGGTGGGAGGAGGGAGAGGATCAGAAAAAATAACTACTGGGTTCTAGGCTTAGTACCTGGGTGATGAAATAATCTGTATAACAAACCCCTGTGACACGATTTTACCTGTAAACAAATCTACACATGTATCTCTGAACCTAAAATAAAATTAAAAAAAAAAAGGAAAGCAGGAGGCCAGAAGTAGTGGCACAACATTTTCAAGTGCTGAAAGAAAAGAACTGTCAAGATAAAATTCTATATCCAGCAAAAAACACCCTTCAGGAATCAAAAGAGAAATCAAGGCATTCTCAGATGATGGGAAAATAAGAAAATTGGCCACCAATAGACCTACTCTAAAATAATGGATAAAGGGAGTTCTATAAACAGAAATAAAATTAGGGGGAAAAAAAAGAATCCTGGAACATCAGGTAAAAAGAAAGAAGACAGTAAGAAAAATATGGGTAGGTACATAACTTTTCTTCTTCTCTGAAGTTTTCCTAAATTTTTTAAAGGTTGGAGCAAAAATTATAACACTCTCTGATGTGGTTATAAATGCATATAGAGGAAGTATATGAAGACAATTATAAATGAGGCATGGTGAAGGGATATACAAGGAGCTGAGGTTTCTATACTTCATTCAAACTGGACAGCACAGCCTGGTGCAACATTGGGTCACATTTGTAAGTTTCACATGTAGATTCCGCCAATATTTTTTGAACAGTTTCTATGTTAGTGGTTCTTAATCCTAACTGCAAGCCAGAACCACCCAAGAGGCTTTTATAGAATACTCCCGCCTAGGCCTCACTCACACTGATGGAATCAGATTCTCTGGAGATTGGCCCAAATATTAGTGCGTTTTAAAAGCTCCCTAGGTGATATTTATCAAAGCTTTCATGTTCTTTTGCATAATGTGTTAGGCCTCTTCCCACACATTATCTGGTTAATGTTCCCAGAAATTCCATGCGATTAGTATTTTTTTCTCCCCATTTTATGGATAAGGAGACTGAGGCTCAGAAAGGTTAAGAAAGCTTTCTGTATAGCCTGCAAAGAGCAGAGCCAGAATTTAAAGCTAGCGTGGACTCCAGTGCCTTTGCTCGAAATCTCTGCTCCCAAATGGGATAAAGATAAGGGGCTACATGAGGAGAGAGGGCTGGTGAGGTGAATGGAGATTTTTCAAGGGGGTTCAAACATTTTCCTGAAGCTAATAGAGAGCCACTGAAGGGTTTTAAGCTCTGGAGTGAACAGGTAATGTCTGCACTAAAGGAAAAACTCTCTGGTGGCAGCACTTTTGCGTATTTCTGAATCTGCTAGCCAACACAGTGAAAAGTAAGCTATACTCAAGGAATTAAATTAACCAGTTCCTAAGTTTCTAGAGGAATTAAGAATTGACAATGGTTCAGAGATAGTCGGGGAGTCCTGGCTCTGGCTCTGCCATTACCTGCCGCCCTCCCCACGAGACCACGAGACGTGAGCCTGGTGAAGGCGGAAACAGTATCTTGCTCATCCTGTTGTCCCTCCTGCTCAGCACAGGACCTGGCAAGGAGCAGGAGACCAACAGGAGCTCATGAATTGAAATGCACAAAGTCCTCCTGCAGCTCCTTCCCAGCTGCAATTAGCAGATGGTCAAATTCCTCTCCAGGTGGTTCCTGACCTAACAGGTGCATATGTGGAAAGCCTCCCCCCTTGCAGAGCATTTCAGTGTCTGATTTATTATTAACAGGAAGTTCTGAGCCTGGATCAGATCCAGAAAACAGTCAGAGCCATGAGTAAAGAGGTAACAGTTCCTAGGAGGAAAGTTTAAAGTAAATACAGCCCCTTAGTCTGGGGCAGGAAAAACAGGTTGTAATGTATGATGTGTCAAACTTGTGAGGAGTCTTTGGGAAAAAGGCTCCCTCTCTCCTTCACTGGCATCCTCCCTCCTTTCTGCCTGCCTGTAGCAAACATTGATCTAGGTCCTACCATGTGCTAGGCACTGTGTTAGGGGCTGGAAAGGCAGTGAGGGTTACAGTGAATATTCTATGTTTTCAAAACACTTACAATAGGGTTGGAGACAGAAAATGGATAGCTGTAATAAAACATCAAGATTAAGTGGTATGAGAGGTCAAAGGGAGGAAACAGAGATCACTTCTAGCTTGAATGTTTGAAGCAAGCTACATGAAGGTAGAGGTAAACTTGAATTTGAGGGAAGGTTTGAATCGAAGTAGCAAGAATCATTAAGAATGCAGACTTTATCCACGCAGACATGGTCTGAATCCTGATCCACAGACCACTAGCTGTGTGACCTTAGTGAACTCACTTCACCTCTCTGAATATTAGCCTCCTCCTCTGTAAAAGTGGGTAAAATATTTTCCTGTAATTGTCCTTTATCCTGCATGATAGGTCCTTCACTCTCTACTTGGATATTTTCATCAATGCACATACATGTTGTAATAATACCCATGGAAAAAAACCTCTCTCCTTTGAAACCACCTTCCCCATCAGCTACCATCTGTTTCACTGCCTTCCTTTAGAAGAAATTCCTTACACTAGTTGTACACACTTGTCTCTCCATCCTCACTCCCTGTTCTCTCTTGCAACCACTCCAATCAGGCTGTTGCCTCTATCATCCCATGGCAACTTCTAGGTCAAGGTCACCAATGACCTACATGATGCAGAACCCAAAGGTCGTTACTCGTCCAAATCTCACTTGACTCAGCAGGAGCACTTGATGCAAATGACCATTTTTTCCTCCTTTATGTGGCTTCCAAGATGCCACACTCTATTGGTCTTCCTTGAAGCTCCAGGTTTTGCCTTCTGAGCCTCTGGCTGTTCCCTCTTCATTTCCCTAAGCTTTACTTAGTGCTGGACCAGCCGAGGCTCAGTTCTAGGAACTCTTCTCTGTCTACTTGCACACTTTTGGTGAACTCATTTAATAATGTCCTGACCTACAGGCCCTGGCTTACCAGGTGGTTTAAATGGCTGGAATAATGCCAACTTACGTTTCTCTTCCAGACTCTCCCAGACTCAGACATCTGCGGCCTACTGGACACGTTCCCTTGGGTATGTCTCATCGGCATCTGACTCCCAATATGTCCAAAACCAAACTCTCCACCATCTCCACCCACTCAGACTCCTTCAGAAGCTCCTCTTATCTCAGTTATTGACAATTCCATCGTGTGCATTGCTGAGAATAAAAACTTCGTGTCATCCTTGACTCTTCTTTCTTTCGTATCCCATATGAAATCCACAGCCAATTTCATGGGCTCTACATCCAAAATACTTCCTGAATGTGACCATTTCTTTTCACTTCCACTGTTCTTACCCTGGTCCAAACTACCATCTTACTCACCTAGGTTGTGAAACAGCCTCCTAAATGCTGTCTTGCTTCCACTGCTGACCAACAGCCAGAATGATCCTTTCATAATGTCTCAAATCATGTTATTCTTTTCCTCGCTGAGCCCTCCAGTGACTTCTCCATGCTCTCAGAGTGAAAGCTAAAGTCTTATTATGCCTATGAGGCCCCCATGATCTGCCCCCACCCCTGTCCCTCATCTCCCATTCCAACTGTATCACCTTTCGACTCTCCAGCTTTAACCTGTTCCAGCCATACTGGATTTTTAGGTATTCCTCAAATCCACAATGCATGCCCCTACTGCAAAGTCTGTTTTTGCGACAGCCTGTCTTGTGCAGAAATCTGCAAGATTTAGTGGACAGTCAGGCAGCCATAGCAAAATACCATAGACTGGGTGGTTTAAACAAACAGAAATTCCTTTCTCCCAGTTCTGGAGGCAGGAAAGGCCAAGATCAAGGTCAGGTGGGGTTTGATTTCTGATGTGGGCGCTCTTCCTTGCTTATAGACAGCTACCTTCTTGCTATGTCCTTCGCATGGCCTTTCCTCTATGCATGTACATGAAGAGAAATCTCTCTCTTTCTCTTCTGATAAGGCCACCAGTCCTATCAGATTAGGGTCCCACTCTTATGACCTCATTTAATCTTAATTATCTACTCAAGGCAAGGCCCCATTTCCAAATATAGTCACTTTGGGGGTTAGGGCTTCGACATATACATTTTGGAGGGTGGAGGGAGAAACACAATTCAGTCCCACTGTATATATAGTTTTTGTTTATTAACTGTCCCCTGCTCATCTTCCTCACTTAGAAAAGAGCTTATCTGCTTTATTCACTGCTACATCACCAGTATTTGGGCAAATGTCCCAACATGTTAGGTATTCGACATAATAGCAGTGGTTTATGTTTTTGTTTGATGTATGTAAGTACCATATTTGGTGGTACTTACGTATTTACGTGCTTACTTACGTACTTAATGACAGTAAGTGCCGTTACTTAGTGCCTGGCATATGGAAGCATTCAATGATGTTCACATTATTAGAAGGTAGCGAGAGGAAAGAACTTTGTATGGGGAGGGATCTCTAAAGCATGGACCAATTTGCAGAAGTGGGAACATATGGCTTACTTAACGGGAATAGCAAAGAGCAAAGGGTTTTTTGTTTGTTTGTGTTTTCAAGATGGGGGAGTACCATGGCACGATCCCGGCTCACCACAACGTCTGCCTCCTGGGTTCAAGCGATTCTCCTGCCTCAGCCTCCTGAGTAGCTGGGATTACAGGCATGCACCACCACTCGTGGCTAAATTTGTATTTTTAGTAGATAGGGGGTTTCTCCATGTTGGTCAGGTGAATTCCCAACCTCTGGTGATCCACCTGCCTCAGCCTCTCAAAGTTCTGGGATTACAGGCGTGAGCCACTGTGCCCAGCAGGAATAACAAAGAGTTCTGTGGAGCTTGGGCAACATTTGCTCAGTTGTAGGAGGGTCTTCAGTGCCATCCTCAGGTGCTAGGAACTCAGTGGCAATTGGAAGCCATTTAATGCCTTCAAGCAGGAGAGTGGCATAGGTAGAACTGCATTAATTCAATTCATAAAAGGATTCATTCAATTCATAGAGGACTGATTGGGGAAAAGTGAGACTTGGGGGCAGAAAACCCCAAGGAGAATTCCTCAAGTGAATCAATTAAACTCAGGAGTTCTCACTATTATACCATCTGCTACCCTCTGCCTCTGTCCTTTATATTTTATTTCAATAATGTGTTTTCACTTAAAAGTAATTATTTATTTATTAAGTATCATTATTATTATTTTAGATGGAGTCTCACTGTGTTTCCCAGGCTGGAGTGTAGTGACATGATCTTGGCTCACTGCAACCTCCGCCTCCCTGGTTCAAGCGATTCTTGTGCCTCAGCCACCAGAGTAGCTGGGACTATAGGTGTGTGCCACCAAACACAGCTAATTTTTGTATTTTTTGTAGGGACAGGGTTTTGCCATGTTGGCCAGGCTGGTCTTGAACTCCTGACCTCAAGTGATCCACCTGCCTCAACCTCCCAAAGTGCTGGGATTACAGGCATGAGCCACCGCACCCGGCCTAAAAGTAATACATTTTGATCTTTTTTCATATGAGCCACATAATTGCCAACCAATTTATTTAATATTTAAATTAGATGATTTATTGAATTCTCTCTCACTCTGTCTTTTGATATTGTCTGTAACATTGCTGTGATGCCTCAGAATGATTCTTCTCTTACAAACTACTAAATGTTCTCAGAAGTCCAGTGATTTCTCTTTTATTTCTCATTCTCTTGGAGAGAAGATCTATTTGCCCATTACTGGGAGAATAATGAGTTATGGTAGAGTTTGAATGGGTTCTTGTTCAAATACTTGGGTCCTAGAAAGATGGGAAATGCTGCATTACTTGAGGTTGATTTTAACTTGCTTGGGGACCTGGCTTCTGTGCAGGTGGTGGGATCAGTAACATCTAGCGGTGGCCATTGGAGTTGGTTGCTTTCTCAGGGGCAGTATTCTTCACCTCTATCCCTCACACTCTAGACAGAGTCCCTCCCTGGTCCCCAAATGTCTTCACTTAACTTGTAGCCCCCTCTGTGTCAGGGAAGGCTGAGGGTAAGCTGATCTCAGCCACCCATTTGCTGCCCATCCATTCATCTCTACTCTTTGTCTGTCTGATTTTCACTTACATCATGTCACTGCCACTTTCTCAGGTAGGCACTGAACCCCACCCCAAATTTTTCTTTATCTCACTGTTTTCCCAACTGCGATCTGAAGACCACTTGAGTCAGAATCATCTGGAGAGCTTGGTGTACATGCAGAGTTCCTGGCCTCCACCCTGGACCCTGAGCATGAAAACCTGCATTCTATTTTTTAACCCTGGCTGCAGGATTTCTCGCAGAACTAGCACATAATGTTTTGCTTCTCCATGGTACTGTTGTCTGTATTATTTAGGCATTATTTATGCTAAATGAAATATACATGTATTTGTATGTATATTCTAATTATATATATTCTAGTTATGTATTTACTGGTCATTTCAAAGGGAAAATTTGAAGCATGGGGAATGAAGTCTATTGAAACATTGAAACACTTGCCACCTATTTCATCACTTCATAGATGAAATAGGATTTTTATATTCTTTATAAGGTTTTATTAGGACAATAAAACCATATTGTAGAAAACTGGAAAAATAGGGAGAAGGGAGAAAAACGTAATTTCCCCAATTTGATGCAGCGACTGTTTTCATGTTGGTATAGTCCCTTTGGGTCTCTGCACAGAAATATTCATAAATGTGTGCAGCATCATTGTTAGTGTTGGTGCCATTTGGTGTGACGTATAGTCAGAAAGAAGAGGCCAAGAACACTGAGTCTATTCTGGGCTTCCTCCTTCCAGGACATAGCCCACTGGACTCATGGAGAAACCCGTTTACAAGAGACCCATCCCAGGGCACCCTGCAGGACCAGGTGCAGAATATCCTCAGAGCAGATCTCCAGCTTACCAATGTGTTCAGCATCCTGAGCTGGTGCCCATGGGGTTCTCCCATTCAGACTGTGTTTATTGTCACCTCCTATGTGCCAGTGAAATGAAGAAGACCCTGTTGCTTCCCTGGGGCTCCCAGGCTTATGGGGGAGACAGACACATAAACAGCAATTACTGCACAGTGACACACATATCACTCTGGAGGACGGTTACTTTGGGCCCTGGAGGACAGAGCACAGTCACCAACTGACCAGCCTCCATTCTATGCCCAGACTTGTTTCCAGTGGAGCCAAGGGGCTTTACAAAATGAAATACTGAAACTCCAAACTGTGTGAGTCATCACGTTAGGCAGCGTCATCACCGCAGGGAATGGCATATTCTCTCTTTTAAATTTTATTGCATTTTTATTGGAATTCTGAAATATTTACAGTATATAGAAATGGACAGAAAATGATGAATCAGACACACATGTGTACATCAGACAGATTTCAACAAAGAGCCTATTTTACCACATTTGATTCATATTTTCTTTAAAGGAAATAAAACACCTCACTGTTGAAGTCACCTTTTCAATTCTTCTGGATCACACTTCCCTCCCTTCCTCTCTCCTTGCCTAGAGGAAAACACTGTTTTGAAGCTGGTCTGTATTCTCCCTGTAACTGTTTTTCTTTCATTACCTAGGTATGTGCTACATGTTTTAAGTATATATACGTTGTATCATACATGTGTTCTTCTGCAACTTACTTTTCTCTACCTCTCAATATTAAGTTCTTGAGATTTAGCCATGTGGATCATGTAAAACCTAGTTCCTTTGTTTCAACTGCTATAGAGTATATTCCAATATTTGGTAATAACACAATTTATTTATCCATTGTCTCTTGGATGGACATTTGGATTCCTACAGACACTCTTAGGCTGGGGGTGCTGGTATATGCCTATAATCCCAGCACTTTGGGAGGCTGAGGCGGGAGGATCCCCTGGTTTCAGGAGTTCAAGACCAGAAAATACTCTTCCTTATGTCTCCTTATTGATACGTGTAAGAATGTCTCCAGTATGAGTTCCTAGAGGTAGATTACCTAGGTCTTCAGAAATGTGTATTTTCAGTTTCACTACATATCTCCAAATTGCTCTCCAAAGTGTTTGTACGCATTTTCACTCCTACCAGCAATATAACAGATCCCATTTTCTAACATTGACATTATTGCACATGGCAATTTTTGACAGTTTTATAGATTCAAAACAGTATCCCACTAAGTTTTTTTAACTTACATTTATCTGATTAATAGAGAAGATGATTATGTTTTCATATGTTCATATGTAGTTCTTTATGTATTCTGGATACCAACCCTTTTTTGCTTATATGCATTGAAAATGTTTTCTTCCAACCTCTGGCTATCTTTTCTTTTCTCTCTCTCTCTCTCTCTCTCTCTTTATTTATTTATTTATTTTTTTGAGACAGGGTCTTGCTCTGTCACGCAGGCTGGAGGGCAGTGGTACAAACACTGTTCACTGCAGCCTTGACCTCCCTGGGCTCAGGTGATCCTCTCACCTCAGCCTTTCAAGTAGCTGGGACCACAGGTATACACCATCATGCCCAGCTTAGTTTTTTGTATTTTTTTGTAGAGACAGGGTTTCACCATGTTGCCCAGGCTGGTCTCCAATTCCTGGGCTCAAGCGATCCTCACACTTGGCCTCCCCAAGTGCTGGGATTATAGGTGTGAGCTACCACCCCCAGCCTCTGGTTATCTTTTAATGCTGTTTTCAGCAACTTCTTTCTTACAGATATTTGTAAACTTTCCTTTGATGTAGTTGTGCATTGTACATTTTGTTTGAGGAATCCTCTCTGTCCTGAGACCATACATAGAGTCTCCAATAGTTTCTTCCAAAAAAGTCAAGGTTTTGTTTCTACATTTAAATCCATAATGCAAGCGAACTGAAGTGGTCCTTTTTTAAAACTATGAAAAGTTCACAATATTAAAATGAACAGCTCCATTATTATAAAACAAACATAACTACAGTCTATGTCAAGACATAAAACCTCAGGGCCGGAGAAACCCTTCACGTGTCCACTGTCAATTATAACCCCTTCCTCTTGCCCAAATTAACCACTATCCTAACTATGATGCCAATTGTATTGTTGCTTTTCATTGTAGTTTTACTATGTATTTAAGCATCCTTAAGTAAACAACTCAAGATAGTATTTACTAATTATTGAAGTATCCGTATTGTTTAGTTCTGCTTGTATTTTTAAATTATGTATAAATGAAGTAATATAGCACATAAGCTTTCATGTCTGACTTCTTTTTCTTCAACATTTATTCTGTGACATTAGTCCACGTGAGGTGCAGGATCATTTGTTCATTCCCATGATGCTATGTTGTGCCCTTGGACAAATACTCCACAGTGCATTTATCCAGTCTAGGACTGAATATTTGGAATGGATTTATTCCCAGTCTGGGGATACAGAGGTCAGTTTAATTTCTTTCTGTGTCAAAACCAGTTCTTCCACAATCATCCATTGAAAAGCCTCTCTTTTCACTGCTACTTTGTGGAGGCATCTTTGTCATAAATCAAATGTCCCCTTTTTGCGTGGTCCCCTTTCTGGTGTCTGTTTTGTTACATTGGTCAGTTTGTCTATTCTTGCATCAGTACCACACTACCTTAATTAGTTAAGCTTATAATCTGTCTTGAGGCTCAGCGGAGTAAATTCTCTCCTTTATTCTTCTTCAAAGATATCTTCCATCTTCCTGGATCTTCATAATTCTAGTTTATAACTAACTTGTCAACACACACACACAAACACACATACACACACACAGACTCACACCTTTTGGACTTTTAGGTGAAAACCATCTGATTTAATTTTGTGTGTGTTGTGAAGTTGAGATCTTATTTTATTCCATTGTCTATTCTATTGGGATGGCCAGTTGTCCCAACTTCATTTATTGGCTATTCATTTGTATATTAACATAGCTGCACCATTTTTCTTTTCACTAATACACTTGATCTTCATTATTCATGGGAATGTAATTACTTGCTAACATTTATCTGTAGCCCCAAAATAAATCCTCTTGGCACTTCCATGGTCATTTATGGGCATGCGCAGCGTTGACAAAATTGAGTCATCTGACGGGCACGCTCCCATCTGAAGTCAAACACGGGTACACTGTGCCTGCTTGTTTCAGCTCTCACATGTCAACAAGTGTCCTTTTCAAGGTCATTTTAATTCCATGGTTTTCGCATTTCAGTGCCATTTTTTCCTGGTGATTGTGCAGTTTAAAATGTTCCCTGGCCGGGTGCAGTGTCTCACGCCTCTAATCCCAGCACTTTGGGAGGCCAAGGCGGGCAGATCACGAGGTCAAGAGTTCAAGTGAAACCTGGTCTCTACTAAAGATACAAAAAAATTAGCCGAGCATGGTGGTACACACCTGTAATCCCCGCTACTTGGGAGGCTGAGGCAGAGAATTGCTTGAACCTGGGAGGCGAAGGTTGCAGTGAGCTGAGATCGCACCACTGCACTCCAGCCTGGGTGACAGAGCAAGACTCCATCTCAAAGAAAGAAAAAAAAAAAAAAGAAAAGGTTTCCCAAGCCAGTGTGAAGTGCTATCTAGTGTTTCAAAGGCTGTGATGTTCTTTATGGAGAAAATAAGAATGTTACGTAAGTCTTGTTCAGGCATGAGCTATAGTTCAATGTTTAGGAATCACAACTATATATTAAGTGAGGTATCTTTAAACAGACACACACATAAAACAAAACAATGTTACGTATTGGTCAGTTGATGAAAATGTTGTGACCAGAAGCTTGTAGTAACCTAACCCTGTATTTCCCCTAGGAACAATGGTTCAGTATTTGCTAATTCAGTTTTCATGGTAAATTTATGAAACATAACTATCATGAGTAAAGAGAATTGACTTCATTTGGCTAAGATGCCTTTTTCTATAACTTTACTTTCAAATTTTCTGTGTGACTCTCATAAACAGCATACAGCTGGATTCTACCCCCACCCCTCAATCTAATCTGAGAATGCCTGTCTTTTTAAAAGAATTAGTTTATTCATGAACACTAGTATATATTGGCTTATTTCTACCATTTGATTGTGTATGTTACATTTACCCTGTTTTTTGTGTATTTTTCTCTCTTTTTTCTGCTTTGTATTGAATTTCTCAAATTCTACGTATTTATGTATTTATATTTACCCTCCAGGTTTATAAATTATACATTCTATCTTAATTCTTTTGGTAGATACATTACCCTTAAATTGTTAACACGTGTGTTTAATCAAAAAAGACTAAAGTTAAACTGTGTATCTTTCCTTCTTCCACACGTATAAGGATCTCAGAATATTTTTCCTTTAAAAGATTTAACTTACATTGTACATGTGATGATATTTCTTGGTCCCTAAATTTGAGTGCTCTTTCAGAGTTGAACAAGGTCTCAGTTTGCAGTTCTGAAGAATAAGGAAGAGGTCTAGTGTTCAAATTAGTCTGCCCCACCTGCCACTCTGGCTGAAAACATGGAGCTGGTGCTAACTGCAAAGCCCATTGCAGTATCTCAACAGGGAGATAAACAGGAAGTTATCCTCCCATGTCCCTGCTCCGAATTCAGGTTTGTGCATCAGCTTATGGCTTTGTTGGGGAGAGTTTGAACCTGGGACATGTTAAACAATTTTTTGAATGTGAAAGAGAAAAACAAAATAATGACCAACATACCTGGGGGTCACGTTGACCTTCACCTTCAGAGTAATGTTACAATTTATAAATGATTGGATATTGCTACAAAATATGAGGCTCTTCTTTCCTCTTCTTTCCTTTTTATCTCTGTGGAATTTTGGTTAAATGGGCTCTTAAACTCCTGCTAGTTCCTCCTTAGAGCTTTATAGGTCAAAGGCCGGCTCCCTTCTTTTCTAGGTGGCTCCTATCAGTTGAATGTCTGTTTTGTGCCAGGCTTTGGGCTCACTGATTTTTTATCTGCAGACTCACTTAAGTCATGCACAGAATAGCCCTTTAGAGTAGACACATTGGCTGCATTTGTAGATTAGGAAACAGAAGCCCATTGTGGGGTCCAAGGCCAGGAACTAGAAAGACGTTGACACATGTTTTAACCCAGAGGATCAGCTCCCCATCCTATGCTCTTCTCTCTCTAGAACAGGGGCCTTACTCTATAGGGTATCTCGGAATCACGTGGGGAGCTGGTAAAACCGCACCTTCCCAGATGCCACCCTCCATCCATGCATTCAGTGGCTCCAAGATGAGGCCCAGGAATCTGCCTGCTTATCCAGCCCCCTAGATGACGTGGAAACACTGGTCTCAGGGTGCCAAGAACTCCAAAGGCAAGCCAAGAAAAGGTCAAGGTTCACCCCAGTCAGAATGTGACCCCCTAAATGGCTATCCCGGAATCTCCTGTCAATTTCTTCTCTGCTCTGGTTTCTCAGCCTCAGGACGTCATCTCTCTCTGGTTTCTCAGGATCTCATCTCCATGCCCTGGTTTTGCCTCTGGACCCATGCCTTTCTCCTGACTCAGGAGCTACTCTGTTTCAGGCCCTTACTGGAGAAAGCCACTGCGCCTGGGGTTGAAGAACAAGCAGATCCAGGAGGAGAGAAAAGCATTCAGATCCAGGAAAAGAGGGAGCAAAATGATCAGTCATGATGAGGCTGACAACTGTGACTTTCACTCTAAGAAGCTGGAGCTGAGAGCATTTGCAGGAAGTGTAATAAGACAAAAACTGAAGAGAGGCTTTGTTCTTCCCTCTCCCCTGGACCAGCAAGAGACAGAACCCACGTCCCTTATTTTGAACAGAGATTAATTTTCTCCCCATAACACTTTAGAAAGAAAGAGAAGTAGCCAGGCTGAGAGGTAGGCACACAATGCGTAGACACAGGTGGGTTTGCAGGGAGCAGACATTTTACTCTAAGATCACTCTGATCCAACCGAAAATAGGTGCTTCCAGAGCCACCTGTCCCTTTCTGCCAGCAGCCACCTTACTTCTTTCTCACTCTTCATTTGCCCCCTCTCACATTCATGGGCAGCAGCCTGAAGGCCAATTCTGAATTCAGAATGACGTCACCTGGAAGGATGTTGGATTATTATAGGTCCCCTTTCCATTGCTCAGAAGATCTTAAGGCTCCAGCTGTGCACAGGGCTTGCTCCTGGGACAAAGGCACAGACCCCTGACTGGCTGCCTCACCTGACTCCTAGTTCAAGCTTTCACTAGCCCAAGACTTAATGGAACCCTCATTTGTGTCTACCGTGGAAAAGGAGTGGAAAAATGTAGTTGAAATGGGGAGAGATTTGGGGAGGAAATAATTCAGTCTGGAATCCTGGGGGAGCTGCATGCCAGGTCCTGCTCCAGGTGCTGGGGAATCCCAGTGTGGCTTGGTTTTCCAAGGCAGACAGGAATTCCACCATGTCTCCTTTGCTTTAGAATTTACTGTTTTTTAGAGATTTAAAACCCATTAGGGAATGGCTTGAGAAGTTAATAATGTGTTACCATTCTGGAGAATTATATTTGATGTTGTTTATAGCTATTTGGCTTATGAAAATAAATACATTAAGATTGGGAGCCAATTCTTATTCATGCTACTTATTGAAGGCAGATCATACAATAATAAATAAATGCCATTAATCTTAAACCCACACGGGGAGAATTTCGTTTTTTAAAATTAATTGTACTTGTGGTATTGTTTTTAAACTAGAACCTAAAAAAAAGTGCAATAATACATTAAACTTTGCATCTCTGGTACAGAATTCGATTTGTGTGGGAAAAACAAATTAACTGTGAAATGTAACCAGGAAAAGTAATGTTGATTACAAGGAGCACATAATTAGGGCAGCTCAGATATGCACTAGATTCCTCTACCAAGGCCCCTACCAAGCCTGAACTCTAGTGAACAGGTATTCAATTTGGCTTTAATTATCATGTTAGTGTCGGTCATAATTTCCATAAATGACTTTTAAGCCACAGGAATAGATACTAGAATTAGAAGACTTGTTCTTTCTTTTTAAGCATTTGAAAATTTTATTTTTCCAAATACCAGGGCCCTCTGTGCAGGGAGAAAAAGTCACACAAAGATGGTCATTTCTCAATGCAATAGTTCCAGTCTTTTTCTGAACCATGTTATTTGCTTCATTTCATTGGCTACAGCTTATTCACTCACCATTAATTAGACGCACTACTTTAAATGTGAATGTGCTAGGAACTTAGAAATTTGTCTTTTTCCTTGTATTGCAGTTTTGCAGAGGGGCTATACCTACATGAAAACTATGTTTTAAATAATTAAACTGTCTCAAGATATGTAACAATCATATATATTAAGGTTGATGATGATACAAGGTGACAGAAACACACAGAAGAGGGAGAATGAACCCTTCCAGGGATGACGGTATGGAAAGGGGATATTTGTGTCAGGTTTTGACAGATAAATAGGAGTTCACCAAGGGGAGAAGGGAGAAATGGCTTGAGTCAAGAAAGGGCAAGAGGCATTCAGAAGAGAGAGTGAAGCTCGGGAGGCTGGAGAAATGGTTAGTAGGAGCATGGCGCCGGAGAGGCAAAATGCTCATCAGCTCGTTCCCACACCTGACCACCTATTCCACTCCTCAGGGTCATCTTCCACCTCAACCAGAGCAGAAGCCCCAGCACCAGTCTCTGTGCTTCCACCCTTGCCCTTCTGTCATCTGTCTTCCACATTGCAGCCAAAGGGATCTTCCTGAAACTCCAGTATTATGTCATCCCCCTTGGCCCCTGAGCTAAAGTCCAGACCTGTGTGATCCACAGAGAAGCTTTCTGAACTGGAGTCTGCTGACCTCTCAGACCTCACGTCCTGTTGGTCACCCTCTGTCTCATTCCCTCCTCTGAGCCTTTGCACATGCTCTTCTTACTGCCTGTCAAAAGCACTGTTTCCTAAAATACACCTCTTCCTTTTCCCCATTCCACTCTCCTCCCAGTTATTCTGAGTCCTTTATTTTCTTGTTTCATAGCCCATTATAGTCTGTAATTATTTCTTTCATTTGATATCCATGTGTGATTTGTCTGTCTTCCTGATTAGAATGCAAACTCCGTGTAAGGAGGGATGGTGTTGGTCTTGTTCGCAGCTGTATACCCAACACCTGGCACTGGGACAGGCACCTCCTACATTCTGAAAAATTACTTGTTGAGAAAATGGATGAGGGCACCAGATTCCAGAGGGCCTTGAGTGCCAGGCAATAAGCTTTAGGTCTTAGTCTGTGAACAACAGGAAGCCAAGAGAGGTATTTAACCAGGCCTACAATGACTACAGTGTGAGTCTGCCTGACACAGAAAATTAAGTCTAAAATATTTTCAGTAATTTCGCTCATGCTATGACTTCACTGGCATCCCTCCATGGTGATGGGGCGATGAGAGCAAAAAGCAATTTTCATTTCTCAAGTAAAGCATAAAATCTATTCCTGCAGGGCCTCACGCATTCAGAATGAGAACTGCACTGACTGGCCCTGGTCAGACAGGCAAGAGAGCTGGTTAGCAGGAGGGGTGGTGGGTCACTGACAGCAGAGGGGCCTCTGGTTTGCAATTTTAAGGGACATAAAATGCTGGCTGGCTTTCACAGAACACCGGGCTGAGCTGCAGAAAACTGTAAAATCTCCCCGTTGCAATATAAATATGGGATGAAAGTTGATTAACCAATTTTATGTTGTTATCTGAGCCTTCAATCCATTTGCACTTGAATTAAAAGGACAGAAATTGAATTTTGGCTGGACAGGCATTTTCCAACAGGCAACATTGGTAAAAGAAAAGAGGCTTAAATTTCTTTTTCATCTGAAATCTTTATCTGGCAGAGGATTTTTTACCATGTCGCTCTACTTGATTGCTGTGGAATAAGTGCCAGGGTTTAACACAAGGGCTCAGAATGTACAGGCTACAGTGAGGAAGGGTATCGCCTGCATTTTCTGCCAGGGCATTCCTGCTGCCATGGATGCTTTGTTTCTTAACTGGATTATCACAGTAGTCTCCTCTCTGGATTCTTTGGGGGCAGCCCCAATGCATTTCTACCCAACTCCCATGACCTGTCAGCAAACAGCCGCAGGAATCCCCTTCCATTGCAAATCTGCAGATAAGACTCTCCTGCCTCCAAACTCCCCACTGATTCCTCATTAAGCACACAGCATAAGTTTTTGGTGTTGACGACCAAGGCCTTTGGCAATCTGCCTACACATGACACATTTCTAAACTGCCTCCTTTCCATTTTGACCTGCCCAACTCTCTTCTATTTTTCAGGCTGGTCTATCTATTGACTTAGGCCAGAAACCATCAGGTGCTTCCACATCACCTTGTCTTGTTCCTGCTGGGAAAACACCAGCCTTGCATGCCTCCATTCCCACCACCGTCACTTCTGGCTCAAGTTCTGCATATCCTTTGAAGCCCAGTCCAGAGACATGAACAGTCCATTTCCTAGGAATCAACTCAGAAAGCACAGAATTCTCCAGCTTTCTTGGTGGTAAGACTCAGAGGGACAGATGCCAGGTCAGGAAGGGCCACATTTGCCAGGTGAAATAAAGAAATTTTAGCCAGGGAGAGGTGTGCCCATCGATGGTCACAGTTCTAAGTGACACCAATGCCCACTCCAGCTTGGGTCCTATGGTCTTGAGCATCATGTCATAAAGGGGTCCTAGGAGGGTGTCTTCCACCTACATATTCACAAATACCTGAGGCCTGCTGGGGCTGAGAGGCTACACTGGGTTTCCATTCAGAGTTCTGCTTGGGTAGCTTAGACCACATCTCCATCTCTGCTTACCATACTATTTCCGTGTCCCTAGCCCCTTGATGGCTCAAATACCCCAGAAAGGCCTGTAAACAGCAGATAAACTACTCTTGGCTTATGAACATTCAGTCTATTCTGGAAATCTTGACCAGTTAGCCTGGCTTCATAACCCATAGCCAACAGCTAGTAAGAAGGGCGGATGACGCCTTCACCTCATTGATGGCTGATGTCCTGAGCTTTCATCTCAAGTCCCCTTTGTGGTCCACTTCTGCAACGGCTCTGCCCATCCTGTTCAGTTCTCCAGTTTTGTCTCTCATCTGTGGCCTCACCTCTATCCTTCAGCCCTCAATCTTGATTTGAATCTTGGTTCTAACCTCTGGCTTTGGCTTTGACATGTAAGACCCACCAGAATAATCCTCCCTGCCCTCCCTGTCCTGAACACTGTCTTCTCATCAGGGAAAGCCCTAGGCTCTGGGCTCGCCTCAACCCCGGGAGGGGCCTCGCTCCATGTAAGTGTATGACTCCCAGTTGCTCCCGGCATCAACACAAAACCCGTTAGTTTGGCCTTCAAGGATCTTCATACCCTGATCTTCCTTGCTCCAGAGCCTTGCATTGCACCTTATGCCCAGTCCTTCTGGATCGTTTGCAGTTCTTGAGGCCACCATGAACTTGACTTCTCCTGGCCTGACAGTGGCATTCTGTTGTTCTGCAGTGGAGCCTCCATGGGGCTGTAAGAAGCCTTCAAATTCAGATTCCAAAATCAGAAGTGGGTTCAAAGCCTATCACTGCTAGCATAAGTGTGAAATTGGGCACACCATTTAACCCCACTAAGCCTTTATTTACTCATTTGAAAATCAGAATAATAACCCACACTTTCATGGGGGTGTCGTGAGGATACTGGGTGAAGTGATAACTGGCAAATTTCTACCCAGGTGGTGAGATAACCTCAGGGCCCTTTCCCTGTCTTGTCATAGACTTTGGTCATGGTTAGGAAGCCTGTCCCAGGTGCCTCGACTGAGGTGTAAGCATGGTGCCCTAGGGTGGATTCCCTGAGGGAGTCAATATGGAGTGTCAACTTGATTGAGTTGAAGAATGCAAAATATTATTCCTGGGTGAGTCTGTGAGGGTGTTGCCAAAAGAGATTAATATTTGGGTCAATGGACTGGGAGAGGCAGACCCACCCTCAATTTGGGTGGGCACCATCTAATCAGCTGCCAGCACAGCTAGAATAAAGCAGGTGGAAGAAGTTGGAAACAGCAGACTTGCTGAGTCTTCTGGCTTTCATCTTTCTCCCATGGTGAATGCATCCTGCCCTCAAACATCAGACTCCAAGTTCTTCAGCTTTTAGACTCACACCAGTGGTTTGCCAGGGTCTCTTGGGCCTTTGGCCACAGATTGAAGGCTCCACTGTTGGCTTCCCTACTTTTGAGGTTTGGGGACTCGGTTTCCCTACTTTTGAGGTTTGGGGATCCACCACTGGCTTCCTTGCCTCTCAGCTTATAGACAGCCTATCGTGGGACTTTGCCTTGTGATTGTGTCAGTCAATTCTGTTTACTAATCTCCCGTTGATACATACATATATCCTATTCTGTCCCTCTAGAAAGCCCTGACTAATACAGTCAGTGAGTCTAAGGCTCAGAGGGTGGAAGCCCCTCTTTGACATAATTTCATGGGTCTCACTCCTTTGGAGACCACATGCGGCTTCTCTGTGAGCTGTTGATTCAGAGTTGACTTCTGATGGTCCTGGGGCTCCCACTGCACCCAGTCTTACTATCAGTTGTGATTCTGGCTTTCGAATTTCTAACAGGGCTCAGGGAATTGTCACTTAGCAAACCCCTGGGCTGAGACAATTTCACAGCACTGGGGAAGGGGGATCAGGTGTATCTGGAAAGCACATGGACTCTTCATACCCTTCCAAGGAGAATGTCTCTGGGCTTGGAGGCCACACTGGCTGCAGTGGACAGGGACCTCCACTGGTAATCAAGAGACCCGTTTCTAATTCCACGGCTGCTGCTGATTTTCAAAGTGACCAGTGGAGAAACTCTTCCTCTCCTCATGTGTCACTTTCCTTAATTGAAAAATAAGGGCCCTAGATCAAGAGATCTCTAAGTTCCCTTGAAAGGCTTACACTGTGTGATTCTTATCAGTAAGCAGCCCAGAGGAACATTCTTCCTTGTCTGCACACCTTGTCATAATGATGAAGTGAGATGCAGCACACAGAGTGAGTACCAGACACAACGAACTCAAAACAAGGCACTCTGTAACTGCCATGCCCCATAAATATTTGTGCATAGAAAAATAGGAAAATAGGAAGTATTAGGATGGCGCAGTGGCTCACACCTGTAATCCCAACACTTTGGGAGGCCGAGGTAGGTGGATCACCTGAGGTCAGGAGTTCACAACCAGCCTGGCCAACATGGTGAAACCCTGTCTCTACTAAAGATACAAAAAAATTAGCCAAGTGTGGTGGCAGGCACCTGTAATCCCAGCTACTTGGGAGGCTGAGGCAGGAGAATTGCTTGAACCTGGGAGGCGGAGGTTGCAGTGAGCCGAGATCACGCCATTGCCCTCCAGCCTGGGTGACAAAATAAATGAATGAATGAATAAATAAATAAATACATAAATAATATATTTGAGTATACTCTTGTTTTCGGTGCCTAGCCTGTATTGGGTGCTTTGCTTCAATTGTAGAATGAATTCTACCCTGCCTTAGTTTCCCAAACCAGACTCTGAGACAAGCATTGGGGTGCAAGTAGTTTACTGGGGGAATGGTAGCAGGAGGCACAGGGAGGGAGTGGGGAAGTGAGACAGAAAAGGGAGGAAAACCAAAAAAAGGTTCATTAATGAGTAGGTGATTTCTGTGGGTACCTGGGCCACAATCCCCACAGGGCTGTCTGAGAAACTGAGGAACACATTTCAAAAATGTACCATTGCACATTTAGAGTGTGGGGCTGCATATTTATTCACCACCTTCCATGCCTGCATTGGTGGAGTCTCTTCTGGGCATTAATTCTCTGGCACTTTGGAGTGCCCCTGGTGTGGGCCCATCGTGCCGCTGCAGCCAGAGAACACCATTAGGCAGAGAGTCGCAGAAGGCTTTGGAACAGAAGGAAATGCCTGCCAGTGACCTCCAGGGTGGGCTGGAATCAGTGATGTGCTGGAGTCAGCTCACACGGGCTCCCAAGGGCTGATTGTCAGCTTTTCAACACTTTTTGCTAGCTGGTTGTTAAACATAGTCATTATTAAAAATTACATTTTACAAGCTTGTAATTAAATAAATTATATGGAGGACAAAGGTAACAAATGCTCAAATCTCATCGAATTATTTTACTACTCTTTGTCATTCTGCATGGTCTTGAGGTTATTTCCATCTATCATATTTATATGGTGAAAATACAGTATGTTGCCTGTGTACATCAGCCATCTGGGGGAATATTTACACCATGGAAATGGGTATGTGCCATCAGGGATTTGTCTCCCCTTCAAAAACATGATGATTAAACATTTTCCAGCACCTCGGGATACGATGCGACTGATAGGATGCTGACAATGTCTGTTGCCTACTCCAGAACTGATGCCCCAGTGATTCTGCTGCCTCTGCCAGAGTCAGAAAACTGTGGATGTGGGAAGCTGCCCGTGGAGTCAGGAAGTCATCCCTACTGATGGAGCCTCTGCAGCCACCTTGGTCCTGGTCCACACCAGCAATGTTGATGCTGCCCTGCAGCCTGCCTATCCCCTGGCTTAATTCCGGCTCCATGCATGTGACGAGCAGAAAAAAGAAAGTCGCATCTGGACCTCCGGCGGCAAGGGAGTCTGAGAAAGATAGATCTGTGCATGGTCATCTTAACCCTCCTGTATCCTTAAAGCCCAGCACCAGGTCAAGTATGCAGTGGGCACTCAGTAGTTGCATGTTAAGTGAATCGATGATTCTAGAAAAGAAAATTTTGTTTACTGGCTCTTCACCTTTAGCAGGAAGTAAATTCTCAACGGGGCTTTGGCTCGGAAAGAATATGGACCTGAATGCTTTTCTCTTCCCCTCTCCTGTCCCTCCCTCCTCACTTCTCCTTTCTCCTCTTCTCCTCTCCTCTTCTCTCCCTTCCTCTGTCCCTTTTTGTCCCTTTCCTCCTCCCTCCCTCCTTTCCCTCTCCCTCTGTGTCAGCTTCCACCACCAGGAAACCAGCTTCTCCTGAGAACACACAGGGGGACCCTTCAAACTCAGTGTACAACACAGCCTCTTGAATTCTGTGCATTGCCTCTTTTAATTAAACCCCTCCTTTCAGGAAGTCTCTCAAGGCTATAAGCTTATCAGATCCTGATGAGCACGTCATCAAAGCTCCAATCTGGTATTAATGGGAAATGGCCTTTCCCTTCAGGGAGGGCCAAGCTTCTGTCCTTGGGAACCACTGCATTCTCCTTGCTGGGAGGACACGTGGATTTCCCCTCAGTGCTCTCTAGGGTGCTGCAAGCTGGCAAAGTTCACCTGCCCTTTTCAAAATATGAAATACATGCCTAATTTCCAACATCATTGTGTTCCATTTTCCCTGATAACACCTTAACAGGGGCTTTAATAACTGCATTCTGTGGAAAGAGACACTGGCGCTGTGCTGTTGGCTCTAGGTTGTGAGCTGGGGCCCTGGCTGTGAGCCCTTGGAGGAATCCCTTTACCTCTCTATTCCAGGTTATT
Source organism: Homo sapiens (assembly GCF_000001405.40). Lineage (NCBI taxonomy): Eukaryota > Metazoa > Chordata > Mammalia > Primates > Hominidae > Homo > Homo sapiens. The sequence goes on along the minus strand of NC_000016.10, from coordinate 65,870,185 downwards.
CATGTTTAAAATGAAGTTCCTTAACTGCTCTCAGTTCTTCCCAGAATTCATGTAATGAGTTCTAAGTGTCAGTTCTGCTAGGTCTAGGGAGAGGGATGAAGCCTCTACATGAGCCAGCCTGTGTTGGTTGGGGCAGAGCCTAGAGATCCCTGGTTCAGTGAGGCTCCTGCACTAGGGAAGGGACCTCTGAGCTCCTCTTCTCGTGCCAAGCCCATCTCCGCTCATCCCATGCTGACTGCAAGAATGGTGTTTGCTCAATGGTCAGGGAAGTGGTGCCCAAGAGCAGGAACCTGGCTTCACTCTGTCTCTCCTCTGGGCATCAAAGAGGCAGTACCTGCTAGGACCGTCTCTTCCTTTCTAAAATCAGGAAGTAACAAAAGGCAGGCTGGGATTGCCCATAGATACAGCTCCGTCTTTCTCTCTCTCTCCTGAAACAGCCTGCAGACATTCCTGAGTTCTTGTGCTGAGATTAGGTTCATTGTCAAACCCAAACCCATTTGTTTTAAAGCCAGTTGTGCAAAAATATATTAAAAAGCAAACATGCGCAAACCAGAAGCCAGGGTCGGGGTTATTGAGTGTAGCTTCGATATTAATAACATGAAATAGAGTTCCCAGTCTCCCAATTTCCCATCTGAATGGAGCTCTTTCAAAGCCCAGGAAGGCAGATGGGATGCACAGGGCAGGATGGGCCCCTTCCAGGGTTTCTCAGTCCAATGCCATCACAGAGGAACTTGAATGTTATTTCTGGCAGTGTGGACTGGCTTCACACAGAGATGAGGTGGCAGACGATGAGGGACTTCCTGGCCATATTAATGTGTAGAATGCCTCTAAGCCACACAGGTACAAAGTGAGGGTGGAAACATTATTTCTAGCCCTTGGAACTGATAGAAAAATACTCCTGACAAAGAATACAGGGAATACTGCTGGTGGGACTCAGTATAAGGTCACTTTGCTGGAAAGTAACAGAGAATAAATAAAATTGATTGAGTGCCTATTATGTGCTTGAAATCACTTTACATGCTGGGGCCACAGCAGTTGTCAAAATTGTTGGAAATCTCTGCCCTCATGGAGCTCAGAGTCTAGGGGATTTTTAAAAATCACAGGCTGGGCAGATACTGAAGCTGGCTTTGGGGCCATTCGGAACTAAAGACTTGAATTCTAACAAGATTTCTGTGATTCAGTTTCTTGCTGTGTCTTGGAGTCATTTCCTCCAAGCACCTTCTGTCTCTACCTCTGTCAAGAAGAGGACAAAATAGCCACCATCCACATTCTTGTCCCCAGACTGATGAAGAAGATGATAAAAGGGAGGCTTTAGTTGGTAAGCAGAAAGGCACCATGTAAGTGACAGGCTTACATCTTGTATGAAATCAAGTGGGCAAGAAAGCTTCTGCTCAGGTGGGTACAGCCCCAAGGAGGCTGATAGGTGAGCACTCTTAGGAACATGGGCTTGCAGACTTCCCAGTGAATGCTTCCTTGGGCTGTCATTTGAACCTAAGAAGAAAGCACAGTTCAAGAAAGATGAACACATGTAGCCAACCTGAACTGAAACCAAGAAGGAAAGGATCAGTCAAATAGCTGTCTCCTCTGGGCTTGGCTGCCTGTCCTTGGAGATAATACTGGCACGTAGCAAGAACTTCCACCTGCAGCATCCACAGCACATCTCCATGGGCCTTAGCAAGATGCTATGCAACACGGCTCTTTTCCAGTATCCTAATTTTCTGTTCATAACATGTTGGGTCTTTGGGAATCACCATTATAATCATCATAATGTGTTGGGTCTTTGGGAATTACTGTCATGATCATCATCATCACCACCACCACCACCACCAACATCAGTTTTCCTGGTCTCATCTTCATGATCCTGTTTCATTTCTTACTACTTCAAACATTCTTTTTTCCTTCCCTATGCCTGGAACATCCTCTGCTCATTTCTAATCCCAGATCTTTGCTTCAGCTGTGGCTCCCTGCACTCCCTGCCTGGGGAATGCCCCATGTACCCCCTTTTTCTTGCTAAAATATTACACACCTTCAAGACCATCTCAAGCCCCCCCTTTCAGGAAGCTCTCCTCTATCTACTCATGCCCTCCGGTACCTGAGTATTTGCACAATATTAGAACTTAAACATTCATCATTTTAGTCTACATTCCAGCAACTCTGTAAGGTTGGAATCATTTCCTCCATTTTATCGATGAGATAACAGGTTCAGAGAGGCCGGGTATTGCCCCAGGAGGAAGGAGCTGGAGCCCCCACAGCTGTGTCTATTCTACTCTGCCTTGGTGTGCTTGCTTTCCCAGGAGCACACCAGATGTTGAGAGCAGTAGTTCTCAAACTTCAGGGTGCATGTACATTACCAGGGACTGTTTGGCAGACGTTCTGGGGTGGGGAACAAACATCTGTGTGTGGTTCACCAACGGTCCCTGGTGACTATGGTTTTATGGCTGGTCCTGTAGCCATTTGAGAACCGTTGCCTTCAGAGGTGCACGTAGTCCCATAACTGAAGATGTGGCTCCCTGAGGCTCCTGGGAAGCCAACCGCCTCCCCAGACCTACAGAATGGGAATGGAAATCTCCGGGTGTGGGGGTGGGGGCTGGAGGGGGTGGGCCTGGGAATCTCTAGCTAAGAGCCTCAGGGGTTTTTTATCATCTGGCAAGTTTGGGAAAGCTGACTGAGAGTCAGGCCCATCCAATTAGCACTTAATTGTATCCTGCTTTATCTTCTTCCCCAATTAGTTCTTCTGCATCAGTTAAGCTCCTTGGAGGCCCAGACAACAGCACTTAATTCAGCATTGCCCTGAGAGCTGGCATGGTGCTGGCTAGGTGACTGGCATTATGGAAAACTGACTGCATCTGCTTTAGGAAGAGAGGCATGTCCAGAGTGGAAATTCTGGAAGCTCCTTGCAAAACTAATACCTGGGCTTCTGCACCTCCCCAGCTTGATGTCTGCTCTTATCCCTCATCTCTGCAAAGCCAGGTGCTTCCTCTTGCTTAAAGACCAGCTCAAGGCTCTCTTATTCCAAGAACTGACTCCATTACCTCCAGCTAGATATAAGCCCATGGGTCTGTGGATCCTTCTGATGTGAATTTACCTGGATTTCTGTTTTTCACGGACAGAGGGCTTCAGGAAAGCTCCTGGCCTGACATGATGCTAGGCACATAGTATTGCTCTTTCCTTCCTACATCCTCTTCTAGGGAGGGCATCTTATCCACCTTGAACATTCCTACCATGGAAAACAGTGGCTTGCACATAGCACAAGGTCAGTTAATATTTTGGATTCCTACATAAGTCTCAGAGATGTTAATAGGAATTACCATCTTGTTGCAATGAATGTGAGCAAGTATGTGTTGTGCACATAAATTATCCCACTCCCGCCAAAGGACTATGTTACTCTTTTTCAATTACCCAAGCAACTACTCCAGTGCCTTATGCATGATTACCTTCTCTAAGTATTTTCTTTCTAAATTAATACAATTATTAACTTCTCAGGGTGTGAACTGTAAAGGGGAAAATGTGTGCTTCTCTGTTTAAAACATTAGTATCTTTATTTTAAATCTACTCCAGACTTGCCCAGACTCCTTCACTACTCAGAGTCTCTGAGCATCGGCTTCCTTAACATTCAAAATGGAAATGATAATAAAAACTTTGCACATCTCTAAAAATCTCTGAAAAAAAAAATTTGTCACATTGAACACATAAAGCAAGCACTGGATAAATTGTAGCTGCATGGTATAGTACAGACAACTTGAGACATAGATGGAAGGCAGAGCCTATATTTTATTCCTGCCAAACAAAAATTAAAACAAAGGCATTATAAGAACCCAGTGTTGGTGACATTTGTGATGGAACAGGCACACTTATTTTGGAGGCCTGTTTAGCAATGCTTACCAGGAGTCATAAATATTTTCATATACTTTTACCACCGCACAGCAGTTCTAAGAATTACTACAGGAGAATGATTTTTAGAGAGGAACAAGTTAAATATAGGCATCAGTGTAATTTACAAAGGTGAAAACAAAAAGTAACCTAAATGCACATGAATGGGAGCAAGGTTACATAAATTACAGTGCAACAATGTAATGGAATATCTCACAGCAATTAAGAAGGCTAAAGACAAATCCCAGGTAGAAACATTTAGTGATTGAAAATAATAAGTGTAATGGTAAAACACAATTTTATGTATACTTTGATTAAAATGATTCAAAATGATATATTTACTTACAGCCGTGAAGAAAAGAATAAAGACATGAACATGTTTGCTGTGTTATATTAGTGAAATTAAATTTATTTTATACATGCTATATATGTATGTATACATGCATGTGCGTATGTATGTATACATTTATGTAAATATATAGATGCATGAATACACATATGTATATGTAAATATGTATATGTACATAAATGTGTATGTACACTTATATAGGTGTATATGCATGTACATATGTATGTGTATATGTATATGTGTATATCTACATATGTATATGTGTATATATACCTTTATGTACATATATAAAAATATTTTAATTTTTATTTTAAATACTTTATATAAAATTTACACACACATCTATATCTATAAAAGTAGATATATGTATATATCTGTATACAGATATATATGTATACATATATACATATATACACATATATACATATATACATATCTGTATACAGATATATATACATATATATCTGTATATATGTACATATATACATATATACATATATATGCATACATATATACATATATGCACATATACACATATATGTACATATATGCATATATATACATATATACATATATACACACACATATATATATACATGTCTACTTTTGAAAATCTTCCTAATAGTTCTGCAAGGCAGGTTTTAGTACCTTGAGGAAACAGGTGACAATATTTTACTAAATCACATATCTAACAAAAGTTATCATAAGCCTTCAAATGAACCTTGGCCCACCGGCCCCCAAATCTTTGCTTTTTAAAATTATTCACAAATTGTTTTCCAATGTGTGTACATTTGATGTTGGTTTCTTTTGATAACTCATTTCCAATAAGACCTTATTTTATATTACAACAATGAAGATAGATAAATAAATACATCAAAATATTTATTATGTGTACTACATACATTTTATAATTAAAATGTGCTAGATTGTTACCTTGTTAGCTCCAATCAACCACCTCCCAGTATTCACAGTTTTGTGTAGTCCCATTTCACATAGGCACTAGACTTGGCTATGTGATGTGATGTGTTTTGGCCAATGGGTCATTGGCAAGCTTGAAATAAGAACTTCATAAGTACTTGTGAGTTAAGGTTTGTCCTGTTAGAAGCTAGTCACCATGCTATCAAGACACCCAAGCTAGCTGCATGGAGATGATGCAGGATTTTTCTTGATCCCTTTGCCAGCTGGGGACCTCCAGCCAGCAATGACCCTGCCCAGGCCTCACTTGAGCATGCTACCTGTTGCAGGAGGTGGCCTGCCCACCCAGCCCACCTGGGCTGCACCTGAATTGTGAACTGGCTTAGCCCGAAGCTGGGCTGGGCATGCTCTAGCTCACCTGTGTTATAGCTCATACCTGTGTTCAGTGGTTCCTGAGTTCTTGTCCCGCGTCCAAGAAGAATGAGGATATGCTGACAATTGAAGGGTGAGGAGAGCAGAGAAGAATTTTATTGAGTGATGGAACAGCTCTCAGCAGAGAGGGGATGTGGGGGTAGTCCCCCACCTGAAGTTGGGTGGTTTCTCTTCCAGTGTAGCTGAATCTGAGGCTTTTATGGACTCAGAATAGGGGAGTGCATGCTGATTGGTTTGTGAATATGCAAAAATGGTTAAAACAAAGGCACCACTCAAATGTGGGCATGACAGTGTAAATAAACCAATTAGGGAAGGGTAGGTATATGTAAAATAGGTGAAGGGTGAGGATCAATCAGAGGAAAGCATGCCCAACAGGAAGATAGATTCTCAGTCTGGTCTGTGGATTTGACTTGTAGTTAGGCTTAAACTGTCTTTGGCTTGGAGATGGGGTTTCACCAGGGACACGCCCCTATCTGCCTATGCATTTGTCTGCCTCCTGCCACTATCAGAGAGGCCACAGAGAAGAGAATTGAGGCTTCCCAGAAAAGAGCCCTGATGAGGTCCCCGCTCACAATATGGAGAGATCGTTTAGGATTACCAGCCCCTTTGAAGCCTCCAGAAAATCACAGCTCTGTTAGTAATTTTTGTGGACTCCATGCAAAGAAAAGAATCATTTAATGAGCCCAGTCAACCCATAGAATCATGAGAAATAATAAATCTTTGTAGTTTCAAAGCGCTAAGTTTTGGGATGGTTTGTTAAACAGCAAGAGATGACCAATATATCAGACCTGAAAAATTTAAAGCACCAGGAAAATTTTAAAGTACCAGGAAAATTTTAAAGTACCATCCTAGCACATAGTAGATGCTTAATTAAAATGTCTATGAAGAAGAAGGGGTCAATTCTGTCACTTGGCATTCAGATTCCCTTTTTGCTCACTATAGCCTTCCACTTTAAGAAGAGAACCAACATCCCTGTTGAACTGGATTCATCTGCAAACCAGGCCAGCAATCCTGGCTCAGGCAGGCCTTCCAGGAGGGCAAACTGTATAGTTCTATAGCAAAGGGGGCATTGTCCTTTCTGAAATGCCAGATCCTTTATAAGCTGGAGAGTTACAGTCACTGTTTGGTAATTGCCCTGCCCCCTGCTAGTGCTTCCATTCTTGGCTCTTATAATAAAGTTCAGTCTCATGCTCATTTTTTATCTTCCTAAATGGGGCCTGCCATGGAGCAGCCATTTGTATTACGATCTTAGGCAACCATGACTGTTCCCAGCCACAGCATCCCTAATGCCACTGCCTTAGTTCAGACCCGTATCATTTCTCCCCTGGATAATTACAACAGCCCCTAACAAGTCTCCTAGCATTTTGGCATACACTCCTCTATTCCATTCTCTGTAGCAGGCAGTAGGCCATTTCTAAAGTACAAACTAAATCATTTCACCATGCTTTTTAAAACCTTCCAATAGGCTCCCCATTGCCTCAAAGCAAAATTTCTCAGACTGGATTAATGAGTGAGTGTTCCACAGGGTGTGGGCTAGGAATGAGAATATAGTTTAACACATTTGGGAAACCCTGGGTTAAACATGGTTAACCAGGTATTTTTGTGTGTTTGTTACAGGATTTCTCAGAGCCTTTAATATGCTGATGCAAATTGTGAATCTTATCACAAGAGTGATATAAAATCAACATTTACCAAACTTGCTTTCTTGGCAGACTATCTTTGGTTCCACTGAGTTGCAGTTTAGAATTTTTCAAGTATTTCCAAGTCCCTTAGTCTGGTAGACAAGTTTCTTCATAATCTGACCCCTGCTTATTTCTTCAGCACAAGTCTCTACATTTCTCCCAGGTCCTTGCTTCTTGACAATTTGGTTCCTATGTACCTGCTTTCCTTTATCTAAAGTCAACCATCCTGTTCTTTCATAGCCCTGGTTAATTCTTATTCATCCTTTGAATCTCAGGTCAGTCTTCTCTCCTCTGGGAAATCTTATCCTATCCCCACCATACCTCATCCCACCCCACCCTCCCTTGGGCTGAGTTATACATTCACCCTATGACATCCCATGCTTTTTCCTATTATATTAACTTTCACACAACCTTAGAGTTTCCTGCTTGTCTCTCCTTGTAGATTGCATGTTCCTTTGGGCAGGGCTGTCAGCAGGGCACTTAGTGTGCATTCAGTAAGTGTTTCTTGAGTAAATGAGTACTGAGAAATAGAATGCATTTTGTGAAAACAGTTGTTGACTAAGAATTTTCTGAATGCAGTCACACTGATAGTAGATACCTTTTCAGGTGCCAATCCATCTATGGTGTAAACATGTCTCTTATACTGACCATACTCTACAGGTGTTCTCTGTGATACTATCTCCTGGGACCATTTAAATTCACATGAAGAAAACTGAGCCGACCTGACTCATTCTCTGAGGATTCGAACTTAGGAATTGTTAGAAGTTTATTCAAACTGCAGAATCATAAACTGCAGAGCTCTGGTGGCCGTTTTGTGTATGAGTAAATGGGAGCGATGGAAGCAGTTCTGTAGAAAGAGAGGGAGAGAAGTGAAGGGCATTGGGCTACAGATGTTCCTCGATGTCCCAATAAACCCATCATAGAGTTGCATGATGTTGAAAATATTCTAAGTCACAAATACATTTAATACACCTAACCTACTGAACATCATAACTTAGCGTGCCTTCAGTGTGCTCAGAACACTTAGATTAGCTTACATTTGGGCAAAATCATCTATTTAACACAAAGCCTATTTTATAATAAAATATTGAATAGCTCATGTAATTTATTGAAAACTATACTAAAAGTGAAAAACAGAATGGTTGCATGGGTACCTGAAATATGGTTTCTACCAAATGTGTATTGCCTTTGCAACCATCTTAAGTCAAACCATCATAAGCTGGGAACTGTCTGTATTTAGAAAAAAGCAAAGATGGAGAGGTATTCCTAACCCCCTGGGTTCCTAATTTCTCACAGATTTCTCATTTCAGCACTAGCTGAGGTCTGGCTATCAGCCTGTCACAGAGTTAGGAGTATGTCATCACAGTGATTTTTCTTTCCCCTCCTCCAGCCTATTTGAAGGAGGCCCTGTTATGTGTTACCAATAGGGTCTTTACTAAGCAATGTCTAGTTTTTTTCCTTGAAAAACTTGAAATGTGAATGGCTCTCTCAACATGCTTCTCTTTGTAACAGCCACATTGTGAATATTAATGGCAGTACTTAAGCAGGTCGATTGTGCACTGAGAATATGAAATATGCATGTCACTTAAAAACAAATGATTGTCCATACAGTGCTTGGGCTGAATTATTCTCCCTCAGGTTGTCACACCTGATGCAGAGGGAAGCTAAGGCAATGCATCTGTGCCAGACTTTATAGATCCCAAGGTCAGGATCAAAATGTGCAGATTCAGGAAGATGCTTTTTCACTAATGATTTGTTACCGTTAACTTGACGCACTGGGTGGATTTATATAGAGAAAAATGTTAATAAAATGTTCTTCGAGCTACATTTCTGCTTTGCTGAGTTGTCATTCCATTAAGCAAATTTGAGGCAATGTAATTGCTATAAGATTCTACATATTTGCAAATGAATTTGTGAGTTTATTTGGGAAATGAATGGGTTTTAACTTGGCTTGTTGGACTAATTTTATTTTGCTGTTTCCAGGAGATGTCCTAGCGAGGGGTTTCTAAGAGCTAACAGGCATATGGAAGCAGTTTACTATTGACAAGGTTACAGACAGATGGGCCTGGCTTTAAATCTTGGCTCTGTCCTTTAGTGATGATGTGGCATGGCCCAATCACTTTCCTGAGTCTCAATTTCCTTATCTGTCAAATGGGCATGATGATAATGTTGAGTTCATAGCGTTGTTTAGGGATCAAATTTGATCATGTGTATTTAGAAAGCTGGCATTTGATAATTTATAGTAATTATTTCATGACATTTGATAATTTGTAGTAATTATTTCATTTAAACTGTCTTTTGATTGTTGCTATCATAGAAAAAAAATTTGCCATTCGCACCCATATTTACAAATTTAAATGTGTGGCTACAAATATGGGGTTGGGGGTAGACATAGTTGAGGGGGAGTGTGGGTGGTGCAGTTGCCCAGTACCATATCTGCTGCAGGTGGCATCCAGGAGGGACAGCAGTGGGGACATACACATGGCACTCAGAGCAAAGCCCTCACCTTCATGATTGCAAAGTGCATGCGTGGGATGTGCAAGACCCAGGGAATTACTTTGGCCTCCACATGGATACCACAGTTGTTGATTGGCTGGTTGACCTGATATTTGAAACATTTGCATTTGTCAGGAGTTCTATAGGATTCTAATCTCTCCCTGAAAGTATATGAAAAGCTGCCATTTTTGAAGGCAGTATGCACGATGGGAACTACATGGAATTCGCAGTAAAACCTTCTGCAACTAGTCATTTTGACTTTTTCTATTTATTTTCCTTTGGGCACATCTTTGCACCACCTGGATCCATCTTCTGTATGTGTAAGATGGAGACAATAATGTCACCATGTGGCATTAATATCTGTCCACTCAACGAATGAAGTGCTGAGGGCTGGGGATCCGGCAGTGAACACAAAGGACAAACATTTAGTCCTCGTAGAGTTTACATTTTATTGGATGAGGAGGTGAGGTAGTTAAAATATCGGAAGAGTAAAATACAGATTGTTAGATAGTGATTGTGATTGTCAATACTGAGCATCAACTTAATTGGATTAAAGGATACAAAGTATTGATCCTGGGTGTGTCTGTGAGGGTGTTGCCAAAGGAAATTCACATTTGAGTCAGTGGGCTGAGGAAGGCAGACCCACCCTTAATCTGGTGGGCACAATCTAATCAGCTGCCAGAGAATATAAAGCAAGCAGAAAAACATGAAAAGCAGGGAGACTAGCCTAGTCTTCCAGCCTACATCTTTCTCTCATGCTGGATCCTTCCCGACCTCAAACATTGGACACCAAGTTCTTCAGTTTTGGGACTCGGACTGGTTCTCCTTGCTCCTCAGCTTGCAGATGGCCTATTGTGGGACCTTGTGATTGTGTAAGTTAATACTTAATAAATTCCATATATATATATGTATATATGTGTATGTGTGTGTGTATATGTATACATATGTATATATCCTATTAGTTCTGTCCCTCTAGAGAACCCTGACTAATACAGCGATACCTGATTGCCAAGAAGTGAAATAAATCAGAGAAGGAGGATTTCGAGTTCAGTACAAGGTGGGGGTCACCTATTTAAAGAAGAGTGGCCAGGAAAGACTGACCAAGAAGGTGACATTGGAGTGAAGATCTGGAGAAAATCACAGAGCAACTCATGGTGATGTTGGGGTGAGAGAGAGCAGGCAGGCAGGGAAGAGGAGGGGAAAAGGACTCGAGGTGCCAGTGGGCCTGGGGAGTCTGAGAAACCAGGACGGGGCCATGGTGGCTGGGTGGGGAGTCACTGATGGGGAGGGAGGCAGGAAATGAGAGAAGGGTGAGCAGGGGCAGATGTGAGAGGCACCCTGGGCCCTGGGGGGATTTTGGCTTTTACCTTGAATGTAAGGGGGAGTCAGTGGAGAATTATGAGTGCAGCACCCAAACAATCTGATTCAGGCTGAACAGCATCGTCTAGACTCAAGCTACCCCATGAGAGAGCTATGGGTCCCTGAGAATGTGGCTAGTGAGACTGAGAGGCCAAATTTGCCACTTTATTTAATTGGAATTAACTTACATTTAAAAATTCTTACTTGATTCAGTTATTAGAAAACTTCTGCATTTGGAACGACTTGGATATGTGAATCTGCTTATTCAACTATAAATTTATGAGGTCTTAATAAAGATGAGGTATTTACGATAAAGATTTGTCATCCAAATTGAGATGTTGTAATTCTAAAGCATTTTCCAGATTTCAAAAATTTAGGATGAAAAAATTAAGATTAGGAAAGAACTCAATTATATAATTATACTTATCACATATTGAAATAATATTTTGAATATATCTGGTTCAATAAAATAGTGACACTAATTGTACCTATTTCTTTTTACCTTTTTAAAAGTGTAACTAGCACAAAATTTAACATTATAGACATGGCCCACATTCTATTCACATTGGAGGGTGGTGATATAGAAAATACTTTGGCTGTGTGTGGTGACTCACACCTGTAATTCTAGCACTTTGGGAGGATGAGGTGGGAGGATTGCTTGAGCCCAGGAGTTTGAGACCAGCCTGGGAAACATAGGGAGACTCTATCTCTACAAAAAATAAAAACAATTAAAAGTTAGCCAGGCATGGTGGCATGCACCTATGGTCCCAGCTACTGAGGAGGCTAAGGCGGGAGGATTGCTTGAGCTGGGGAGGTGTAGGCTGCAATGAGCCGTGATCATGACATTGAACTCCATCCTGAGCAACAGCATGAGACCATGCCTCTAAAAAGATATTAAAAAATAGAAAAAGCCTTGCACCAAGCTTGGCACGTATTAATGAACTGATTCATTCATCTTTTATAAATGTACTGGGTGCTTTCTATGGATGCACACAGTGTTCATAGAGGAAAATACAGGCATGCCCTGACCTCATAAGATTCCAGTGGGAGAGACAGACAAAACAAGTGCACGGAAAAGATAATGCAAAAGCATGGTACTGCTGTGGGAGAGAAAAATAAAGGTCTGAGAAAAACCATATTGGAGAGGAGATGTTAGCCAGGTGGGGCTTCCTTGAGGAAGGCTCTCTGAGGAGGTGAGGAGTTACTATTGCCAGGGAGATTGTTATCAAAACTGACACACGGAAGTGCTTTTTAAACCTTCAAGTGCTATAAAAGTGAGTTGTTATTAATATCTGTGTTCTCATGGGCAAGACACTTGGCTAGGATTCGGTCCCCTGGAGACTAGACACTGAGTCTCAGTTGTTTCCCATTGGGTCTTTGCTCCATGTCAGGCACGTCGGAGGCCTTGTTGAGAATCTGAGGTGTTGTAGGCCCCTTGGGAGATGGAAGCACTAAACAGGTCCTGATTTTCAGCACATTTAGTTGGAAAGGAAAAATTCAGTGATGAAGATAGGAGTCGAGTCATTGTCAGGGCTGAATAAGTGATCCATGCGGGAGAGCAGTGGGTGAAGACCAAGTGAATGAGGAGGATGCCTTAGAGGAAGAAACCATAGCACTTAGAGGCCAAGGACTTGTGAGCTTTGGGTAGGTGGCAGCGGTAGGAGGGTGCTCCTGGCAGGAGGCACAGGACAAGCAAAGGTTCAGAGGTGGGACTTGGTGGCCAAGACTAACAATGCTCCCGGGAAGGTGGGAGGACAGTCATTATTCCACTCTGTCCTCAGCATCCTCAACAGTGGGGTTGGTCTCCTGAGTTCTGGGAAGTCATTACATAAATGGGCTAGGAGGGAAATGAAATCTAAAGATAGATCAGGTATTCCCAATAAAAATTTACCACCTGAATTGAGATATTCTGTAATTGTAAAAGCACTTCTGGATTTTGAAAACTTAGAATGAAAAAAAGAAGACAGAAAAAAGTCTCATTTACATTTTTGATATGCATTATGTCTTGAAATCATAATATTTTTGATACATTGGGTTAACTAGGATATGTTAACATTGATTGCAATTAATTGCACTCATTCTTTTTTTTTTACTTTAAAACATTTAACTACTGGAACATTCCTTTCTTTTTTTTTTTGAGACAGAATCTCGCTTTGTCACCCAGGCTGGACTGCAGTGGCACAATCTTGGCTCACTGCAACCTCCACCGCCTGGGTTCAAACGATTCTCCTGTCTCAGCCTCCCGAGTAGCTGGGATTATAGGCATGCACTACCACGCCCAGCTAATTTTTAGTAGAGACAGGGTTTCAACATGTTGGCCAGACTGGTGCTGAACTCCTGAGTTCAAGTGATCCATCTGCGTTGGCCTCCCAAAGTGCTGGGATTACAGGTGTGAGCCAACTACTAGAACTTTTAAAATTACAAACACAGCTCACCTTCTGTTTCTACTGGAGAGTGCTGCTCATAGCCCTGCTATGGCCAGGACACCAGCAGGGCCAGCCTGGCCACAGCCCAGCCCAGCCCAGCTCTCTATGTAAAAGTCTGCAGATGGGCCTGAAGGTCAAGGCTTCTGGAAACTTCTATAACTCATTACCACTGGACATAGATGTTGGACTCCAGTTAGGTGCACAGCCTAAGTGTATGTGTATAATGGGAAGAGCTCAAGCCCTCTCCTAGGAAGGGAGAAAATGGTTTCATGTTCAGGTGTGGCCGCGTTTCTCTCCATCCAGAGCCCTTATTCAGTTTCACCATGTCACTCTGTGAAGTAGAACCTCTTGTCCTAATTTTGTAAGTTACATGTATGGAAAGTCAGGTCTCTGGCCTCAAGTCACACGAGGTAGTCAGGATTCAAACCTAGATCATGGGCAAATACTCATTCCTTATGCTATGTTGAACCCTTGGTGATAATGCTAACAGAGACCTAGTTCTTCAGTACAACACCTCCTCCCTGTTTCTCAGATGGGACCCAGAGAGAGGCAGAGGCTTGTTGAAGGTCCTGTGGTCAACTGTTTTTATTACCAGCTGTTTCCTTGTAATTGGAATTTCATGGAGAGAAAGATAGTCTGAGTCCTCTGGGGCCAGGGGAGAATGGGCTACCCTTCTCTCTGCCCATTAATCAAACAATGAAACCAAGATTTATTGAGCGCTGACCTCGAACCAGGAAAAGGGCCACTGATGTGACCATGACCGAGCTGGGAGTGAGTTTCTCATTCCAAACCCATCATCTGCCCCCATCGATGTCCCTTCCAATCAGCAGTGAGTTCTTGGAGGCAAGAGCTGGACATCTGGCTTTCCTCCTGCCAGGGAGACCAGCAGCTGCAGGTAAGAGCAGAGGCTGGTAGGGACCGTGTTGGCTCTGGGTGACACACAGAGGCACCAGCCACCGGTGATCTTGCCCAGCATGCAGGGCTGGGAGATGGGTGGGAGGAGATGAGGCCCACCCTAGTGACATGACCCCCACGCTGTTTATAACCACACCTCCCTGCCACCTGGCCCTGCTCCACACCTGGCCTCCTTACAAGGGAGCAAACCGTGCTAAACAAACTCTTCATTTTGAAGCATGGAGCCAGGGTGTTTAGGGCAGAAATGTGAGATGGAACAGAAGCTCAGCATGTTGTAGGGCCTGAGAACTCAGAGAGCTCCAGGGAGGGAATTGGCCAGGCTCCACCACACTTGCAAAGATCGCCTAGGGGCCTAGTCCTGGGGGTTATAGGAGGCTGTATCTGGAGCTTGTCGGGGAGGTATCCCAGCTCCACAGCCACATACCAGGGAATGGACGATCTTCAGGGTGAGTGCAGCTAGGGAGCAGGATGGGCTGCCCCTGCTACTCAGTGACACCTGTGGTCATAGCTCTTTGTTGACTGACAGCATTTCACATCCCAAAACCACCCTACCTTCCTTCCTTCTTTCTTTCCTTCCTTCCTTCTTACCTTCCTTCCTTCCTTCCTCTCTCTTTCCTTCCTTCCTTTCTTTTCTTTTCTTTTCTTTTCTTTTCTTTTCTTTTCTTTTCTTTTCTTTTCTTTTCTTTTCTTTTCTTTCCTGAGAGAGAGGGTCTTGCTCTCTTGCCCAGGCTGCAGTGCAGTGCTGTGATCATAGCTGACTGCAACCTTGAACTCCTGGGCTCAAGCAATCCTCCTGCCTCAGCCTCCTGAATGGCTAGGAGTATAGGCATGCACAACCATGTCCAGCTAATTTTGTTTTCTTGTAGAGATGAGGTCTCGCTTTGTTGCCCAGGCTGGTCTTGAACCCCTGGGCTCAAGCAATCCTGCCTCCTCAGCCTCCTAAAGTGCTGGGTTTACAGATGTGAGCCACCACATCTGGCAAAGTTACATTCTTTATCTGAAAAGTAACACCCTGAAATGTTAGCAACAGTTAATGTCTTTGGGTGCTGAGTCTGTAGATGATTTTTCTATCTCTAATTTCCTTTTCTTTACACTGAACATTTTCTTCGACGAGCCTATATAACTTTACAACAATAATATTTGAACACAATGTTTTTTTCCATTCAGATACAATATATGACTTCCCTGGAGCAGATAGGCATTTCTGATTCTGCCTCAGACCCACACCTCAGACACTTCATCCTCTTTTTTGCCCTATCCTTATTTCTTCTTTCTCAGTAGAGAAAAAAATGCTCTTCTCTTGAACCCAGGGGCTTTACATAATTTACTTCATTTAATTATCAGAAATAAAGCAAGATATAAGATTGCAACAAAAAGGAGGAGGATAGCCTTTGGTTCTGGGTCTTTGGACCAGCAATACCAAGGCCCTTGGCCAATTTTTGTTCCACAGCCATATCTTCTTCCTCCCATGCCACATCCCATCCCCACCACTCCTCTGCTCCCACCATGACCCCAGAGCCTCCACCAGACATTTTCATAACTGCTGTCTGTCCTCACCTCTCACAGACTGTGCTAGCCAGGGCTGTCATCCATGCAGCTCCTGAGGTGAGACGTCAAATCCCTCAGTTCAGCTTTTTCTCTCCTCTCTTTGTCCAGTGATGTTAGGAGCAACCAGCCAATCTCAAGATATTCATTAGTTTTCCAAAAATGTTACAGTGTCCTATACATAGTCACCCAGCTCTTTGCCTTTCAAATGGTTGATTAGGAGCATCTAATGGTGGTATTTTTCTGTATCTCTAGTGCCATGGCATGCCATGGACTATCAGTCCTCTCTTTACTACTGGAAATAGAGTCATTAGCATCTTTAATCAGATTGAAGAACCAATTCCAGAAACCCAAGAACAAACTCAGGAAACTCACATGTTTAAATTATGTTCCTCTAGAACTACTCTTGGTACCAAAATCTATATTAGTTAGGGTTCTGCAAGCTGGAGACCTGAAAGCCAGTGGTTTAGTTCCAGTCTGAGTGTGTGAAGGCCTAAGAACAGGGAGAGCCAATGGTGTAGGTTCCAGTCTGAAGGCAGGAGAAGACCAGTGCCCAGTTCAAGCAGTCAGGCAGGCAGAGTTCCCCATCACTCAGCCTTTTGGTTGTATTCAGGTCTTCATTGGAGTGAATGGGGCCCACCCACCTTAAGAAGGGCAATCTGCTTTACTCAGTGTACCCATGTACATGTTAATCTCATCCAGAAATACTCCCATACACAGCTCAGAAGAATGGCCGAATGTGTGTCACTCCATGTCCTAAACAAAATAAAGTATCCATCTGTATTAGTCTGTTCTCATGCTGCTAATAAAGACATACCTGAGACTGGGTAATTTATAAAGAAAAGAGGTTTAACAGACTCACAGTTCCACATTGCTGGTGAGGCTTCACATTCATGGCAGAAGGCGAAGGAAAAGCAAAGGCAAGTCTTACATGGTGGCAGTTAAGGGAGATTTTGCAGGGGAACTCCTATTTATAAAACCATCAGATCTTGTGAGACTTATTCCCTACCACAAGAACAGTATGGGGTAAACTGCCCCCATGATTCAATTATCTTCACCTGGGCCTGCCCGTGACACATGGGGATTATTACAATTCAAGGTGAGATTTGGGTGGGGACACAGCCAAACCAGATCACCTTCACTCATATCTGACATAACAGAGAAGGGTGCTGAGCCCTCCAGGGTTCTTAATTGTAAACAATAGACACCATTCCCTGATGATTTAATCAGGGAATTTTTTTTTTTTTTAAAGATATTGGGCATGTTGAGGGATTGGGAAGTAAAAGCAAAACTTACATAATTGAAGTTAAAAGACATTCCGTAGTGTATTAAATGCTACCAACAAAAGACTTATAACCAGTATATATTTAAAATTTCTACAAATCAATAAGAAAAAAAGCTACAGAATGAGACCCTGTCTCAAAAAAAGAGCCCACAAATTGAGGTGGACTAACAGTACGCAAGTTTATTTCTTGTCTTGTGAAGTCCACTGTGAAATCCACTTTTCAGGACAATGAGTCCTTCTCAGAAGCTTAGAGATAGAGTTGCTTCCATGGGTCAGTAAGGAATGATTGAGTTGGAGGTTCTTACACTGACAATTAGATGCTTCGCTTCTACCTACAACCCATTAGTCAAAACTAGTCACAGAACCTTTGATTAGCTGTGCAGTGGGGTTGGAGCAGTGTAATCCTCACCTGTATCTGTGGGGAGAGGAGAACTGGGTATGGGAGAGCACAAGGAATCTGCACCATGGTAGGCAAAGGACATATGCAGGCAGTTCATGAAAGTAAATTCTAGGATTCAGGATAGGTTGATATGGTTTGGCTCTGTGTCCCCACCCAAATCTCATGTTGAATTGTAATTCCCAATATTGGAGGTGGGACCTGGTGGAAGGTGATTGGATCATGAGGATGGTTTCTAATGGTTTAGCATCGTCCCCCTAATGCCATCTCGTGATAGAGTTCTCATGAGATCTGGTTGTTTGAAAGTGTGTAGCACCTCTCTCTTCACTTTTTTTCTCTCTCCTGCTGCCATGTGAAGACATGTTCACTTTCCCTTTGCCTTCCGCTATGATTGTAAGTTTCCTGAGGCCTCCCCAGCCATGCCTCCTGTACAGACTGTAGAACTGTGAGTCAATTAAAACCTATTTTCTTTATAAATTACCCAGTCTCAGGTATGTCTTTATAGCAGTGTGAGAACAGACTAATAAACACACGATAAGACACTCAACAGATATTGCACATCCATCAAATTGGCAAATAAAAATAATTATTGATGCTAAAATCAAACATTGGCAAGGATGAGGACCTGCAATGGAAAACCTCTTGCACCGTTAGAGCATAAATTGGTACAATCACATTTGAGAGCAATTTGGCCAAATTTAGAGGAGATTATACTTCAACTTTGCAATTCCACTTCTAGGTATGTGCACCATTGGAACAAGAATGGACATCACAGCATTGTTTATAGCAGCAAAAACTGGTGGCTACCTAAACAATATTCACCAAAAGGAAGATAGATAAGTAATTTATGGTCTACACACATGGTGGAAGCCTGGTATATAACATCATAGATAAACTGTAACAAATACCATTTCATAACAACAAAAAAGCAAGTCACAGCAGATGTATGCAGTATGATATAATTTATATGATAATTAAAATGTAGAAAATAGTGCTATAAATTTTTCTTATGTTTATATCCTATTATCCTTATTGCTTTCAGGTGTATAGATAGTGCTATCTACTCCCAATCCTTGAGTTTTAAATTTCAGTGGTTATATTTTTTATTCCTAGAATTTCTATTTAGTTCACTTAAGCATCTGGGTGGTCATTTTTTATGGTCTTTTGTTATTTTCCAAGGTATTTTCAACTTCCCCTTTTCTATTCCTTTAAATATTAGATACATATGCATGTATGCATATATGTATATATAAAATATAGTCTACATTTGATCATCTTAATATCTAAGGACTTTGGGGTAGAGAAGAGTTGTCTATTTCTGCTGTTTCTTTCAGTTTCTGCTGACTCTCTTTCATGGTATATTACTTCCTCACATTGCTGTTAGTTTTTATAGCTTTCTCTTGTTTGACTGATCTTAATTTTAGGACTAAGGGACCTCATTGGAAT
The DNA here is from genome assembly GCF_000001405.40 of Homo sapiens. Lineage (NCBI taxonomy): Eukaryota > Metazoa > Chordata > Mammalia > Primates > Hominidae > Homo > Homo sapiens. Next base: position 65,851,068 of record NC_000016.10, on the reverse strand, counting down.
ACACTTCTTCGGAAAGGTTTTGCGTTTTCTTCTGCTAGGTACTCAAAGGCAATGTCAAACTAGGAACACTAATTCCTCAGCTTCAAATTTTATGTACCACATAAGTAGAATACACTCAAACCCTACTCTTGCATTAGAATAAGGTAGTAGTTAAAATTCTTGGGGAAGATATATTTGAGGGAGAGAGTTTGTTTTGGGTGCCCCTCCCCTCACACCTGCAAGCCTAAATGGAGACAAATACATTATCATTTTCCTTTGCCAGAACAGGGATTTTTCCCATCTAACCCAATCTTTCATTCCAGGTACAGCTCCTTAAGATTCTTGAATTTACTACGCAGAGGCCTAAGTTTTCTATAGGCCCAAGGCCCTGGCTCCCTGCCTTGACCTTTTTCCCCTCTCTCCCTCCTCTTCTTTCTTCTTGGCGTCCTTTTTCTGTTTCCTCCTTTTCCTCCTTTTTCTTTGTAGCAAGTGCCCTCAAGGCAGCCTGGATTTTAGTTCTTCTCACCACTCTTGTTTGCTGCTTTCATTTTGCTCTTAACTCCTGTGGATTTCCCTTGTTCATGAGGTCACCTACTTATTGAAAACCTTCTTTGTTCTAAGTGTTTTATACTAGGTGGGAAGCAGTTTTAGAATATCTGCTTTCCAAATTATCTGGAGCAGAAGTCGTTCATGTATTATGTGTGTATGTGTGTGCTTGTGTGTGTGTGCTTGCGTATGTGTATGTATATACATACATATATACAATATTAAATTTTATATATTAAAAACATGTCTGTGCACAATTAATATCATTCAGCATAGAAGTTACTTCTGGAAGGCAGAAAAGAAAAGAAAATTAAGGAGGGATACATAGCAGCTTCAAAATTATCTGTAATATTTTATTTCTTACTACAAAGCTTAAGCAAATACAGAAAAATGCTAAGATTTTTATCAACATGGATTGTTGTGAACCTGGTATCTATTTTATTATCTCAGTACTTGATGGTATCTTGAAAATATTTTGTAAGTGGGAGAAGAAAGGGAGGATGAAAGGGAGAGAGGATGGGAGGGAGGGATAGGAGCGGGGGAGCCTGGGCGACACCCAGAGTAATGCCCAGAATGATGCTCCAAAATCAGCCCATGACCTTGGGAGGACCCTCCTGCCACCATCTGACCCTGGACCCTAGATACCCTCTTGGCCACCACTGTCCCCAGAAGCTCAATGCTGGCCCCAATACAATTGCCACCCATTGCCAGAGTAGAGCCTCCACAGTTCCAGAGTCCTTGTGTCCTCATCTCCCTACTGCATTCAGGTTCACCCATTGGCAGAGCCCCAGTTACACCCACCACTCTAGACACAAGAGAGGCTGGGAAAGGGGGCACCTTGCATTTTTTATTGAGAGGCTGTTTCTGCCTCATAAAAGTGGGGGGATTTCTCAAGCAGGAGATCCTCAAGTGGAGGATTTCAAAAAACAGCCAGCCAAAAATTAAGAGCCAAATGCCAGTCATGGCTATAAAGACTGAACCCTTTCTGCAAGATCCTGAGTGTTGGTTAGACCCTGCACTAATCCCTTTGCATATAGCATCTCCTTCATTCTGCCCCCTCTGCCCAGCCCAACCCCTTGCTCCTGGAGGGGTCACTGTTCTCACTGTGACTGTATGAGTGACAAAGAGCTAGGCTTGCTCCCTGCCACCAGATAAGCCAGAAGCCATGCAAAGATCAGAATTCAGATCTCCTTTACCCCAAGTTGTTATTTCTGAAAAATTTCCAGACAAAATCAAAGACAGCCATGTGCCATATATGCGTCCATCTCTTCTATTGGTTCGCCACCATCAACAGACGTGTCTCTTTCTAGTGCATGCTTCATCTTTGCTATGAGGAAAAGGTAAAGAAAAGGTGATCTTTTCCTTTGTTGTGTTGCAGCAAAATCATCTGATAGAGTATTTGGTTTTAATAAAGCCAACGAGGTAACCAACAGCCCCGGATATTGTATGGAATAGAGAGCTACATAGCAGTAGGCATTTTCCTAAAGCCAGCTCTCATGTGGGGGGTGGCTTCAGACACTGTGATGGTAAGGAAAAATGTCTTATTTGAGACTTTGAGGGCTCTTCAGATCATTCTGAGTAAACATCGACTGCAAAAGCACACAAATGAGATAGGCTAAAGGTCTGCTGTTCATGAGTATAAATATGAAAAAAGGCAGGGTCAGGGTGCGGATGCACCTACACAGAGCATGCGTTTTGATGCCATAGACATGGAGTGTAGGCTAAGCATTGAGCCTTCCTCAGACCATCTGGCTGACTGTGTCTGCAAGGCCCAGAAATTGGTCCCATTTTCTCAAAATTAAAATTCAATAACAGGCATCTTTCATTTCAATCTCCTGCCTTTGTGTAGCAGATACAATACTCTGGTGACAAATGCAGGTGAATTGAATTTTGTTTTTCCCATAATAGCTGCATCGAGCAGCAAACTAATGTATTAGTTATCAGAGATGAAAATAAGTGTAATGCCTGATCCTGAACTTGAAATTGCATAACTGCAGCAAAATGCCTTTCGATTGAATTGCACATTTGTTTTCCTTTTCTCTCTTTCCTTCCTTCTTCTTTCTGTTAAATCTTCATTCATCTATTATGATCACAGCTTATTAAGGGCTGCTTAGGATCACGCAAAAATGAGAGAGCTCTCATTTCATGCATCATGACGCTCACTCTCAGGCTCTTAAACACTCACCCTGAAGCCTTTGGTATTTGTCTCCTCCAAACCTGGACTCTAGCACATGTATTGGCCTAATTCATTGTTTAATGCACATATTCAGAGCCTATGTATCTAATCAGGAAAGTGGGAGCTTTTGTCTGGTGAGCAGGGCACAATACTGAAAATAGATACCATTTGACCCCTTACTACGTGCCTGGGATTTTATATATATTATCTCTCATCCTCATCTCATCTCAGGAATGGAGCTGTTAACCCAATTTAACCTATTATGAAACAGGGTCTTAAGGAGTATGATAGAGTAGGTAGAATGGACAGAGAAAGAGTGATAAACATTAAATCCCGAAATTGGGCCCAAGAACATGGTGGGTGGCATTGTCATTTAGAACTGGGAGACCTAGGAGAGAAGTGGGCTTAAGTGGGTGTAATGTGGGATCAAAGGGTTGGCTTGAGAATCTTTGGATTTGAGATGCCAAGTGGAAGAGTTGCTTACACAGTTTGTGAATTTAAGATTGGAGCAGTTCGGAGAGAGATGAGCACTTTGGCTAGCCTTGGAATCAGCAGACATCAGTAACTCCCTCAGTATCAGCTTGCTGGCAAGTAGCTGGGCTGAGATTCTCCATTCTTTACATGCTGCCTCTCCAGACTGTCATGGCTGCAAAGCACTGTTCTCTTCCTTATATCCTACTACTGAGCCCAGAGAGTGCGAGTGATGTTCCATCACCCATGCCTGGACCTTCAGGATTGAAAATGCTCTGGATTTTATAACCAAGTAAGATCTTGCTACATTCATCAATGCAACACATACACTTTTGCATCTCCTTTTGTCCCCCGCTAAATGCAACAGAAGATTGAAGTGAGAATTCCCATGTGAGAGAAAGTCGCTTTTCTTTACCTTAAATCAGAATTATCATAAAAATCACCATTGCATCACATCACCCAGAGCTCTGATTCTTCTCCTGGTTCCCAAGAGCATTCTTGGTCTTCTACCTACAGAGTCGGACTCTAAAATTTGGTGCTCAGAACGCTGTTTAATCTCCTTTCCTTTGATTTCTGTCCAAACCAGCTCAATTCGGAAAACATTTATTGAAAACATATACGTGTCCAGTCTGATGGAGAGAAACAGGAACGCATGATCATTATCTAAAACCAAGATCAAATGCATGATTTATCCAAGAACCTAACTTTGGGGTGATTTTATTGACATGACAATTCAAAGAGAGCTACATGAAATCACTTGTAGATACACATTAAATATACTACCTTCAGGGAAACTGACTACATGAGCCTGTAATTGTCAATAAATGTGGATTTTGGTCATATCTGTGGTTTCAGGATACCATGTGTGTATTTCGTGACCTGTAACAGTCAAGGCGACTTACTCTTAGGGGAGAAGCAAGATGGCTAACTGTGAGCCATTGTAGAAGGATAGAATTAAGAGTAGAAATGAAGTCAAAGCCTGAGAATGCAGCATTCAAAGAAGACCGTTTATTAAAACTCTGGTATGCAAAAGGCTGTGTTAATGAAGCAGGGACGATAAGGATGGCTTATTGTCCTCTAGCTATTCACAGACTAATAGTGGACTGATAACCTGTTCAGCAATTTTAATATAATTCAGTAATTTTAACGCACAATGACATGGTGGGGGTGTCCAATTCCACTGCTGACTGGGGAAATTGGGACAGACTTTGTGACAGGGGTGTCATTCGAACTAGGCCTAGGATGGTAAAATTTGGATGTGAGAAAGTGGGTTTAGAGAGCCTTGCACGTAGAGAGAACAGCAATAGAAGTGCCTTGGAGGTAAGAAACCAGGGCCAGGTCACAGGAAGAATAAGGAACATAATTTGACCCTACAGGACAGAGGTTCATGACCACTCAGATTAAAAATGAAGTATGAAAAACAGCCAAGGGGATGTATGAATGTGAGGCAGTGGCAGAGGCTGGAATTTATCCTTTGGCAATAGAGAGCTATTAGAGGTTCCTTGAGCAGAGAGAGAAACTGTGTGACAGCTGTGTGTGGCACAGACTGCAGGGTGGGGCATTTTGGGCCACCATCCGGTCCAGAGAATACTTTTTCTTACAAAGGTGACAGGATATCACAAACATGTGGGTTCATATAAACATGTAAACAAAAACAAAAACAAAAACTCAGGGACTTAAACTTTGTAAAAATACTTGTTCCCCCTACCCATTCTCTGGAATTCTCTCTCTGTCTCCAGGCCAAATGACTCATCAGATTGTCAAAAGAATCCAGTCGTGTCATCCTTGGCTCTACTATCTTCAGTGACTATTATCTGCCTTTAGAACAAAAGTTAAATTTAGTGTGAAATTTAAGGTTTGTGCCAATCTGGCCTCACCTTCCCCAACTCAGGGCTCCCACCAGACCACCCTAGCAGCTCCCGAGTCCACATGCCCTTGGCATTCCAGTCTCTGCTTATACTATTGGAGGCTTTTTGCTTCTGTGTCTGACTCAGAGCTCCTTCATCCTTCCAATGCACATGGGCCTCTATTGCATTTGCTCAGCAGGCCTCTTTCGGGCCCACAACAACTTGAGTTCTTATCTTTGCACTGCCAGGGACCAACACAGTGAAGGGATGATGTTCTCATATCCAGCACTGGCTTCCCTAGCAGGTGCATATGCAGGAGGCACAGCCTCCTCCAGGCCATCACAAGAGTATCCTAGACCTCTGGCTTCTCTCAGGACTCCTATTTAACTTGGCAGGAGCTGAGGTTGAACTCTAGGGCTTTTCAGCTGACTGTCTATGAACAGGAAATCTAAAGGAAACTGACTTTCAATGGTTGAGATGACAAACAATTCTGGGTTATTTCTAACTGAGAAGGTGACGATTGGCCTCTCTTTCTCAGATCTTCCAGGGAAAAGGATTCATAAGCTTACACAATCTGGGTGCTGGGCTCATGTAACTGCGTAGGTAGAGGGAGCCTGCCAAGAGATACTAAGTGCATCCAACAAAATGCTAATCAGCCTCCAACCTGGGTTCCAGATCCGTCACTAAAAAGGTTTGGTAAATGGAAACAGAACAGCTCAGCCCCTCTCCCTAAAAACACAGCCACATGCCAATCTTCCATTTATTTTCATTTTCGCCCCATTTGTATCATTCACCTGCTCCATGCCAGACACCACCTAGGTGCTGTACTTCTGTTATCTCTTTGAATCCACTGAATGCACCAGTGAGTCCTGAATCTTCCCTGGTCATAACAGTTCCTGTCTGAAGACTCGAAATCTGACTCCATTCCTTCCCTGTAGAGAAAAGGCATGGAGAGCCATTGAGCATTGGCAATGCACAGAAAGGCGTAGAGGTTCAAATAACAGACGTGCAAAAATTATGGGTCAAATGCCCACTCTGCCTGTGAAGATTGAGTTCATTTTACAAAATCCTTAGATCAGCCAGGCCAGACCTGGGTCTGGATCCTTTTCCTATAATACCTCCTCCTTTTATCCCCAGCCATCCCTACCACCTTGCATACTTGCAGCAACTCTGAAAGGTTGATGCCACTGTGACCACTTTTAGAGCAAGAGGGATGGAAAGTCATAGAAATTTTCCCCAAAACACAAGTTTAATAAATTCCAGAGCTGTCATTCAACCCCAAATATGTGCAGTCAGATGCCAAGTCCAGCCATAATAAGAGGGAGATTTTGCAGGCTGGGAAAACATGGGCTTCCTTCCTCATTCTGTACCCTACTAATTGTGTGACCCTGGATAAGCTCCTTTACCCCTGTGAGCCCCAAGTCTCAAATTCCAAATGCAGTGGCCTGCGGACAGGTTTGTTGAGAGGCTGAAAGGGACTAACACTTGGCTGGTGCGTTGCATGCCACTAGGAGGCTTACCTGCTGTTTTTACTGCTTTCGTAATTTCATAATTTATTTTGACTTATTTACTTTTAGAGCCAAGGTCTCACTCTGTCACTCAGGCTGGAGTGCAGTGGCACTGTCACAGCTCACTGTAGCCTCTAACTCCTGGGCTTAAGTGATCTTCCTTTCTCAGCCTCCCGAGTACCTGGGACAATAGGTGCATGACATCATAGCTGGCTATTGCTTTTAACAGGACTGTTTAATTCCTCTTTGGGCCTTGCTGAGATTCTGGGGTGCAGGAGGCACAGGAGCAACTTTTTCCTCTCATCATAAGAAGATGGCTGTGATATTAGTTTTCTCACTTCATCATAAGTGTGGATGCCAAGACTGAAACTTGTTACCCACCATGCGCTGCTGCACAGCCAGCTGCTGGTGAGTCCCAGGCCTCCCAGCTGGCTTCGAGCAGGCTGGCAATCACCAAAACAGGGTCTATGGAGTCTCCTGGGCTTGTGCTTCCAGAAAGACTCCCAGCCCAGGGGCACCCACTGGGGCTTCTGCCTAACTTCCCATTGGCTGTTGAGTTGGGAGAAAGTTTCCATGTATTGGAAGGCAGCTCTAATGTTCCTCTCTGGGCTTTCTCTGCCTCCAATTGCTAATGCATGCTGTTCTCTGTGCACAGTTGTCTTGCTTCATCAAAATTTAATATTTAGGAAAAGGAATATCTTCTTTCTTTTGCTAAGTGTGAACTGAAAAAACTCATATTGGATTTTGATCAATAACAGGATCTCAACAGTTTTCTCATCAGTTTCCTTTTCTTTGAGGCTGGTAAGTGGACACTGCCCCAAAGCCTTCCCTGGAAAGGGGGTCAGCGGGGGGGTGTGACGTGATCCACACTGATGTCAGCAACATGGACCCTTGTAGGTTTGGAGTCAGAAAGAGCAGGATTCAATCCCAGGTTCAATTGATGTGTGGCTTTGGCAAATCACATACTTATGCCTCTCAGCTTCCACATCTGGAAATGGAAACAGCAATGCCTCCATTCACCCACGCATAAGTGCTAGCTACAGGGTGGCTGGGCTATAATTATTACCCCAGAAAAGTGCCTAACTTTATGTCTTCTTTTTTAATTGTTATAAAATATACATACACAAAACTTACCATTTCAGCCATTTTGAAGTGACCTTTTAAAATTTAGTGGTATTAAGTACATTCACAATGTTGTGTATCTGTCACCACCATCCATCTCCAGGATGTTTTCATCTTCCCAAACTGAAACTCTGCACCCATTAAACATTAACTCTCCACTGTCCCTGGTAACCCCTGTTCTACTTTCTGTCTCCATGATTTTACTCTTCTAGGTACCTTCCATAAGTGGACTCATACAACATTTGTTTTGCTTAGCTTATTTCACTTAGCACAGTGTCTTCCAGGTTCACCCATGTTGTTGCATGTGTCAGTATTTCATTCCTTTTTAAGGTTGAATAATATTCCATCGTATGGATATATTTTGAATATATGAATGGATAAACATTTTCTTTATTCATTCATCCATCAATGGATATTTGAGTTGTTTCCACCTTTTGGTTATTGTGAATAATACTGCTATGAACATGGGTGTAAAAATATCTGCTTGAGTCCCTGCTCTCAATTCTTTTTGATATATACCCAGAATTGGGATCGCTGTATCGTATGGCAATTCTATGTTTAACTTTTTGGGGAATTGTCATACTGTTTTCCACATTGGTCGCACAATTTTACATTCCCACCAGCTGTGCACAAAAGTTCCAATTTCTCCACATCCTTGCAGACATTTATTTTCTTTTTTTTTTTTTAATAATAATCATCCTAATGGATGTGAAGTAGTATCTCATTGTGACTTTGATTTGCATTTCTCTAACAATTGGTGATGTTGAACATCTTTTCCTGTGCTTATTGACCATTTGTATACAGTCATGCATTGCTTGAGATGAGGATGCTTTCTGGGAAATGTGTTGTCGGGCAATTTTGCTGCTGTGCAAATATCACAGAATGCACTTACCCAAATCCAGATGATATTACCTACTACAGGGATAGGCTATGAGGTATAGCCTACTGCTCCTTGGCTATAAACCTTTACAGCTTCTTACTGTACTGAATGCTGTAGGCAATTACAACACAATGGTAAATATTTATGTATCTAAACATATCTAAACAAAGATACAATAAAAATATGGTACAAAAGATTAAAAATGGTACACCTGAATATAGAGCTGTTACCCTGAATGGAGCTTGCAGGACCGGAAGTTGCTCTGGCTGAGTCAGTGAGTGAGTGGTGAGTGAGTGTTAATGCCTAGGACATTACTGTTTACTACTGTAGACTTTATAGAATTTCTATAGAAATTTATTTTTAAAATGAAGTAATTGCACTATGATATTACAATAGCTATGACATCACTAGCTGATAAGGTTTTTTTTAGCTCCTTTATAATCTTATGAGATCACTGTTATATACATGACCATCATTATCCAAAACATTATTATACAGCGCATGGCTGTATCTTCTTTGGAGAAAGGTCTATTCAACTTGTTTCACTCAGCTTCCCAAAGGAGAATGTGTACACCTCGCATAGCCATCATAGACTTCTAGATATCAGTGTTTCCCTGCTCCCAACATGGCACTGGTCCTTTGATGTATGAAGCAAGCCCCTCCTGAGTGTTTGCTCTGCTGCAGACCCTGAGTAGTGTGCTGGGGACATTGAGATGGGGAGAATGAGGTGCTTGCCCTTAGGACAGCAGGGAATGCAGGCAGAGAGAAGTCCTATGAGAAAGATACGTGTGATTCTAGGGGGCACAGAAGAGGGACCATCTGATTGTGTTGGGTGTTTAGAAAAAGTATCCAGGGAGGAGACACTAAGAGTGAGAAACAGAAAATGAGAGGAAAGGGAGAGCAACCATTTGGGACAGGGGGACAGCACTGCAGAAGCATGAGGGCAAGGAAGCACACTTACTGTGGGAATCCAAGCCCAGAGATGCAGTTACTTCCCACACGCATGAATGGCATTGTTTGACCTTGAAACCAGGACTCGTGCACCCTGGGTCAGAGTTGCACTGGACACAGAGTGGATTTCTATGCCACTAAATACTAATTAAGGGACTTATGTTCTGTGCCTAGCTATGCCCCCTTCAGCAGGACTGCTGCTATTGAGAGATCCCCAAGCAGAGGGCTCCCATCCCTTCTGGGCTGGAGGCTTATTCTGGAGACCAGAGGGTGAGGCACTATGTGCTCAGGTGTGCCCTGTTACTGAGAGTCATGTGATGGGGCCACAGAGGTGCCTGCAGCTGCTATCTCACGCATATCTTTGCTCTTCACGGCGGCATCGCTGTGAAATGGATTCAGCACAGAGGTGTAGCTGCAGATGCTTCTCACCGTGGAAACCTGACTCTGGGGGAAGAAAGCTCAGATCGCATTCAGATTACCGCATCCGTCTATCTCCCCCGTCAACTCCTGGGATTCTAATACTTTGGGAAATCAAACAGATAAGTAGAGGTTCTGAAAGTACCCATGCATCTGATGTAGAATGGAACTCTAGCTCCTTCGGCTAAACTAATCAGGTCTCTGGTCTGAGCACAGGGTCAAGAGAGAATGGATGACTGAGGACTCCATCAAAGGCACCTGGTACAGCACCAGGGGAGCAAGTGTAAGCAGGAGATTGGGGTTGGCAGCTTCCTGGTGAGCCTAGGCACTCCTTGACATAATTGAGGGGTAGGTTCTTGAAAAACCTGCACAACCTAAATTTTGTATGCCCATGCTGGGCCCTGATCCATCACCCAGACTCCTCCCTGCTGTAGGGATTTCCTTGGCTGAAGAGAGCTCCCTTATCAAGTCTCACCCTCTTTCTAGGGTGGCAACATTGTGGCTGATCACTGTGGGGGTCTAAAGGTCTATCCCTCTCACTCCAACTCAGATAGCTCTGATGCGTCATTCTGTCTCACGAATTCCCCATGGAGTTGGCTCAGGCTTCCATGGAGGCCACACTGCACCTCAGGTTCTCCCTCTGCCATCTCCTGCCTCCTTGCCTTCCTTTATATGGGTGTTGATCCCAAGAGAACACCCTCATAAGCTTATTAATCTCTGTCTCAGATTCTGCTTCCCAGAGGCCCAACCTGTAACAACACCCAAAGCAATTTTGCCGTAAAAAAGTCTTTGTAGGCCATTACCCTAAGTGAAATAATTCAGAAACAGGACTTCAAATACTGCATGTTTTCACTTATAGAAACAGGAAGTCAAATACTGCATGTTTTCACTTACAAGTGGGAGCTAAACCAAGGGTACATGTGGACATCCAGAGTGGAATAACAGACACCGGACACAGCAAAAGGTGGGAGGGGGTAAAGGGGATAAGGGTTGAAAAATTACCTATTGGGTATAATGTTCACTATGTGGGCGATGGCTACACTAACAGCCCAGACTCCACCACTATGCAGTATATGCATGTGAGAAATCTGCACTTGAACTCCATAAATCTTTTTTGTTTTGAGACAGAGTCTCAATCTGTCACTCAGGCTGGAGTGCGGTGGCACAATCTCAGCTCACTGCAACCTCTGCCTCCTGGGTTCAAGCGATTCTCCTGCCTTAGTCTCCTGAGTAGCTGGGTTTACAGGTGCCCGCCACCACACCTGGCTAATTTTTGTATTTTTAGTAGAGATGGTGTTTTGCCATGTTCCCCAGGCTGGTCTCGAACTCCTGACTGCAGGTGATCCTCCTGCCTCAGCCTCCCAAAGTGCTGGGATTAAAGGAGTGAGCCACCGTGCTCAGCCCCCTAAATCATTTTTTTTAAAGTTATGGTAAATGAGAGGACCAAGGGGAGTCATTCTTAAGTGGTCTATGTCTATAGCTCTCCTGGTCACATTTAAACACGGGGTAACTGAGGGGAGAGAGGCAAAGAGTAACGGAGACACATGGTGAATTTGTGAATAATCACAGGTGTGAGTAAGTGAAGTGATTTGGTGGTGCCCGCCAGCCTGTGTGCTTCCTGGGGGCTGAACCCGTTTGCAGGGCATAATGCGGATTTTATGCCAGGCCTTCCCTGAACCACCACTCATGGGGCAGAAGCTCCTTTGTCTGGCAACAAGGGATTTCGTCTGTTTATCTGTTCCTTCTCTGCCTCTGTCTCCATCCAGTTCTGAAGATCTTCAAAGTTCCCCTCTGACTACTTTGGAGAAGCTCCTCCTTTTGAAGCTGTTGTCCTTCTACCAAGTCTCTCCACCTTTTCCCTTGCCACTTTGTCCCTTGTATTAATTTGCTGGAGCTGCCATAAAGGAGTCCCATAGACTCAGTGCCAGGTGGGGATCTTGAGGATCCGAGAGATCAGGGACTTGACCCACACAAAGAAGCATCTGGTAGAGGCATCAGGATTTGATGCTTGGCTCAGGAAAAGATGGTACAAGATGGTGGAGACACAGGGAGGGAGGAATCAGAGATGATGACAGTGCCGAACAGCTCAGCATCTCACCCCCACTCCTTCTGTCTCAGTCATTTCCAGGATAAAAGATTCCAGAGTTTGGTCCCGAAGTCAGAAACAAAGGAGGGAGCAGGAGATAAAATTATGACATCAAGGAAAAATAAACCGAACACTTCCTTCTGTTCTGTCGATGAGTGTGTGAATGATTAAACTTTCCTTGTTTTAAATTTGTGGAAATGACGAATTATCTGATCACTCAAATTAAGCCAGGAACCTACTGGAGATCACCTGCAGGCCTCAGATCCAGCAGGGCAGTTACATGCACCAAGGATACAGCTATAGGATGCAGAACCCACTGGCTCTGCAGACTCCACCTGCCCCAAGCCTGCGTGATCTGCTTGTATCCTGTCAGCAGGTGAGCAGACAGACAGTGGCTCTGTGGTTTGAGTTCTGGCTTTTCTGTTACAAAGGTCCCACCTTTTGCACAGATGTTTTCTGTTCTCCTTAACTGCATGGAAACCATGAGCCTTTATCCCTGGGTCTCTCCCTGTCATGGGGCTGAAATGCCGACCCTAAGGTAGGAAGATGTGATTCAAATCCCAGTTCTTCCTTTCACAGCTGCAGGTCCTTTGAGCAGGAGTCTCACTTTCCATGTGCTGCCTTAGCTTCTTCTTAATAAAATGGCATTGATGATAACTACCTCCTACAGCTGACGTGGGAATGAATGCCATGAGCACTAAATTAAATAACGAAGCACAGTGCTAGGCACTTGGGAGGCAGTGGTGAATATTGGTTCTCCAGGAGCATCCAATCAGCCAAGAACAGCATGATCAGAGGAGACAGACTGGAAGCTCATTCTGTCACCTGATCACGGTTGTGCATACCTACTCAGGGTGGCTGTTATAATGCAATCTCCATCCCATCCTAAATTGCTCCATGGATTGCCAGTAGCAGCTGTTCAGAGGGCCTCCTAGGTGAAAAACACTGTGTGTGTGTGTGTGTATGTGTGTGTGTGTGTGTGTGTTGGGAAGGCAAGTGTTAGGTATGGTGACATGAGCCTGGGTAGCACTTCATACTCGTTTCTCCTCTGTAGATTTTTAATGCATGTCAGCATCTCAACCTCTCTCAAGTCCCACGGCCACAAAGAAAGTTTTGCTCAGCCTTTTTCAAAGCATTTTGATCTCAGAGACTTGTAACTGGACCACGTGGCAGGACATTGGAGTCTCAGGATCTACTGGCCACAGTTTTGGAATACTGGGCCAAGGGTATTCCTGGTCACAGCCTTCTTGCTGGGCAACAGGTGCCATTTCTTGCAAAGGAACAGACAGCATTTTTATGCAAAGGCTGAGGCAACTCATCTTAGAAAATGTTGCACAACCCCAAACTCTATAAAAACCCATTCTCCACACCCCTAGAGTTTCCCTTTCTATAAGTAGATAAAAATAGCGTATGTTGCATAAAATTAGAAGGCCTTATGCGTCAGACTGATTGGCTGGCTCGGGTTTTCTCTACTTGCTGGGTGTTTTCTGGCCAGGTGTTGGTGAAACTCCCATTTGCCTGGGCTGTACTCATTGTTTTCTGGTTCTGCAAGCCTCCTCATCCTGGCCCTCTTTGCCTCCTAAGAGAAGCCCACAGCTGCTTTAGGCTTTGGAGTGCTCCTCCCCATGGCTGGTTGCAGAGAAGGCATAAATAACTGAGTTATTCAATTCCCAGCTGGTCTTGGAGATAAAGCCCCTTCCTGCTTTGGGTAGGATGCTTCTGTTTATCCTGGTTGGAAAATAAATGCACCCCTGAGTTGCTTGCTCCATCAGCAGAGAGTATCCTCATTTACTACTGAAATGTCAGGGCTTGCACAGTTGACCAGTCTGTGCAACTTTGCCATTCTTCTACTAGGCTTGCCTTGACTCTCTTAAATGTTGCAATTCTACTATATTCACCCTCCAAGACCAAGACTGCATACTTCCTTCTTCCTGAGCTCTTCCTTTTTTGCCTATTTTTTTCTGTTGACCCTCCTATCTACCCTTCTATTTTACCCTCTTTGATCATAATTTCTGGGTGTGAATTTTCCTTCCTACCAGGCTGCAAACTTCTCAACAGAAGAAATAATCTTGTTCCAAGGAAGTGGTTATTGAGGACCATCCATGTTCCAAGCAACTTACATAAGTATTTTGTTCTCCCATCACTCTGGAGTGGGGAAGAGAGGGTATTATTATCTTCATTTTATTAAAGAAGTTACTGGGATTAGGGACATTACGGGATTTGCCCAAGATAGTGATATTTAGAAGATGTCAGGACCTGAATTTTCACCTAGATCAAACTGCAAGCTTTGTATCATCATTCAAGCTTTATTCTAAGTTTCTCTCTTTTTTTTTTGTTTTTGATACAGATTTGCTGTGCATTCCATCACCAGGTTTCCAAATCCTATTTCTTTGCAATAAGGAAAATCCAACTTCATCTCCCATTTAAATATCATTATCAGTTTTACTGAAATTTTTGTAGATATAGGAGTTAAATAATGACAATTTGAACAGACTGAGAGATATTCTGGCAAACCTCTTAGACTGTGAGGTTATCCTTTTAATGTCAGGTTTTCGTTATGTTAATGAATACCTGTGCAACCAACCTGCTCAGCCATGATTTTTGACTGGAGGAAATTTCTAATCAGAAGCCTTCACAGCCCTGGGGATATGACATGCCTTTGACTTTTTTTTTTTTGTAAGGAAGATACCGACAACATGGAGCAGACCCTCCAGGTAAACCAGGGTTTGCAAGCATATCAGGAACTTAGCTGAGACATATGGGACCAGACAGAGCACCAGTCCTCAGGCCCACTGGTCCTATGGGACTTCAACAGATCCTGAACTCTACCTCAGATCTGGCACGTCATAGTCTTTGAGGTGGGCTGGGACATCTGTATTTGCAGACAACTCAGCAAGTTTTTTTCTTTCTTTTCTTTTTTTTAGACAGGCTCTCACTCTGTTTCCCAGGCTGAGTGCAGTGGTGCAACCATGGCTCACGGCAGCCTCGAACTCTCAGGCTCAAACGATCCTCCCACCTCAGCCTCCTGAGTAGCTGGGACTATAGGCACATACCACGCCTGGCTAATTAAAAAAAGTTGTATGTAGAGATGAGGGTGTCACTATGTTGCTCAGGCTGGTCTGGAACTCCTGGACTCAAGCAATCCTCCTGCCTCAGCCTCTCCTTGTGATGAGATTACAGACATGAGCCACTGTGCCTGGACTCAGCAAGCTTTGAAGGCAGCCAGAATAGGAAATCCCTGGACCCCAAGGAAGGAGGACCCAGAGTGTGGCCACCTTATCCTATGAAGAGCCCTGGAAGCAGGCAGGGATGCTTAGCCTCGAGTCCAAGAGAACCAGGCAGGAGGATGGCCCTTGGGAGGATGAGGGTCCCAGAGAGAGGTTGACTTCTCAGCTCCTAATGCACTTTTGAAATTATGAAGTTGTAGGACTATGACAGGTTGTTTTCCCATTTATTCTCCACTCAATGTGGAAAAAAGACTTAAAAAAGTGAGGGTGACCTTTGCAAATAAGTTTAAGTATCTGCTATGCACCATGCACTGGTATAAGGCCTGCAACATTCATGATGTAAGGAACAAATTGTTCTGTATGATGCGGAATCATATTATCAATCCAGCAGGTGCAAACCCCTCAGCATTCACAGAGATTGGGAAAGGAAGCGGCACGACTCCTTTCCAGAGTCAGAGTAATACCTGTGACACTCTTGTCTTTCTCAGGGCTCTGGGGCCTTAGTTATCTCAATTGATCAGTGGCCCCCAATCTCCTAGCACTCCTGTGGGCCAGGGCTTCTGAGGCCTTAGCAAGTTCATGCCAATATGTTGGTCATTTCTGATTCACTTTGAAAATAAGTTGTGGATAGATCCTAGGATTCCCAGGCTTGAACTCTGAAGCCCGGGGTTTCAGTCCCCAGCTCTGCCACTTATAAATTATGTCTCCTTGGGCCAAGTATTTAATCTTTCCAAATCCCAGTTTATTTTTATATAAAATGGTCACAGTGATCCCCAGATCACTGTGCTTGGGTAAGAATAAGATAATTTTAATTCATAGCTTGGCAAAAATTTTCTCAAAAAGGATAGAGAGGAAATATTTTAGGCTTTGTGGGCTGTATGTGCTCAGCCTTAATTATTCAACTCTGCCATTGTAGTGCTAAAGCAGCCACAGCCAACACACACATGAATGGGTGTGGCTGTACCAATAACACTTTATACAGCCAGTGGCCTTCATTTGCTAATCCCTGAATTAATGCATGTAAAGCACTTAGCAGAGGGCCTGGCACAAGGTAAGTCATGAATAAATAGTGCCACCACTGTCATTAGTTTTTTGTTTGTTTGTTTTGTTTTGTTTTGTTTTGAGACAGAGTCTCACTCTGTTGCCCAGGCTGGAGTGCAGTGGCTCCATCTTGGCTCACTGCAACCTCTACCTCCCAGTTTCCAGCAATTCTCCTTCTTCAGTCTCTGATTAGCTGGGATTACAGGTACCCACCACCACGTCTGGCTAATTTTTGTATTTTTTATAGAGACGGGGTTTCACCGTGTTGGCCAAGCTGATCTCGAACTCCTGACCTCAAGTGATCCATCAGGCTCGGCCTTCCAAAGGGCTGGGATTGCAGGCATGACCCACCATGCCCGGCCTATCATTAGTGTTATTAGTAGTTTAGTAGTTTTACTACTATTTATCTTTGGGCATAATTAAGTTCAGTATCCAGGTCCCAGCTGTAAAGATGTGTGTGAGTTGTAGAATTCCAGGAGACCCTGGTGGGTCACACAAATACCACCCCACAGCTATCCAGTGACCTTATAGAGAGCTCTGATCTTCTGGAATTACTGGGAAGATAAAAAGGGTGTCAGCAGAATAATACAAACCATTTGTCACCTAAATTCTCTACCTGTATCTGGCAGGGAAAACCCATCACCATTAGAAGGGCCTTAATTGGAAGCAATACCCTAAGATAATGACCATTTTCTTGGTTTGAGCAGGACTGGAATCCTCCCTTTGACCTCTCAAAGTCACACCGCGGCGGGTGGAGGGACGTGGGACTGCCTCTGTCACCGACCCATGGTGTAGTTCTTGCCCTCTGACTCCCTCTTCCCCAACTTCCAGAACATTCTCTAGGACATTTTCTCCTTGGCTTTCAGAATCCCTATCTGCCTTTTTATGCCAGAACAGGGACTGGAGGCTTCAATGTAGAGGGGCAAAAAAAAAAAAAAAAAATTCCCACAAGATGCCAGCATGATGGTATCATTAGCTGAGAATTAAAATGCTGCTGCCCTAGGTAAAAGTGAGGGTGCCTTCCTTGGGGGCCACAGTCAGGTTCTAAACAGAAGGCCTTAGAAGAAAAATAGCTAACCTTCTATCATGGCCCCACAGATGCTGATCTATATAGATAAAGCCTTGGGAAAGAACATTATCATCCAACAAGGACGCTGGAAAACTGCCCAGATAGCAATTCCTGGATGAGTAACCACAGATCCTGCAATAATGATGGACCCATTTTCTCAAAGATTCCAGAGCTCTTGGCTTGCTTACTTTTTCTTTCCTTCCTTCCTTCCGCCTGCCTGCCTGCCTGCCTGCCTGCCTTCCTTCCTTCCTTCCTTCCTTCCTTCCTTCCTCCCTCCCTCTCTTTCTCTCTTTCTCTCTTTCTCTCTCTTTTCTTTTTTAACAGAGTCTCACTCTGTCTCCCAGGCTGGAGTGCAGTGGTGCAATCACAGCTCACTGCAGCCTTGACCTCCTGGACTCAAACGACTCTCCCACCTCAGCCTCCATAGTGGCTGGGACTACAGGTGCAGGCCAACATGCCCGGCTAATTTTTTCATTTTTGTAGAGGTGGGGTCTCCCTAGGTTTCCCAGGCTGGTCTTGCACTCTTGGGCTCAAGCCATCCTCCTGCCTCAGCCTCTCAAAGTGCTGGGATTAGGTGTGAGCCACTGTGTCTGGCCCCAGAACCACCCTCTTGCAACCTGAGAAAGACCCTGGCCCAGCCTTAATAGTGTGTCTGAAAAAGTGTCCTTGGACTCTGGCAAAAAAAAAAAAAAAAAAAAAAAAATCCAAACAATTACTAATGGTATTCTCCTCCTCTTCCTTTTAGTAAGTTAGGTAACTGAGGCTCAAAGCAGTTAAGGGAGTTACTGATAAGTGGCAAAGCTGGGATGGATTTTTGCTGATAAGCAGCGAAGCTGGGCTTCAAGTCCAATTTTGTCTGCAGAGCCCTGCTCTTTCTGCAGCATCTGCTGCATTCCTACCACCTTCCCTGAGCAGAGCATGGGGCAGTCATAGCTGCTTTTGCAGCAGTATACCCTCTGCATTTTTAAAGGATATTACTGCACTGGTATATTTCCTTATAATACTCTTTCTTCCTCTGTTCAGAGCAGTTAACTTTGCCTCATTATTATTTCATTGGGCTGAGCTTTAGTGAAACATAGCCTTTAATTTGTTTATTTAACATTCCTGGTCTGTACTTGCTGATAGAGTATAACTGATTAATTAATTAATTGTAGCCTGTCACAGCTCATGCTGGATCATGACAGTATTTCAGACACTAATGGGAACTCAGGCAGAGGCGGATGGTAATGGACATGTGTCACCAAGCCCAGGCCTGACCATAAGGCAGGGGTGGGGGCAAGCTGACAACCCTCAGAGCTGTCCAGCAGAGGGTCTGAGGCTACTCAGGCCTGGCTGGTGCAGGAAGTAGGCTAGCAGCCTCAGCCACACAGAATCCAGAGTGAGTGTTACTGCCCAGTCCAGGCAACTGCTGAGCTTGGTAGAGGCTGTCAGTGGGGAAGCCAGCTTGTCCTGGCCTCTTCTGCCTGTGTTTGCACCACCTGCATGAGCCATGATGATTGATGAAATCATTGGTTATTGGTGAGCAACTCAATCTTTAGCTCCTTCTCTCTTCTCCCAGGATGTTGAACGGGAGGGGTTGGAGCTGAAAATTCCAACCCTGTAATGACTTGGTTGGTTCCCCTGACAACCAGCCCTGAATCCTGAGACTATCCAGGAGCCCCCAGCCACTGTCATGTCATTGGCAAATAAAAAGACACCTATCACTCTGGAGATCTCAAGAAACTCAGGAGCTGTGTGCCAGGAAACAGGGGCAGAGACTAAATATATCCATTTCTCATGTCATCGTGAGCCATGGCAATGAAACACAAAGGCTTTGGAACTATCGGGACCTTATTTTGTGGCCTGGTTGTCTGAGCTCTGGGACCAGATAAAATTATAAACACCTCTTGACTTCAGTTTCCACATCTAGGAAAGTGGGAATGGTCACACCTGACTTTCAAAAGTTGTTTTGCCAAACAAAGAGCTAAGGTCGGTATTTGTGGCACAGGAGGCGAGTGACAAGGGCTGAAAACACAGCAATAATTCTTATTATTACTAAAGTCAAGGGGATGCTTGGGAAGCAGGTGATGAGCACGCCGTCCCTGGAGAAACTCAGCTGAGTGGATGCCCCTCCCTGTCCCTGCTTAACCAGGGGTTTTGGAGGCAGTGGAGGAGGGGGGATGTGATGACCCATAAGGTCCCACCTTGCTTGGATGTTCTTGGGGTTGAGGGCCAAAATGGATGCCAACCTGAGTTAGTTGTCCCCCAACATGGTCATGTTGTTATTTTGAATTTATATATGTATCTATCTATCAGTTATTATTATTACTATTATTATTATTATTATTACTATTTAGAGACAGAGTCTCACTCTGTCACCCTGACTGGAGTGCAGTGGCATGATCATAGCTCACTGTAACCTCAAACTTCTGTGCTCAAGGAATTCTTCTGCCTCAGCCTCTTGAGTAGTTGAGCATGCCTGGCTATGTTTACTTATTTATTTGTTTATTTTTTTGATAATTCTGATCCTTAGGACTATATCTGGAAAAGAATTGGACCTTGATGAAAAAAACAAAGAAGAATAAGACCTTAATTTTTGGTCCATTCTGGACCAGAGTGACAAGTAAGGATGCTGGACTAGAAGTCAGGAGGTCTGAGCTCGCTCCTGGGTTTGCCTCCCATGCAGGAATGTTCTTGCCCAATAGATTCATTTAACCATTAAGTACCTACTATGTGCTTGTTACTCAGCTGGGCCCTATCATATAGCACTAAGTATTACCATCCGTGCCCTAAGAGAACTTGCCTTTTGTGAGTTTGTGAGTGTCCTCTTATAGACACAAGCCTGCAGCTGCAGGTGCACAGAGAAAGGAGATATGGACTTTGCCTGGAGAGATGGAGGACACTCCATGGGGAGGTGGCACAAAGTGATTTTAAAGGGTGAGCAGAAATTTTCTAGAAAACAAAAAAGGGGAAGGACATTTGTCAATGAAGGAATAACAAAAGCAAAGGCTCAAAGGGGCGAGCAGGGAGGAAGAGGTGGGGCTCAAGGAAAAGAGATCTCATAGAGAATCCTGCTCTTCTCTGCTGTAAGTTTTTTTGGCCATTTGTTAGCATGACAGCATTTTTAACTGTGTGTTCCAGGCCTGGTTTCTCCCTGTGTCTAAAATCATGTGTGGGTGGTTCTGATGCTTGCTGCATCCCATGGGGACAAAACACAATATGGCGAAAGGAGGAAATCTTGTTTAGAATTGGGCAAGCTCACTCCTCACTGGGGATTCCTCCTCCTTTCTCTCTCAAAGGATACTGGTCTTCAAACTCCAGGACATCTCAAAGAATGTCCCAAACATCAGCGACCATAGTTCTCTCCTAGGCTGACCCACAACTTGTCCACCATCTATCTCTGTGCAACACTTTTAGTTGTATTCTGGGGCTTTGGGTATCACTGTCTTTCTGCAAAACTGGTCCAGAAGCTCCAGGAAAAGATTTCTAAATATGGGTATGTCTAAAATGGTCCTAGCCTGAGTGGGCTTGCCTAGGACAGGCAGGAGCTTTCAGGAGCTCCATCCTCTCATCCTAGCAAATGGTATAAACAAAGTGACCCACAGCTGGAACCCAGGTGCTTTCCTCCTGGTTGAGGTCGAGGCTCTGCCTTCCTCCAGGAATGGGATCTGAAGGGATAATGGCTTTTCTGTCATTGTCCATCCATGCATTGGCCCTAGACCCATGGTCACAGGATTCAGGTTTTGCCCACCATGCTTTCCACCACTGGCCCCCCTTGAACCATGACAGCAACCAATATTCATTTATTCCTGAATTCAACAAATGTTTATGAAAATTCCTGTTATGTTGCAGACTATCTTTTGGCATCGGGGACACAGTTGTTGCCCATGCCTTCATGAGGCTTATTCATATTCCATTCTCTCCTGGTTTCTCCCCCAAGTACACACACTGCTTTCTTCTGTCTCTCTGCAAACTTCCCACAGTGTCTGGCCAGGCTGGTGGATCTTTTTTCTCATTTGTCTTAAAAAGTACCTGCTATGTGCCACATATGTCATTTCCTTTAGTTTTCACCCTAAGCCTGCAAGAAAGGAATTACTATTTGACTTTATGGGAAATGGAGTGTTTGAGAGGTGACCTAACCTCTGTAAAGCCAGAGAGTGTCAGGGTAAGTACTCGAACCCTAGAATTACACTCTAAGTCCCCGGTCCAGTCTACCCAACATGCCCAACTGATTTCTGGCCATCCCTGCTCTGGTCTAGTACTGCTGCCAAAGAAATGACTGTGAGCTAGTGTGCTCTGGTGGGTCATTTCTCAGGTTTGGGAGAAATGAAGGGTCTTGTTGCAAAATTGTATTTAGTGATCCTGTAATTACCTTCACCCTTGGAAAGAGAATAATGCCAAGATGAGACAGATTTTTCCAGGGCATGGGTTCCTCCTTGGACCCGGCCCCAGCTACGCAGTATGTTGTGTCTGGTTAGGACACACCAGGCCAGCTTCAGATCAAAGCCCAGCCCTGCGGGAACACTGGCTTCTGCTAGTGGCCTGCTTTGTTTATGGGCACAGTGCCTGGCACCAGATCATTCTATAATAAATATCTGTTGAGGAGTGAATAAAAATGAATGAATACACTATTTAAATTTTTGTTTTATCGCTTTTTACATGGAGGGGCCTTGGGCAAATAACTTTATTTCCTTGAGTCTGAGATTTGTCTGCTACAAACTGACATATGTACTACACAAAGTTGTTGTGAAGATTAAATGAAATGTAAAAGTACCCAGTTTGGTTCCTAGTATAATGTAGGTACTAGGTGCAGCTTCCCAAAGTCAGGTTCTTGTAGATCTGGACAAAGTCCTTTAGATTAGTTCTGTGCTCATCGGTTCACAGATGTCTGATCGTCTTTGTTGAGCTGTGCTGAAAATGGAGAAATGCAGATGCAACCAGGTGTTCCTGCCACCCCAGCAACTCTGGAAACATGTGTCTTGTCTGTTCTCAGTCTTTCCATCCACAAAATGGAGACATGGGCCTTTTATCTAGAGAGCTCCACAGGCAGCATGGTAACCCATGGCACCACTCAAGACCCTGGGAAGAATGAGCAAAGTTTGTTTTCAGTGTGCTGGGCAGTAGGAAGATGGAGTGAGAAGGGATTAATTGTATTACCTGTTTATCTCTAAGATTTGACCTATGAATGTTTCTGTTCAAACCATGGTGTTTAGCCATGCTCAGCTAGGCATAAAACTCCATCTGCTCCTTGGGTTTTCAGTGCACAGAGCCTGCGGGGGAGGGGCAAATCACCTTTCAGCCTCACAAATGTGCTTTGCTTTTTTGCTACCTTGAGTGGTTCACCTTGCAGAAACACCAGTGATGGCTCAAGGACCAACTAATTTGTCTTCTGTTTTTTAATGGAAGAGTAGTGAGGCATTTCTTGCAAAACGTTTCTGGATAGAAACTTGAGTAGGGACAGAGTGGATCCTAAAGATGATAATAATTCTTAAAAATCATTGCTGTATTGGAGGAAAGGTAGCTGATTTGCTTTGGGGCTGCTGCACTAAGGTGAAATATGAAAAGGAACAAATTTTTAAAGTAGGATCAACTCAAAGCATCTAAGTAGCAAAGATTTAGCTCTGATCTACAGTGGGAAAGATATTCTAGAAGGAGTGGAAGTGGCAATGGGAAAGTAAAGGATAATTGAGATGGAATCATCCTTCAGGAGCTCAAGGTCAAGTGAGAGAGACCCATCATGGACAAAATAGAAATACCGGTTGACATGAAATGACCAAGACTGACCTGCACAAGAGGAAGGACAAGAAGTCAAATGGGCTCCTTGGGGAGGTGGGAGAGGTACTTCCTAGGGGCAGCATGGGTTTTGATAGAGAAAAAGATATAAACATTTGTAAGGGCATAAAAAGCTTGTTTTGGCAAGAAAGGCACTGATTCGGAGAGGGGTCTGGTCATGGGGACTGGTGGGTTCACAGTCGGACTTGCTCAGGGGTCAGCAGGGTAGAAAGTCCCAGACTCCAGTTTTCTGCTTTGTCAATTAGTAGCTGGGTCATCTGGGACTAGTTGCTCTCCCTTTCAGGACTTCAGTGTCCTACTTAAAACCTGAATCTCACGTCTAATTAAAGACCTGCAGTGGTAAAGTGAATGTGAAGACTGGCCCTGGCTCAACAAATGCTCTCCTCCCTCTTTCTTCTGAAATGTCTGAAAATCAATTCCACCTGGCCAAGGGCCAATGAATAAGATGAGAAACTTTCCAGAGCCCTCAGATAGCCACTGTTACCTGCCTCCTTCCCCCAGAGGGATGCCTGGGAGTCTTCAGGAAAGGATGACAGCATGAGATGCTTTGGCCACAGCATCCTGTGCATGCAGCATCCCGCCATACTGGAAAATGAGCTAAATGGGTCTTGTCTTCCTGTAACCTTTGAACTGAGATCTGACACCTTGCTGTGGAGTGAGGGACTTGCTGAAACTGCTCCTATTGTAAAAATGTTTTTATAAATGACGAACAAGCTTCTGCAGAAATATACAGTGGTAGGCAGAATAATGGCCCCCAAAGATGTCCACGTCTTAAACTCTGGAACTTGCAAATCCCTTACCTTTCATGGCAAAAGGAAGATAAAAATTATGGATGGAATTAAGGCTGCTAATCATCTGTCCTTAAGAAAGGGAGGTAATCCTGAATTTGTTGGGGGGCCCAGTATAATCTCAGCGTCCTTCAAAGGTGAAGAGACCACAGACACTGGGTAGTAAAGCAGCATGAGAAAGACTTGGCCTGACCTTGCTGCTGTGAAGATGGAGGAAGTGGTCATGAGCAGAGGAATGGAACGTGGGTGGCCTCTAGAAGCTGGAAAAGACGAGGAAACAAATTCTCCCTTACAGCCTCCAGAAAAAAACCCAGCCCTTCTGACACCTTGATTTTAGCCCAGTGAGACCCATGTTGAACTTCTAACCTGTTGAACTGTAAGATGATACATTTGTGTTATTTGAAGCTACCAAGTTTAGCGTAATTTGGTATAGTAGTAATAGAAAACCAATATCCCTATCCTTTACCCCTAATTCTCCTTGAATTCCAATAGGCCCGGTGGTTCATGCACTGACTCAGTCACTCATGCCTACATATATTTATTCATGTATTTTGTACCATAGGTTCCTAATTTTTAAATAGAAATTAATAATAGTAAAACAAAATTTCATAGGATTGAATTAAACAGAACAAATAAAGGCCTTAGTGTACTGACAGGCAATGTACAAGCCCATAAGTGTTCACTGTTTCTATTATTTTTATTTTTTGGGTTATTTAGGCAGCAAACATCTTCCTGGCACTAGGCTTGTGCCAGCTCCATCTGAGCTCAGCCATGGTTCTTGGATAGCAGAAGGAGAGGCAAGAAATGAAAGATGCTTTCTCCCAAACCCCACTCAGTACCTTCTGCTTATGTCTCATTGGCCACCCCTCTCTGCAAGGCAGGCTGGTAGACGTCATTGTTCAGCTTGGCTCATGGCAGCCTCCAAATGAAGTCAGGGTTCTGCTTCTAGGGAGAAAGGGGGCTGGTATTTTAGTAAGGAGTCACCCAGAGTTGGATAAGGCTTTGGAACCAAAAGAATGGAAGTTAGAGAGAAAGGGAAAGAACAATTTAGGAAGTACCATTATGTACCCTATTTGTATATTGTTCCATTTACCTTCCCAGCCACCATACGAGGTCAGTAGTCTTGTTCCCATTTCACTTTGATAAAACGGGGACCCAAGATCACACTTGGGTAGGATAGAAGGCAGAGGTGAAATTGAACCACCGGACACTGGATGATGAGTCCATGCCCCATCCTTCCACCGCTGCTTCATCTTGAATGTGTTGGGGGCTGCAGACCAACCCAGCAGATAGAAAATCCCACTTCTCCCTGTTTTTCTACTCTCCAGCTTGACCGCAAGAAGTTGTGTTTAACCCGGCAGGACGTAGACTGTTTTCCTTTGACCTCTTCACCTCTTCCCTTTCAGAGCTGTGGGAACAATATTGCCCTCAGCCCTCACACTATCCTGGTACCTGGGCAAGTACACCCAACAGGAAGCATCTCGTGCAGAGCAAGTGAAAACACAGCAGGCTCTGCTGGAGCAAGTCTTTCAAAAGAAAAGCCCTCTCCATTTTTGGTTCTTAAGAAACCACATGCCTTGCTAACCTTTACTTTGCAGCTTCTCCGGGATACGGGGGAGCTACCCCCAGTGCTGCCTGGCATGACCCTATTTGCTTTTGCCAGAGCTTTCTTGCATCACTGATGTCCATTGAGCTTTTCTGTTCACACTTCAAGACAACCTTTTGCTTCCTGAGTGCTCCCTGGACAGCTGACCCCATCTTGCTTGAGCGAATTGTCATGGAAAAACCCTTCAGGTGGCTGAGACACAGGCAAAAGGATCCCCACTGGTGAGTCCACCTGTCTGAGCCAAGATCTTTCATCAGTTGAC
The DNA here is from genome assembly GCF_000001405.40 of Homo sapiens. Lineage (NCBI taxonomy): Eukaryota > Metazoa > Chordata > Mammalia > Primates > Hominidae > Homo > Homo sapiens. The sequence continues at coordinate 65,825,320 of NC_000016.10, read as the reverse complement.
CTAATTGAAATTGAGGCACATTAATAATTAGACAAACAATGGGCTAGCAAGTAAAATGGGGCCTTTAGCTATCATTGAGATATAGCCAAATAAAAACTGGTTCAGTGATTAGGCTCCGTATCTGAGGCAAAATCTCTTACAGACAGTTGATGCCCAAGGGTGACTGATGACAGAAAAAAGCCACTGTGTGTATCTCTGGGACCACATAAGGAGGCACAGGCAAGAACTATATAATGCCTTTTCCTAACTCGCTGCAGAAATGCAATTTGGGGCTGAACTGCAAGAACTTTAACCAAAGCACTGGCGATGCACCTCTGACTTTGCAACCATAAGTATCTTTCATCCAAACAGCTGTTTTACTAAACATGCACATCAGAAATTTTACTCACAAGTAAAACTGGCATCCTAAACCATCCTCTCCAGTCAGGCTGTGTTCACAACCACAGGATGGCCATGATGATTAGCTGAAATGGTTGTGTGTAGTATGCACTGCAGAAATGCAAAATTTCTCATGCCCTGATGTCCTTGCCCTGTCAACATTTTCTGTATGAGAATAGTTAGGTGGTCTGCAGTGTTTCCTGACACTTTCTCTGCAAGTTTATTTTCCGTGTAGCTGGAGTAGAACCCCAAAGAAGAGAATGGACAAAACAAAGTTGACTTGATTAAGTATTTACTATGAGTCAGGCATTGTGCAAAGGGGTTTGTAATCATGGTCTGATTACTTCCTTAAAGCAATGCCATTATATCAAATTTACAGATTGAAAAACTAAGGCTTGTGGAGATTAACAGCCAGCAGCTCATACATTTAGAACTAGGACTCAACCCAGATCTGCTTAACTATGAAGGAAATCCATGTCATTTTTACTAAATCAGTGAGAAACCTCCAATAATCCACATGTTCACCTGTATAAATCTTGAAAAATGGATGTTTCTTGTTATGCCTTGGAGGCAATACAGAAACCTACCATGCCTTACAAACTCTCCGATAAATATTGTTATGTTTGATTAAAATTTTTTTTAAAAAAACCTGTTGCCATGTTTCAATGTGGAAAACTATGCAATATCTGGTGCCTTCCAGTTAAATAGAACATTGAATTAATCAGGACATCAATTTCCTGAGCATTCCAGATAAAAAAGTTTTCTTTACAAATATGTAATAAATACAATACGGAGAAGAACTCACAGACTGTGTTTTGAGAAACTCTTTGGAAGTAGTGGGACTATACCAAATAATGGATGACAATTGACTTCTTTGCTCTTTTCTGTCCAATTTCCATCACCTGTCTGGGAGATTGGGAGTGGAATGAAGGAGGATCACGGTCTCTGCTTCATTTTTGCCCTTTATGTGTCTGCTGCCTTGATGTGTGGGAGAGGAGGTGGCCCAAGATCCACAAGTCATGGTGGTAATAGAATGTGCTCCAGCCCTCTGGTACCTTTCACTCTTAAACTCATTGTCCAGCCTGGCAAAGAGAAGAATTGAGTTAATTGGCCCATGACGTTCTCTTGGTTGTATCTATTATCTACTGCAGATCCCTCCTTTCTCAAGAGGGGACAGTGAAGGAACCAAATGCACATGCATTATTTCATTTCCTCAACACAAATCCCACGGAGTAGGAGTCATTTCACCCAAGTTAAAGACACTGATAGGCTCCAGAAATTTAAGTGACGCATCAACAGCAATATAGCCAGTGAGCAGCAGAGAGGAGCTTTAAATCCAGGCATTTCATGCTCCAACAGAAAATGGAGTCTCATAAGAGCCTACAGGAGGCTATAATAGGTAGCACTGGTGTGGACCTCCCTTGAAAGAACTGCCCTGGTGAGCAGGGGAGCGATGTCCTGACTCCACCTGTGATCTATGACCTCTGCATCTCTAATAGAAGGAGGCTGTTATTATATCATTCAGAACAGAACTTTATGTATTAAAAAAAAGTGTTCTTTTCCTCAAACTTGATAAATAAGGCAAAGAGGATTGAGTGATTGAATGTTAACAAAATAAACCCCTCAGAAATAAATGAACATTTCATATTGTGCTTCATTTCAGTTTCATGAGCTCCAAAATAGCACTTCAAGTGATTAATGTTTTCTTTATTAACCGTAACTAAGCCTGAGCAAAGCCTCTCTCTTTTCTCTAACACGTTTTTGCAGGAGATTGAGGGTAGTTCATTTCTAAAAGTAACCCTTTGGAACCTGCTGCAGGTGGCTCAATGTAGCAGGGGCAGTATAGATTTTGCTGTCAGGCAAACCTGGGCTCCAATCTTGGTCCTGTGACTTTCTGCATGGCCTTGAAAGAACGAGCCTTAGTTCAACATTAGAATATGGGGATGTAAATGTTAACCTCATAGAACTATGGTAGTCTGCGACATTGGTGGCCCCAATGAACTGTGCGTCCTGGTATTCCTGTGCTTTGAAACTGGGCTGTGTCCATGGCTTGCTTTAGTTAATAGGATGTGGTGGAACTTCTAAGAGTGCTGAAGTGCAAGTCTTTCTAAAGCCCTAATTCTCAATGGAGAATGATTTTTCCCCACAAGGGGACATTTGGCAGTGCTGAGAGACACATTTTTAATATCACAATTGGGGAAGTACTACTGGCATCCAGTGAATGAAGGCCAGGAATATTGCTAAATATTCTACAACGCACAACCTGGGTATCTACCGCCTCCTCCCTCCAACAAATAAGTATGCAGCCCAAAATTTCAATATCATGGAGGTGAGAAACCCTGTTCTAAATATTAGGCTGGGTCCTGGTCCTAATTCTCCATGTAGGAAAACAGTTAGTTTGCAGGAGAGATGGTGTGAAGGGGCTGCCTGTAGGTGACAAGGTCACGTTGAGAGAAAGAGGCCCTGAAACTCCTTGGAGAGAACAACAGAAGCCAAGCCATCCCACTGTCCCAGCTAAGCCCAGCCATCCCACTGTCCCAGCTAAGCCCAGCCCACAGCTGTCTCACCAGATGAATGCAGCCAGTAAGTGATCAGCAGCAAGACCTGCAGAAGAACTGTTCAGCTGAGCCCAGCCCAGTTTTCAGAAACGTGAACTGAATTTAAATGTTTGTTGTTGTTGTTGTCTTAAACCAACTTTGGAGTGGTTCATTACACATCAGTAGATAACTAAAAGAGCATACATTAAAGAAACTGTGAGATCTCAATAAACATTAGATTCCTTCTGCAGGGAATGCTGTGGTGTATCACTGAGATGCACTCTTCAGGACTGAGGCTCTTATCCCACCAGCAGCTGATAATATTAGCAGCTGACATTTCACAGCTGAGTGCCTTGCTAAGGTTTGCTTTTAGCTGAAGAGAGTTGCCTCACCTAAACTCACAGTCCTTTCCCTGGGGCAGCCACCTCCAATGACTGGTCCATGTAGTTGAGAAGAAAGGCCCTTGCCTCAAAACAGGACAATAATAAAGAGCCATCCCAGTTCTAGAGTTCCCCAGGGCCATTGGTGAGTTGGCAACTGTTAAACACCTCTCTCTTTCAGCTCCAGAGTTCTTCACCACCTCCGGGTCTTCATCTTGAGGGAACTGCCCCAAGAATCTCCTGTATGCAAATCTTATTTCCCAGGGAACCTGACTTGGAATGCTTTCTTCCTCCTTGTCTTCCATCTAGAAGTTTTGGTCTTAGGACCCTCAAGACACAAGGTAGTTTGGCCAAGAGCTCTGTCCTTGGATGCTCAATCAAGCTGCAGTCTCTTCTCCATCCCTAGCTTTCAGTCTTTGTCAGGTACCAGTTGCCTGGACAATAAAGAAAGAAGTAATAAGTCTTGCCCTAAGCTCAAAGAGAAATTCAGAAGTTTAACTGTATCTCTGGGAAACTTTTAAGTAGAAAAGAAACACAAGGAAACATATTAATCTTTACCAGAAATGCAAGAAGAGTGAATTAAATCCACCTTGAGATACCATTTTGCATTGACTAAATTAGCAGAACAAAGTAAAAATATATTCAAATACACATTGCTGATGACATTATGGTGAATATTGGGGCCTCTTAATCTGCTGATTTAAATATAAATTTCTTAACCTTAGGAGAAAGCAACATGGCAACACAGTGGAAGCCACAAATGTGTTCTTGCCCTTTGGCTCATTAATGGTGTTATGAGAATCTATCTGAATAAATTTGTTTAAGAGAAGATTCAGGATTTGAATTATGATATCTTAAATTCCACCAGGCTGAAAACCATGTACGTAGTGCCCATAAATATGTAGTGGATAACAAAACGCTGGAGCATAGAACTGGAAGATTGAGAGCTACGTATTGCATTAGAAAAGCAGCTGGAATTGAACATTTCTACCGTAGTCTCCCTTGTCCTCGGTTTCACATTCTCTGGTTTCAGTTACCCATGGTCAACCTCGGTCTGGAAATATTAGGAAAATTCCAGAAATGAACAATTCATAAGTTTTAATTTGGACACCATTCTGAGTCATGTGATGAGAACCACATGGGACCACATGAGAACCGTGCTGTCCTGCTCTGTCCTGCCTAGGATGTACATCAGTCCTTTGTCCAGTATATCCACACTATGGACACCACTGTCCAGCATATCCATGCTATAGATGCCACCCACCTGTGGCACATAGGAGCCGTTGAGGTAATCAGGCCAACAGCCACCACATCACTTTTACTTAATATTGGCCCCAAAGTACAAGAGTAGTGATGTTGGCATATTGTTATACATATTCGATTTTATTATGAGTTAGTGTTAATCTCTTATTGTGCCTAATTTCTAAATTACACTTTTTCCTAGGCCATGTATGTATAGAAAAAAAACATTGTGTAGATATGGTTCAGTACTACCTGTGGTTTCAAGCATCTACTGGGGGTCTTAGAATGTGTGCCCTACTGCTAAGGGGGACTATTCTATCTCGATGCTTCTGAAAGCTTGGTCTTGTAACGACATCCAGATAGCCTGGGACATTATTAACAAGTGTAATCCTGACCCTGACCTCAAATCTCAAGAAATAGTTTATGTGAGTTGGGCCTGGGAACCTGCATTTTAAATACATTCTCCAGGTGTCCTTGTGCTCCCAAGTGTGACTGCCCTATATTGAAACTGTTGCTTTACGCCTTTTTGAGGGGCGTAGAATTAGTAGGGATATTATCTTTTCAAATTTGCTATAGTTATTTTGTTATAATGTTTTCACAATTGTTAGGAGGAAAAGAAGTGTAATTTTCCTTGAGCATTCCAAAGAAAAGTCATTTTAATTATAGACATCGTAATAGTCCCCCATTAAGGTGCATAGCTTAACCTCATCTACGTGGGTAGGTTAAGTATCAAGAGAGAAAAGTCTTGCACTAAGTAAAGGACACTCTTATCATTATTAATCTTCCTGGTAATAGATATTTATGATACATTTAAGGATCTTTTGTTATTAACCATTCCAAAGCCCCCTTGGTTCTGTTTCTAGCACTCTTCTGGCTCCTGCCTTGTGGAGGCTGGGATGCCTAATATACGGCTGGAGCCTGTCATTGGTTTTAGGGAGAGTTTTTCTGAAGGCTAAAGCAAAGACATTAAATCCCAAAGCTTAAAAATATTGTCCTCTTAATCTGGAGAGAGGAACACACATGTGAGACAAATGCCCACTTCAGGGTGGAACTGGGAAGACAGATGGAAACATTAGATTTTGAGTAGCCCACGGCAGCCCCTCCTTGCCTGGTGGAGCCATTAGCACAACGAAAATAGCTGTAATAAAAGTAATGCATATCTCTGTCTTAAGAATTTATTCCAATGACTATTTAACCATGTGCTAGCCTAGTAGACTTCCTGGTCTTTAAAGAAAAAAAAACTTCTGGCTTTAGCAAAAATATCTTTAACTCCAAATTCTGTATCAGAGGAATATTGGAAAGGGAGACTTTTCAAAGGTGAGCTCTTGATGCCAATTTGTGTTCACCTGATAACCAGCCCAATTACTGATTGGAAGAAGCAAGAGAGAGGATTAGAATGCAGGTATGTGTGCATATTTGTGCATGTGTGCATGCGTACACACACAGACACACATGCACACCCAAAAGCCTCAAATAGGCAAATAATTCATATAGTGAAGAAATATTACAGGGTTGTAGAAGGCACATGTTGATGCTAATGAAGCCAAATGACAGAGGTAGAAATTCCTCTTTTATTCCTTGTCATGACTGAAGAAGATGAAACAAAAATCTATCCTTGGTTTCATGTGAGCTGGGACCAGGTCATGGGGGAATTGAATGACTATAGTGGCTTTGACTTAAAATGAAATTGTACAAACCTTGGAGACCAGAGAAGTCTTAAACATTTTGGTTTTCTTAATGAAAGAAATATGTAAAGATTATGCAAGGACATTCCAATTAAGATTGATTCCTAAAATTGAGATTTCACCAAGTGGTTTAAGGTTAAAAAGAAATGGAAAAAGGTACTCAACTCAATCTCAGATTTTTTTCTTTAAATCTTGCCCTGTTTTATTAGTGTTTAAGTAGTACCTTTAAGTATTGGCAGTTAAGATAATTATAACTAAATTTCATAACTGAAAATTACACTTTTACTTTTAAGTTAAACCATGTAGTTGATTAAAAAACTCATGCTTATTTCTGAATATCTGGTAAAATGTGTGTTTTGCGATTTAGACTAGGCATCTCATAAGTAAGACCTTGCTACTTATCTGAAAAATCAGAAACTGGAACACCAAAATCAAGTGAGGACAATCATGCTACAGTAGTGTTGAACTTTTCAGGTCATTTACATATATGCCTATGCATGTATGCATGTCTGTCTTTTCTTCCTTATTCTAAGAGAAATCAAGATTCTTTATAAATATGGATTCCTATGGTATAGTGTTTTGCAAACATACAATCTGACTGAATATTAATCATATCTGTTAAACCTAGAGGGCTATAAATATCATTCATTGAATTTGGTTCTGCATTTAGCTATATGTTTGAAACATTTTCCTACTAAAAGCAAATACAGAAGCAGCAACATTACATGGTCCAGGATATATATTAATATGTGGTAGGAGTGTGTGTGTGTGTGTGTGTGTGTGTGTCTGTGTGTATCTCAGAGGTAGTAGATAGATTGTTCTTTTATAGAGATGAGCAAACATTTCTGTAAAGGGCCAGATAGTGGATATGCTCAGCTTGGTGGGGCATAAGGTGGTCTCTGTTGCATCTACCCAACTCTGCCATTATGGCATGAAAGCAACCCTAGACAATATATTAAAGACTGGGTGTGGCTGTGTTCCAATAAAACTTTATTTACAAACACAGGTGGTGGGCCAGAGTTGGTCCTTAGTTTGCCAATCCCTGGTTTAGAGAGTAAATCAGGTAGTGTATCATTAGAATTATTTTTTCACACTCAGCATTTTGCCTATGGAGATGTGAGACCCAGAAAAGTAAAGTGACTTGCCCCAAGACACACAGCAAAGCCAGGGCCAGAGTCCATATTTCCATGATGTCCCTTGATCCCCTTAACATAGAGTAGAAGCCAAAGTGACGGCTCACTCCTCAGGAAGAGGGAAGGGCACCACAAGAGAGAATGAAGACCGTCTCCTCCTGACAGTATTCAGGGTGTGCCTGTGTTTTGCCCATGGTTTCTTGTTTGGTTGGTTTTTAATGGCAGAAGAACCACCAAGCAGGGAGGCTCTTGGATCTGCCACTCCACTTAGCTCTGTAGCCTTGAAGCAAATCATTTCTCTACCCCGAGCTTCATTTTCTTTAATCTGTAAAATGAGGGCTTTAACTTGATAATCTGAATTCCATTTTGTTCTCAAATTTTATGATTTTTTTTTAGTGTATTTCTTCCAGTTTAGCATTTTCCCTATCAATTCACATTGATTCACTGGTGGGCTAAAACTTAGCCAGGTCTTGGGTGCGGAGAGGCCTGAAGTTGGTGGCCCTGGATGCAGAGAGGCCTGAAGTTGGTAGCCCCACTTGAGTGCTGTACGCCAGATCACAGATTTCTGTGCTTACCAGGACACCCACTACTACCACCTTTATGGAGCATCCCAGGAACTCTGATGGCCTCATTGTTTCTTAGGCCCAGAGTTGATTACCATAATAAAGATACCTACCTGCTTACAAAGCCTTTCTATTTTTGGCTCTGAACTGCTGAGCTGGGTGTTTTACCAACTCACTGGTCTTGCTCATAGATTTATCTGTCCCCTTAGAATCCCTACCTCTCACTGAACTTCTGCACAGTAAGCATTTTTATAGGAAACCATGCCCTGGTTTCAACATATGCAAGGCGAGGCGGGATAAGGCCCTCCTGTGGAGTTATTCTGGGTGAATGTATTATTGCCACCCATTGGTACATTTCTTCCAAGGGGACTTAATATTGTCCTTTCTCTACTCCAGGACCTCCTCCGTTTTAGTTCAATTTTATCCCTAGAAAATGCGGTGTAGGAAACAGAGCACTGGACTCAGTTGAGAGACCTGGATTCAAATCCTGATGGGCAGCCCTTTAACCTTTCTCCCAGCTTCCTAACTGAACACTAGAGAAGGCAGCCTCTGCCTTATCTTCCACAGCCCATTGCAACAGATCTGAGCTCTGGTTTTACATGGGAATAACCAGAGATGTAAAAAAAATTCAGACTCCTGAGCTCCTCCCCAGATCCATTGAATCAGAGCCTCTGGGGTTGGTGCCCAGGCACTGACTGTTACTAAATGCTCCCCACGTAATTTTAGTGAGCCACGAGACTTAAGAGTCACAAGATGTAATAGACTAAATGATATCATCAATATGAATGCACCTTTAAAAAGGGCCATATCAATGTGTTGTCCTATTATTTTTGTTGGTATTTCTATTTAAAAGAAAAATATCAAAATTCTATACAAATAAATCCCAAGTAAAATAAAAAAACAAGAGAACAAAATCAAGCAGCCTATTCTCCAGCACATTTTGGTTCTTTGAGGTTTCCCTTGAGATATACAACCTTCCTACATTGAAATTAGGGTCCAGGCTGGACGCAGTGGCTCATGCCTATAATCCCAGCACTTTGGGAGGCCAAGGTGAGAGGATTGCTTGAGTCCAGGAGTTCAAAACCAGCCTGTGCAACATAGTGAGACCTTGTCTCTACAAATAATAAACAAAATTAGCTGAGCATGGTGGTGCATGCCTATAGCCCCAGCTACTTGTGAGGCTGAGGAGGGAAGATCACTTGAGCCCAGAGAAGTTGAGGCTGCAGTGAGCCAAGATAAGAGCACTGCACTCCAGCCTGAGTGACAGAGCAAGACTCTGTCACAAAAAAAAAAAAAACAAAAAAAAAAAGGAAAAGAAATTAGGGTTTGGTAACACCTACCCAATAGCCCAAGGGACTGGATTCAACGTGCTGCCATTTATTTAATCCTGTGGAAACCCTGAGAAATGATGTTGGTGGCCCCATTTTGTAAGGGAAGCATCTAAAGCTTGGGGAGGCAAATCACTTTGCAGAAATTCCCATAACTAGGAAGTGGAAGTGGTGGGAACAAACATCAGAGTCAAGGGATCTTTGAATTAGATCTTAGCTGTTCCCTGATCCTACCAGACAAAGCTGAAATCACCATCACTTTAAGTCTCAGATGACAAGTGAATAATCCTAATGATGGCAGTAATATCACATTATCATCTTTCATGTTGTCACCTCTCCAAGATACTTTCTCATCTTTTGTATTTTAGAAGATCATCTTATTGAAATCACATACTCAGGTAGTGACTAAAAGGCTGTCCTCCATTTAAAGGTGGGTGGAATTTCAAATGTTTTAATAGGAAATCTCCCAAGTAACGAATGATGTAGACATGTAGCAGGTAGGTTCTTGCTATCCCATTATAACCCTGTCCAATGCTGAGGAGGAGGCTGGATCTGTGGCTGGTCAAGACCCCACCAGTGGAAACAAATTTACCAAGTGATCTAGCAATTCCACTCCTAGGTATCTACCCAAGATAAATAAAAACATTTGTTTATATGACTTTGCATCCTCACAGCTTAGCTCCCACTTACGAGTGAGAACATACAATGTTTGGTTTTCCATTCCTGAGTGACTTCACATAGAATAATAGTCTTCTGTCCATTCAGGTTGCTGCAAATGTCATTAATTCATTCCTTTTTATGGCTGAGTATTATTCCATTGTATGTATATATACCACAATTTCTTTATCCACTTGTTGATTGATGGACATTTGGGCTGATACAATGGACTTTGGGGACTTTGGGGAAAGGGTGGTAGGGGGGTGAGGGGTAAAAGACTACAAATTGTGTTCAGTGCATACTGCTCAGTTGATGCGTGCACCAAAATCTCACAAATCACCACTAAAGAACTTACTCATGTAACCAAATACCACCTGTCTCCAAAAAACTATGGAAATAAAAAATTAAAAAAGAAAAAAACCCAAAAACATATGTTCAAAATACTTGTACGTAAAAGTTCATAGCAGCATTATTTACTATAGCCAAAAAGGGTAAACAACACAAATATACTTCAACAAGTGAATGGGCAAACAAAATATGGTGTATTTGTAAAATGGAATATTATTTGGGCATATAAAGAAATGAAGTACTGATGTATGTTACAACATGGATGAATCTCTAAAAACATTATGCTAACTGAGAAAAACCAGATGCAGAAGACTATCTAATATATCATTCCACTTATACAAAATGTTCAGAAAGGGCAAATCTATAGAGACAGAAAAGAGATTAGTGATTCTCTGCAACTTCCAGAGGATGGGAACAGACATTAATTACAAACGAGCACAATATCTTAAACTGAGAAATGTTCTAAGATGGAATTGTGATTATTTTTATTTTTTTGTGTGTGAATTTTGAGGGTCCCTCTATAGGGGTATGACAGCGAGGTCATTATGATTCAGAATTCGTCTTCTCCTTTTGTCACCAAGATATTTTGGCTGAACATTCAGAGAAGATCTAGCCCATGAGGGACTGCACCAGAAACCAGATTCAAGAGACTGAAATGTAAACCAAATTCCACCTCATAAATTGCTATAAAGAAACCTACCTTCCCAGGAACAAAAATGCTCGTGCCATCCTACAAGGACCTCCACTTTCTGCACTGAGTATTTGGGAGATGGTCATCTGTGGCTCACTTTCTGGGTATGGAGGAAGAGCACAGAGTAAGGGATGTTTCACACCAGCCACACAAGAAGCCTGTGAACAAACCAGCCTTTTACCAGAGACGGCCCTTTATGGACCACTTAGCTGCTTCCCGGATTTAGTGAGTCTTGACAAGGACACTGCAGGTGAATGACTGCCAAGTCTGTTTCCTTCCCTCTTCACCATGCTCCATTCAGACAACCTGCCTTCTGTTTGAGCAGCTATTGCGGGATCTGGCCAGCAGCCTGCAATGCAACGGGGCTCTCTCTCTGCTCCTAGGTGGATCGGCAGGTTGAGAAATAATAGACACACACAAGACAGTGAAAGCTGGGTCCAGGTGGGTCACTGCCTTCTGGTCCCGCGGTGCCAACAATGCACTGGGTATACCAGCATTTATTATTAAGTTTAGTGAGGGCGGGGGTAGGTCAGTGAGGGATTTAGGGTCATTTGATTATGAGGTGAGATGGTCACATGGGGATGAAGTAATTCTTTAACATAACATTTGTATGAAGAAGTACAGTACATTTGTATGTAGAAGTACAGTATACAGAGATAACAATTTACAATATAGTGTGTGCGTCAGTAATTTCTAACAGAGCCTTAGAACAGAAGCACAGTCTTTCCGTAACCTATGATTAGCAAGATATTAATCAGCAGTAACAATTGTAACAAAAGCTGGTTACAAACAATCCATGGAAACAGGACATGAAGCTAGACAACTGGTTAGACCAGAAATTCTCAGAAGGGAGTATGCTTTAACCCTAAAGAGGCCTAGAAGAGCCGCGGCAAGATGAGGGTGTTTATAGCCCTATCTTATCCATATGGACAGGCGCTCCCCATGCATCCGTTTATAGGCTTTCCACAAGGGTCGCATTCCATTCCCAGAGCTATGAACATCTGCTTTTCTGGGATAGGAATCTTGGTGATGTGAAACCTCCCTGACTGCACGTCCATTCATAGGCTTTCTGCAGGGGGAAGCACATCACACGCTGTTGGCTCATTCTGGCAGTCCAACCTGGCATTGTCTTTACACAATCCTGCATGCAACTTTTTATTTACAGTAATCAGGAGCAGTTCATCTTTTATTCCGTAGCAATAGTTTCAGGGGGTCTCCCTACAAGCAGTCTTTCTCCAGCCAGGATACCACGCAATGTTTTAAGTTTCTTTATTCTTATGTACTATGACATTACAGAACTGTCTTGAAATTTTGGTGTGATTTTGCTGACCTACCTTCTGAGAGTAAGATGCGACCAGACAGCTGACACTCCCAATACTGGTTCAAATACCCTGTTCTCTTGCATTCTGAAGATGCTCGTCACTCCTGTGGATTGATGCAGGGTAGAGGCATTATCTTGAACCTCATAAACTTCCTATCCTCTTCAATACAAAGTGAACAAACGGCGTCGTTTCTCAAAATTTGTTCAGTACTGGAATGCACGGCATTCTCCCTTCACATGAAACTCAAATCATTCCAGTTTACTTCTGCTTCTTCCTCCAGGAAATGGATACAAACATGGGATGGACCTTGGTCATCGACGTGCTCCAGATGTCTCAGTTGCAAACGCCTGGGTAAGTGGGAAATTGTAGAGTGGGCCTTCCTGACTTGTAAATGTCACATGAATTCTGTCCCCTCCTTGAACTGCAGGAACTCGGACTGGATGGTAGCTGGGCTGTTTGCCTCTGTCCATACAATTGCTGGGCTTTGGTTGCTCTTTGGAAAAAATGTCTACTGACAGGGTTGTCTCACAGCTCTACCCTTAATCCCCACCTTAGCCCGAACCATAGATCTATCATGAATCCTAGTCTTAGACTTGAATGAACACCAATCTACAATGCTATAAGAATACACAGCACTTAGCATGATGGCTGGCACAGTTTCACTTCTAAGATTATTATTTCACCTTTAGCAACTTCCTTTATTTTATCCCAACCCTCATGGTATTAATCCTGTTTTTAGGTTTAATTTTAAAATCACTTCCATTTATTGATGCCTAGCGTGTCTCATGTAAGAATTGTCTCTCATCTATCTAGCCATCAACTAATGTCCATGATAAATACACACACACACACACACACACACACACATATATATGATGGAAGCATAAATATGATGGAGATATAAGACATAAATCATCAACTTCTCCATTTGCTATTTATGTATCTTGTATCATCTACCTACCTAGATCTAATCTAGAGTTTTTCAGTATCAGTGTCAGGTGTCAGTACTACTGGCATTTTGAACTGAATAATTCTAGGGGTGGGGGATACCGTCCTGTGTATTTTAGGGTATACAGCAGCATCCTGGGCCTCTATCTACTAGATTTTGGGAGCAATATTCCCCCCTTCCAAGTTGTGACAATCACAAATATCTCCAAACAATGCCAAATGTCCCTGTGAGGTGGGGAGGGACTGATCTAATTTATCATCTGTCTATTTTTCCTGGATAAATGTAAAAATGTTCAGAAAGCACAGAGTAGACACTATTATTCCCATCTTGCAGATGAAGAAACTGAGACTGAGAGTTTTGGTGACTGGCACATGGTTACATAAGTATTAAGAGATGGCACAGAATTGCAAAAGTAGATTTGCCTTATTAAAAAAAATCCATGTTCTTTCTATGATACTGGGCTATTTTAAATAATGCTATATTTTATCCTCAATGCCATCATTCTCCTTTATTCTCAATTTAAAATCATCCTCACACTTAATTCTGACTCTCAAAAAACATATGTCTTCCAGCCAAAACATATGTAAATGTATTTAAACCCCAAACCTTCTTTGTAAAACAATTTATTTTAGATTCAGAAGCACACATGCAGGTTACATGGATATATTGCACAATGGTGGAGTTTGAGCTTTAAGTACTCATCACTCAAATAGTGACTATTTTATAAAATTCTATCATCCACTCAAGACTTAACCCTATTTCCAATCCCAATTCTTAGTGACACAATTCTTTCTCAATTTTGTTTCCTATGATCCCAGACAATGAGGATGTTAGCTGAGAAGAGGGAGTCCTGAAATGCCAGTTAACCCAGCAGAAGTTGATAAGCTCACTCACAGCCAGGGACATGGTTTCCCAGGTATACAGTTCTATTGTAAAGGAGGCGATGGGTTTCTTCTCCTCTGCCGACCCACTGAGTAAGTATGCATATAGACGCTGGCCTGCCACAAGCCCGCTGAAGTTGGGTTATCTGGAAACTCTAATAATAGAATGTATCTATTTGCACTTTCCCATGATGGGCTGGAACTTACTTCTGAGAAACCGAGCACTATGGTCTGAGTGTGTCCCCAAAATTTTGTATGTGGAAACTCAACTGCCAGTGTGGTAGCATTGAGAGGGGGGCCTTTAGGAGGCAGTGAAATCATGAGAGCAGAACTCCGAGATAGGATTAGGGCCCTTATAAAGGAGACTGAAGGAGTGGGTTCATCTTCTTCTATTTCCTCTGTCACATGAGGACATGGTGCTTAAGGCCCCATCTTGGAAGCAGAGTCCTGGTCCTCACCAGACATGGAACCTGCCAGCACCTTGATCTTCAACTTAGTCATAGAAATAAATAAGACATTTCTATTATTCCATTTTTTTCTATTATTATTGTGTTAGAAATCAGTCCTTTTAAATTATTATAAATTACCCAGTCTTGGGGTATTTTGTTACAGTGGCACATCCAGATTAAGACACTCAACACATGAAAAAAGGGACATTTAACTGATCCGCTGGCTTCTCAGAGTCTGACATTTTGGTTCAGCTTTTACACAGTAATTTTGATTTCTGCTCCAATACCCTGATGTCCATTAGATGGCTGACAGCTTCAGGTCTTCATGTCCAGAATTCAAACGGGGGAGACACTGTTTTATAGCAATTAACAGTGATGCTTTGAAAGGATGGCAGCAAGCTGAAAACAAAATTAATTGAAAATTTAACCTTTAAATAAAAATACTCAGACCTCAGGCTTCCATTTGTAAGCAGCTTATGCTGTCTGTGCACATTCTGTTGTATTATTTAAGTATTTTCTAGACCATTTCTGATTAATACAGCAGTGCTATTTTCCAGTCCAGTCTCCTTAATAAATACATGTGTCAAATATCTGTTTCCTCCCCTGAATGCAAAGACTTTTAATTCCCCTTGTTTGCATGTGCTAACTGGTTGGATAACGAGATTAACAGCTCTGTCTTTTTTTCCTGCTGCAGATTTTATAAGAAAAGCCAGTGGGCTCCCAGACAAAGTTAAAAAGGTACCTTCTTTAATTTTGCATATTGTTAGCTGCAATCCGGTTGCTAATGTTTGTTTTATTTCCATCTGTCAAAAGCAATGCCAAAATACGTCATGTTTGCCTTGAGTTGGCTCAATTAATCCTCCGCTGGAAACAGTTCTGTCATTTCATATTTGGTTAAGGACCTGATTCAGTAGCTCCCAAACTGAGAGCTCATCTCTGCCAACGGCAGCCAGTGTATGTTTTACTACAAATTTATGGCGAATATCCACTTGACAAAGACAAAAGAGAAAGGTGGGGTGGAGCCCTTAGAGGAGTGTCGATTTGGGGCCAGCCCCATGTCTGCCTTGGGTACAGATAACATCCTGGGCTTGGCCCTGTTGACCTGCTCTTGCGGCACTAAAAGAACAGCTAGGCTAGGCGAGGTGGCTCATGCCTGTAATCCCAGCACTTTGGGAGGCCGAGGTGGGCAGATCACCTGAGGTCAGGAGTTTGAGACCAGCCTGGCCAACATGACGAAACCCAATCTGCACTGAAAATACAAAAATTAGCCAGGCGTGGTGGTGCATTCCTGTAACCCCAGCTACTCAGGAGGCTGAGGCAGGAGAATCACTTGAACTGGGGAGGCAGAGGTTGCATTGAGCTGAGATCATGCCATTGCAGTCCAGCCTGAGCAACAAGAGCGAAACTCTGCCTCAAAAAACAAACAAACAAACAAACAAACAGACAAACAAACAACTAATGGGTTACCCTGGATGAGTGATTTTGAAGGGTCTCAGTGTGGGGCAGACCCCAAGAAGTGCAGCCCTGTGTAAGTCTAATGTTGGTGGATGAGTTTCTTAGGGCTGCAACAACAAAATACCACAGACTGGGTGGCTTAAACAACAGATTTATTTTCTCAAAGTACTGGAGGCAGGAAGTTTGAGATCAAGGCATCGGCAGCGCTGTTTCTTCTGAGGCCTCTCCCCTTGGCGTGTAGATGGCTTCCTTCTCCCTGTGTCCTCACATGGTCTTCCTTCTGCACTATCCGTGTCCAAATTTCCTCTTCTTATAGAAACATCAGTCACATTGGATTAGGGCCCAGCCATATGGCCTCATTTTACCTTAATTACCTCTTTAAAGGCCTTATCTCCAAATACAGTTATCCTCTGAGGTACTGGGGGTTAGGGCTTCAGCATAGGAATTTTGGGAGGACACAACTCAGCTCATAACAGATGGTAGCCAAAATAACATAATATAAAATAAATGCATAATGAGATATGAAGGGAAAGATCTCAGAACAAAAAACGTAAAAGCAGCCGCTCTGTAGTTTTCCCTATATATATATAACCTCTGATTCTTCTTGCTTCTCCTCTTTTTCTCTTCGAATAAAAGCTCTATTGCCATCTTTATGGAGCTAGCATATTTGGCAGAATATACGCTTTTGAATTAGTATGTTCTGAGTTCAAATCCTGACTTGACCTCTCATTAGCTGTATGGCTAAGGGCAAGTCATTTAAATTCTGTCTCATGTTCCTCCTTCTTACAATGGCGTTAGTAACAACTACCCCAGCTGATTTTGTTTTGTAGGGATCAGGTACTATATGTGGGAGCCAGTGGCATACGAGAGTTGGATAAATGGAAGTGGTCTGTCCTGAATGAAGGCCATAGTGGGTGTGTTGTCTACAGAGAAGGTGAAAGTAATAACACAACTGACTTTTACAATGATGTCAGTGATGAAATACTCCTTGTCAGAGCACAGTGATTTTTTACAACGATGTCAGTGATTGAAATACTCCTTGTCAGAGCAGGTGGTTCTCACTGCCAGCACCTCCTCCCTTGCATGGAACTACAGAACACACCATATTGTGTTCTCTCTTTCTCTCTTTCTTTCTGTTTCCCTGTCTCTCTTTCTACCTCTGTCTGTCTCTCTCTTTCTCTCTTTCTTCCTCTCTTCTCCACTCTCTTTCTCTTCCTGTCTCCTTTCTTCCCCTCCATCTCTGTCGTGCACACACAGTCACACATACTCACATCTGTATCTTGAATTTAGTCATTCTAAAAAAGCCTAACCAGAGGTATTTCACATGGCTGCACATCTTTTTTCTTTATTGATTTTTTCCCAGAAATTGCCAAACTTCACATAAATCATATATGATTGAGAATAATCATCATTTATTGTTGTTTTGGAAAGAGGAGACCTAGTGGTCTCTGGTTAGAGCCTTCCTCTTCTATCCCAAATGTCCTCAATCTCTCCAGCCAACTCCTAGGACCAAAAAGCATTCTTACTATGAGTTAGGAATCAAAACGTGCAACAACTAGTAACAGGAAAAGCATGCTTGACTGGGCTCATAGTTTTTATTATTCCCCACTCCTTTCTGAAGTGGTACTCAATCCCTGGCATCTTTATATAAAGTAGCTGCCTATATAACTAAGTAGCTATAGTTTATAAGTAACTACTTTATATAAACAGAAGAACAGAAAGTTGGTTAGTTGTGCTAAAAACAAAAACAAGAAGAGCAACAAGAAACAGAACTCTGAATGGCACATTTCCTTTCTCAATGGGAAACATCTGTCTTTATGCGTTATCAAAAAGTCTAAACCCTGGGCCTGAATCATTAAACTTTTCCAGAGAAATATTTCACCTTGGGATTTTGCAAAGTAACTTTCTCATTCTAGATCTCCGGTGATGGAAGAAATAGATGATGGTGTATGCATTGTGTGAGGTATCATACAGCTATTTAAATGATGGCTTATCATGGCCATGTAATATGGAGATATTTGCAAGTTATATCACATTAAGTGAAAAAACAGATGCAAAATGTTGTATGTTATAAAGCTCATATTAATATGTTTAAAAAATAAAAAGGCACTCCTAATTATGTCTAATAATGTTTAAAATTTAGCACTCTCATCCCAGAATGCGTACGCAAAGAGGCCTCTTCTGTGAGGTGGGTGGTAGGTCTTTTATCTACTCTGGCCTTGTTGGGTCTCAGAATCCCATTGGTTTAGGCTTGATTCGGTTATCTGTAATTACAGAACAGGTGGCGTGTGAGCTGTGAGTGAAAGGTAGGATCTAATTTGGGATTTAATGAAGGTAATCAAAAGATGGGGTTAGTATGGTTGAACGTAATCTTAAATGACAACTTTATAGAGATTTTTTTAAACAGTTGGCTTACCCATAATTTATGTAACCTTTGAATATTACAAAGCAGAACTATAATGAGAGCCTCCACTTTTTACTAACTTGGACATAGTAAAATGTTCAGCTTATAGAGGATTGTTTGTTTGTTTTTACTTAGATGGGTGTTTTTTTTTTTTTTTTTGTCAACCAAGTTCTTTCTATACAATTCTGGATGCATATAGATTTGCCCAAGATAACAATTCCATGAGTCAGGCCCATGATTGTGAGCTGCAGGATTTTCTAGGTTTCTGTTCCTAGAAATTGTTTAATTTTAAAAATGTGAATGATTGAGTTGTTATAAGGCATGTTTAAAGGGCATTCTGCTTTCCCCCAACATGTTCCACCGCACCTCTCTGGTTTGCTGTGAGCTGTTCATTCTTATTTCTGTCCCCTTGAATTGTTGGAATGTTTCTTTGATTGCCTTTGGGTGTGGTGCTGTGAAGGGTTTTTAGGAAGAAGTGATTATTTTTCAAAATGGGAAGTTAACAAAGAATAAAAGTAAAAAGTAATGTCTTAGCAGCAGAACTACAAATTCCACTCCTTTTCCAAAGAAGAGGAAGAGGAAGAAGAAAGAAAGAAGAAGAGGAGGAGGAGGAGGAGGAGAAGAAGAAGAGAAGGAAGAAGAAGAAGAGGAGGAGGAGGAGAAGAAGAAGAGAAGGAAGAAGAAGAAGAGGAGGAGGAGAAGAAGAAGAAGAGAAGGAAGAAGAAGAAGAGGAGGAGGAGGAGAAGAAGAAGAGAAGGAAGAAGAAGAGGAGGAGGAGGAGAAGAAAAAGAAGAGAAGGAAGAAGAAGAAGAGGAGGAGGAGAAGAAGAAGAGAAGGAAGAAGAAGAAGAGGAGGAGGAGGAGAAGAAGAAGAGAAGGAAGAAGAAGAGGAGAAGAAGAAGAGAAGGAAGAAGAAGAGGAGGAGGAGAAGAAGAAGAAGAGAAGGAAGAAGAAGAAGAGGAGGAGGAGAAGAAGAGAAGGAAGAAGAAGAAGAGGAGGAGGAGGAGAAGAAGAAGAGAAGGAAGAAGAAGAGGAGGAGAAGAAGAGAAGGAAGAAGAAGAAGAGGAGGAGGAGAAGAAGAAGAAGAGAAGGAAGAAGAGGAGGAGGAGGAGAAGAAGAAGAGAAGGAAGAAGAGGAGGAGGAGGAGAAGAAGAAGAAGAGAAGGAAGAAGAAGAAGAGGAGGAGGAGGAGAAGAAGAAGAGCAGCAGGAAGAGGAGGAGGAGAAAAAGGAGGAGGAAGAGGAGGAGGAAGAGGCAGTGGTGTCTAGGCGAGGTGGCTTATGCCTATAATCCCAGCACTTTGGGAGGCCAAGGCAGGAGGAAGAGCACAGGAGTTTGAGACCAGCCTGGACAGCATGGTGAGAACCCCATCTCTAGAAAAATAATTTAAAAAAATAGCTGTGTGTGGTGGTGTGCACCTGTAGTCCCAGCTACTTGGGAAGAGGCTTGAACCTGGGAGGTTGAGGCTGCAGTGAGTTGTGATTGTGCTACTGCACTCCAGTCTGAGTTAGAGTGAAATCCCATCTCAAAAAAAAAGGAAGAAAGAAAGAAAAAAGAAAAACAATAGACGACAGAACAATATTTTTCACCCATGAGAGAATGTAGGATGAAAATGTGTTCCTCTCTTCATCTCATACCCATACATGCACACACATACACTGTCACACTGTCTCCATCTGTCCCAGAGACTTGGGTTTTATACCAATCATAAAAGTAGTTAGTTATTTATTTAAAGCATCTCTTGTTCTTGAAAGGGCAGTTGACTCCTGCGTCTTGTTCTATCTCACTGACATCCACTGATAGGAAATAAAAGCATGCAGTGAGGGTGGGGAGAACCCCCTGTATCTCCAAGGCCAGAACTCATAACAGGGAGAGGGCTGTGTTGGGGATGGGACAGGAAGGTCCCTGGAAACAGTGCATGCAACAAAGGCTATTTCTATGTTAACATTGAGTCATTGGTTTAAAGTGTCAGAGAACCAAACAGATAGATTAGGAGATGATTCCCACCTTGCTCTAGCAGTGCCTGAGTAGAGGCATCTGTTACAACAATTTCATGTGTTATCACCTGGGAGTGTCTATCAAAAAATAGAAGTCAATGGGGGTGACTGGGAAATACTATAGAACAAAAATAAAAAGAACATTACACTGAAAATGATTTATTGTATACATTGGGTGTGGGAAGAGCATGTAGAATGCTTGGTAAGATACCAAAAGTTGAGGCCCTAAAGCACTGTTTAAAAACCATTTTGAAAACAACAACCACAGCACAGATGGATATAAAAAAATAAATGGAGCTGCCTGGTACAAGAAAAGGTTGCACGAAACTTACCATTCGGCCATAGGAGGCAAAACGCTAACTGTCCATAGTTAAGACAGAAATGATCAGAAAGTTAAATCAAAGCTGAGTAGGATAAACTTGAAAACATGTCCCCAGATTCCTGCCTTCCTTCCTTCCTTCCTTCCTTCCTTCCTTTCTTCTTTCTCTCCTTCATTCTTTTCTGTCGTACTAAAAGAAATATTTATTGAGCATCAGACATCAGAGGAATACAAAATAAAAGATGATAAAAGGAACAGGGAGATGGAGAACTGATACAATACACATAAATTGTAGATGTTTCTAAAGATTAAAAGACAGCGAGTGAAAGAAAACAATCATCAAGGGTATAATTAGATACAATTTTCTGAAGCTGAAAAGATCTAAATATGGAGATCAAAAATTCCTACCGTATTTTAAGAAAAGATAAGGAAAAAAGGATTCACACCTAGAAGAAAGTAGTAAATGCCAGAAAATGGGGCAACTTGTACAGTATTTTCAGGGAAAAGTGTGCAACCCAAGAACATTGTCATCAGCAAAATGGCCACTTGTGGGTAAAGGTTAAAAAAAAAAAAAGCAAATAAAGGACACGAAAACAAAATAAAACAAAAAAATACTTAAACTCTTATTTGTGGGAGAAAGAACTTGAATGTGGTCTACATACTACTAGGAGTGACTGGGATGAATGACTCAAGAATGGGGGAAACCATGGTATTAAAAGTGATTTTGAGAAAACAATTGATCTTAAGTCAAAAACTGTAAATACCCTTCCAATTTGAATGCAAATGTCAATATAATTCTCAAGAGATAGTTCTCAATTATGCAGTGCTAATAGAATAGAGAATGGGTTTAGAGAGAGGCATGAAAAACATAAACACAATAAATTGCTCATCTTATAAAGGGGAGGAGAGTTGACATCAAATCTTGAAAACCAGAGAAAAAACGATTCAAAGATGTAAAATGAAGCCAAAGTAAAATTTTGAAAAGATTCCTTCCCAACTACTGGGAAAAAATAAGCAAAAGCAAAATGCAGACCAAAATAATAAATACAAATAATAAATAAACAAAATAAGAGAAGAAATAGCAAATCAGTATACAAAGCAGATATGAAACAAGATGGTCAAGTCAGTAATAATGTTAGCTAACCCCTGCCTGCAGCTACTGCATACCAAGAGATTTGCTCTAAGCACTTTATTGCTTCATGTAGTCTTATTTTACAGATGAAGACATTGAGGTGCAGAGATTTTAAGTACATGCAAAGAGCTTAGAGCAGATCTCTTCACGTATAACATTGATGCCTGACACCTCCCATGGCACTGTAGACAAGGTCCCTGTCTAAGCCTGCCTTGGCAGAGAGGATAACACCTAAAATCTATAATATGAGTTTCTCCAGTTTTCTGCAATTTTATTCCCCGTACAACACAACTCTGATATCACTCTACTGTTATTTTGAGAGTACAGGAGAAAATGGCAGTGGGTATCTATCAGGTACACATGGAAAAGTACCTGATAATATCGCTACTGTAAACATCTAGATTTTACCTAGTAGTTACATCTTTTTTTTTATTATACTTTAAGTTTTAGGGTACATGTGCACAATGTGCAGATTAGTTACATATTAGTTACATATGTATATATGTGCCATGCTGGTGCGCTGCACCCACTAACTCGTCATCTAGCATTAGGTATATCTCCCAATGCTATCCCTCCCCCCTCCCCCCACCCCACAACAGTCCCCAGAGTGTGATATTCCCCTTCCTGTGTCCATGTGATCTCGTTGTTCAATTCCCACCTATGAGTGAGAATATGCAGTGTTTGGTTTTTTGTTCTTGCGATAGTTTACTGAGAATGATGATTTCCTATTTCATCCATGTCCCTACAAAGGACATGAACTCATCATTTTTTATGGCTGCATAGTATACTTACCTGTCTTGTTTTACTTGTATTCTGAGTACCAAAACTGACTCTCTAGCCTAGAGGCTTGATTTAGCCAAGGCACATAGCCAGGAGTGAGATGAGGCCAGGGGCTGACAATTCACACCTCTGCCTCCCCGAGGAAGCCACACAGAGATGTTGTAGTGTCTGCCAACAAAAGGTTTCCACTGGGCACTTTTCAGATAATTTTTAAAGATTCTGTATAATTAATGATATTTCCCAACAATCAAAAAGGCCAAACTTTTCTTATTCTGTTCAACACTACATCTCTACCTCAATGTCATAAATGCCACACAAAATGAAAAGACAAAGTTGAAAAACTAGTTAAAAATATTAACGGGGAAATGAAAGCAGGGCTGGCAATGTTAGTTCAGACAAATTTTACTCCAGACCAAATACTATTAAAGGAGACAAAGAGTGCCACTTTACGATCCACAGTGAAGATAAAATGCCATGAAAATTTATTTGCTGAATAACATAACATCAAAATATATAAAACTAAAAATGTTAGAAATAAAGTGGGAAATTTATAGAAACACGTTTGCTTTGGGAGAAAGTAACACACCTCTCTTACCCTTGGCAGTTAAAATAGACCAAAATACATAAATGTATCATACATACATTTAAATAAAATAATTAATAAAAATATGAATATTTTAAAATATGTTCTTTAAGCTTTCATGAAAGATATAAAAATTTTTCCCTTATTCTAGGCCACAAAAATAAGCCCAATAAAGTTTTATTTTTTTCTTCTTTTAAGTATATACTTTATTTTTAAATTTTTATTTTATTTTATTTTATTTCAAATAGCTTTTGGGGAACAGGTAGTTTTTGGTTACATAGATAAGTTCTTTAGTGGTGATTTCTGAGATTTTGGCATACAGGTCACCCGAGCAGTGTATACTGTACCCAACGTGTAGTCTTCTATCCCTCAGACCCTCCTACCCTTCCCCTCTTAGTACCCAAAATCCAGTACATAATTTTTATGTGTTTGCATTCTCATAGCTTAGCTTCTATTTATAATTGAGAATGTACAACATTTGGTTTTCCATTCCTGAGTCACTTCATGTAGAATAATGATCTCCAGTTAAAAAAAAAAAAAAAAAAGAATGGTCTCCAACTCCACCTAAGTTGCTGCAAATACCATTATTTCATTCCTTTTTATGGCTGAGTAGTATTCCATGGTGTATATATACCACATTTTCTTTATCCATTCATTGATTGATGGGCATTTAGGTTGGTTTCATATTTTTGCAATTGCAAATTAGCACAATAAAGTTTTAAATCTTTTAAAATAAAGACTATAAGACAAACTCTTCAAATTTAATGTCAATTAAATACAAATTAAAAATCCAAGTAAAAACAAATAATAATGAAAATTAAAATTTCTAAATAATTAGAATAATAGGCTCTAAATTACTGATTATTTAGAAATAAACTAAGAAAATTTCATCATAAACTCATGTTATACTGACAAAGCTATATTCCTAGGCAAGCCCATAACAGTAAGTCAATTCTTAATTAAACAAGAAATAATAATAACATTAAATTATTCAATCCATTTAAGATACTAGACTGAGACTCCAAATGTGGGGAACTAGGTAAATGCAAATTATGAAGATAAGAACAGAAATAAATTGAAATAGAAAATAATTAGAAAATGGAATAGATAAATTATTCCAGGAAGTTATGTCCAAACTAATACCCTCCCCATGTCTCAAAAGTAAATAAAGTAGATCAACTAGATCAACTTCTGGTAATCTAATGAAAAAAAAAATACAGAATCACCATTTACCCTTAAGAAAAATGAGAAATAAGAGAGACCAAATAATTACAGATATACAGATAATTTATAAAGAAGATAATATACTTAAAATGGCCAACTCTAGGTTAATACATTGACAAAATCATTGATAAAGTTAATTATCTAAGGGAGAAATAGAAATAATTGAAATGGACTCAAAACAATGCAAAGCAAAACAACTAATTAATTGAACAGACCAGTAACCACAGAAGAAAATTAAAATGTACTGTCTCATATGGCAGGCAATTTCATTGAAAGTTTCTCTTAAGCTATTGAAAATCAGATACTTTCTATAATTAATACATTCTTCCAGGTACGTGAAATATGAATAAGTTAGTAATGCCACAGACTATTTATGACTGATATGCCTTTGAAGATGCAAAAAGACAAACTAGGAAAACAGCATAAAGTTAAGAGAAGCGTGTAGGATCTTATGCTGCCAGGTTGATGGAATGGATTGAGAAGCATGTTCTCAAAACCAGACAGGCCATATAGCTTAGCAAACCTAGAGGAAAAACAGTCTCTGCATTTAACAAGCACCCTGTTTCTTTCTCTTTTCCGCATAGGGCTTCATGTGCTCATGCATATGTTCGTGTGCATGAATATATACATTTTCATATTCTCTCTCTCTCCATCTTTCTCTCGTGTGCACACACACACACACACACACACACACACACACACACACAACTTTGAGAAGTTCACCGTCTAACCTTAACTCGAAGTCCCCGTAGTTTCAGCTGATGAGAATAACAGGTAACCATCCACAAACACTGTGAGAAATTCATGAGAAACCCAACAGTTCCAGAGCCCTGCTCATTGCTTGGGTTTCAGTTAACTTCCTTATTACTACTTACTTCCAAAGGCATGCAAATAATAACCCAGAGAGATGCGGAAATAAAAGTAATGGCAAAAGGTGTTTTATTCTGGATTATTTTCTTGCATGAAAAGAAATGGCAGAGAATCCATTCATTGGAGCAGGAGAAGCTTAAACCCAAGCCCATCAGGTGAAAAACTGTGACCAGTATTCCAGGGAAACTGGGTGATGACTAGGGACACTATTTATCCTGGCTCTTACAAAGCACAGAGCTTAGTTTTATTCCTTGTAATTTTGAATGAGTTAAATACATAAATCAATAGCACCAAAATGGGAATCTGTACTTAATAGAAAAACAAAACAAAACAAACCATTGCTCTGGAGATTTAAAGAAAAAATTAAAGTTCTGGAAATTATATTTTCCAAATATAAGACTTCCCACTTGCATGTCAAAAACAGCCAGTTTGAAACAAAATCATGGGTGGTACAGGAGAGGCAAGAAACTAAGGTGGATGCAGAGATACAAAGAGAGCCTGTTGGGATAAGAACAGAAGATAAGAGTTTTCAAAAAGTCATGGTGAAATTTCAGATTTGCATTAGAGGTAACAAAGAATAGAACCAATATCACAGAAACTGGAATTGATATGGAGGGGAGGAATATGATAAAGACATATTGTAGTCTTCTATACTTTCTTACTAGAGGATCTGGAACATATTTATTTTATTCTTTTTTTGTGGTAATTTGGGATTCTCCTTTTAATTTCCATTTTTTCACTCTTCTCCAATGTATAGGAAAGCAATATGTTTCTTTGGAAATTTGGAACATATTTATTTTATTTTATTTTTGATAATTTAGGATTCTTGTTTTAATTTCCCATTTTTTACCCTGCTCCAATATACAGGAAAGGAATATATTTCTTTAGAAACTTCTGAATATATGTAGACTTTTGCTTCTTTGCATAAGTGCTCCAGCCTGCTGCACAGTTTTTGAGTCATTCTTAAAAATTATCTTACCTACTCTCACCTACTCTCCTAACCCCCATAATTTCTTTCTGAGCTAGGTCTGCCCCTCTTTTTTTCCCTTCAAGCTTTACCCACTAAATGTACATCTTCTAGTCAGCTATGCACTAGAAAAGCAACCAACTAATTTTATTTGATGTATGTGAAAAATAATTGCCAACAGACACTGAATCTTTAAAATGATGCTGCATAAGGCCATGAAGAATTTTTCTTTGAGAGTCAGTTAAGAGACATTATGATCCTCATTTTAACTCCTCCCCTGATTTTTCTTGGTTTCTCCATCATGATGCCCTCTCCTTCTACACAATAGATTGATTTAGTTATTTAGGTGTTCCTGTGTGTAAAATCATCTTAATGAGTATTGACTGAGGCACATGTTTGCTTGAGAGCTTTGCAGGTGTTCTGTGGAATACCAATATGGTAAGGCCATTGGGTTTCTTTTGAAATAGTTCACAAAGATAGGGGTGACTGTTGTAACAGCCCTAGTAACTAATGTCTCAGTTTGTAGCAATAGTTGGAAGGACTAGATATTAAAGTAGTGACGTGGGAGGAGTTTTCCCTTATCCTCCTCACAGGGCTTGGGACAGGGGTGTGGCTGGATTATTGGGTGCGCCGCTGCTCAAACTCCTAGGGGGAGCATGCAGATGGGCAGATCATGGGGAATGTGGGCTACAACCCCACAGCAGTGTCTACAGTTAAGTGTTTACAGTTCCCAAAGCCCCACTGGGCGTGTGTTACAATGTGCTCTTTCAGTTTTGCTGTCTGTAAGTGGTTTGTGTAAATCAGTTAAATTAGACCCTCTGCCTTATCGCAAGGACAGAGAGCTTTCTGTACCTGGGGTGCTTGCCCTGGTGTACTGGAAAAACCGGATCACATGTGGGCATGGAGAATAAGTGCAGTGTTTCATTGAATGGTGGAAGTAGCTCTCAGCAGATGGATGGGGAGCCAGAAGGGGGATGGAATGGGAAGGTGGCCTTCCCCTGGAGTCAGGTGTCTCAGCAGCCAGACTCTCCTCTGACCATCCCCAGCCGAATTTACTTGGCATTCATGTTGTTCCATCATCGATGGCCAGCTGGCATGTCTGTGTGTTCTTCTGCTGGTGTGTTCCTCCCGATGCCCAGCCACTTGTGTGTGTCTACTTAAGGTCTTGGGCTTATATGGGCACAGGATGGGGGGTGTGGTGGGTCAAAAGGCAACTTTTTGGGTGCAAAAACAGAAATGCTCATCCTCATGTAGGTCTGTGGGCACAGGCCTGAGGGTGGAGCCCTCACCAAGGACCCCACCCTTCTCTACCCAGCACTTCCCTGCCCCCCTCCCATATCAGTAGGACATTTTAAAAAAACATTCCTGGAAGCTGAAATGACCCCTCCAACCCAAGTCCTAATTGTTCTTGAATCCGGGGAAAACCTGGGCTTACTGCCTTCCAAGCTTCCTTTCCTTCAGCTAAAAGCAGTTTTAGGGATGCTGGTGGCACATCACTCTTCAGTTGTTACCATGCCTTGAAATGTAGTTTATACAGAATAGCCACAGTGGGAGGAGGAGTAGGAGGACTTCTGCAGAGGACATGTCGGTTACTGCAGTGGAACAGCCTCCTGAAGCCAGGCTGCTTGATTCTGTTTATGTGGGGGACTTCCCAACTGTGTTTCAATCGGCTTGCTCTCTAAAACTGCACAGTGTGGGCTGAGGATCTGCTTGTGGGACGATCACTTGCTCTCTGACAACCCAAGAATTGGCATGTCCCTTTATGGACAGTTTTTTTTTGTAGCTCAAATTCAGATGCATGAGAGTTATACCTTTTAAATAAAATAGCCTGATCTATTGAATAGCAGGAGAGACTGAAGTTGCTCCTGGACTCATGCATTTTATTGCTTTGATTTAGTGGCTTATTGGGTAGTAGGGTATCATTGGGGTCATATCATTGACTTTCTTCGCACAATGAAGAAAGAGGAGAAGGAGGAGGAGGAGGAAAGAGAGGAGAAAAAGAAAGACGATGAGAAGGAGGGGAGACAGTGCAAGAGGAGGAGGAAAGGGAAGGGGTGGAGAAGTGGGAAGAGGAATAGGAGAGGGATAAGGAGGAGGAGAGGGAGCAGGAGGAGGAGGAGAGGGAGCAGGAGGAGGAGGTGAGGGAGGGAGATGGGGGAAAATAAAAAGAACCAAAATACATGCATTACTTCTTTCTTGAGAGAAATTTGGATATAAGGATCCACCATGATTCAGCATCTGCCCTAAGTAAAAGAGAAAAAGCTTTTGTTTTCATGCCTCGGCCAAAGACTGAAGAGAAAATAAAACAAAACAGACAGACACATAAACATAACTAGTTAGTTTGTCTCTCTGGGGACTGGGAGATGGAAAGTCAACTTAACTCTGAGCCATGAATCCTGGCTCAAGGGATATCGTGCACAGAGTTTGGATTTTAAATTAGTGGGGAGTTTGGAGAGCTTTGCATTCAACTCCCAACTCCATGAGAAAGACACATTGAAGAAACCCTTTGACAAATAACTCACTCTTTGCACGAATTTGTCTCAATCTGATGCAGAGCAGGGAGTCAAAATTCACTGCCTCACTCAGGTCTACTTTGTTTTTCTCCACTCTCTCACCTGCCACATGAACAACGTGGGTTATGTTCTAGCTTCTCTTTCCCCTCGTTTGTAGTTCTCTTTCCCACTGCAGAGAGAAGGCTGGGACAATGACTTTAGATAATGCATCGGTCCTGAGTGCACTTTGGGAGTGGAAAGGCTTTTGAAGTGAAATTGCTTGCAAGGTGCTCCAAGACTAAGGCCAAGCAAACCCACTTGATAACATCAAGTTGAGAAAGACATGGGAAAACCAGTCTGGACCTAGTGGGAAGTGGATGGCACACTCAAATTGCACACCTGGAGGAATGTTTATAAAACAGCGAGTAGGGTGTAGGGCACTCACAAGGGACAGTGCCGCACCCAGATACTAGGAACAGTGGAGGAGGCATTATTATGTCTAGGCCAATAAGGGCAGAGAGAAGCAGGTCACAAGCACCTGGAAGGAGAGAATGGTGCTGGAAGGAGAGGGATGCCATGGCAGGAGTCCTGTCAGGTTTTAGCAGGTTTAGTCCTGTCACAGAAACCTGTAGGGAAGAAGTTGAAGGCTAAGTACCCTGATCTCATTCTTCTTCCTCTCTAGAGTCTCTGGCTGGGGCTCTGCATTGGCCACATGCAAAGAGATATGATGAGCCAAGGGAGTCCTTTGATGCAGTCCATGCAGGTCAAGCTTCCAGAATAGAGGCAGGAGAGAGGAGAGCAAGGGGTGGACTTGGGCAGGGGCAAGAAGTGATGAACAGCTCTAAGGAAGAGGACTATGAAAGTCTGGAGAAGCCCTGACTTTGACCCAACTGCTATCTCTCTTGCATCATTGTGCCTACAAGTTACAGGGATGGTAAGGGGAAAGAGCGGGGCACAGAGAATTCCCTTTCCTATTTTACCCATTAGCCAAAGAGGGAAAACAAGGGTTGGCCCCAGTACCATGCAGCCTGCCCTGGGACAAGACACCAATCCCCAAGAGGAAGTACTCTCTGGGTACACACCAATCCACTGACTAACAGATGTGGCAGACTCAGTAAAGCACAGATGCACTTTTTACAGGACCACTGATAGCATGTTCCCCTCACTGGGGTAAAAGAGTAACAGCAACTTGTGAAACCCCATCTGGTTATGGTGCACATACCAGACAACATGGTTATCTCTTCCATCATTTTGTTTTAGTGGAGACTGTTTTCAAATGGAAGGATTCTGTCTTTCCCTTGTCTGGGAACAGTGGCTATTAACTATGGGGAAACTGTCTCCAACAGTAGGTCAATCAATTACTGCATTTTAAAGCAGCTTCTTGAAAAACAACAATTTCCCTGCATTTCTGGGTGTGTCTTCTCCACGCCTTATCTATTTAAAATCACTGTTATTCTTGGCAGATATGGAGACTTTATTATTTCTGAGAGCTTTACAGGAGATCATATTCTGTTTTTTTTATGTATGCAGGGATAGAATTAGATTTTAATTATCACTGTCACCTTTTCACTAATAGATATAGACTTGAAAAGACACAAAATGGGAAGAATTTATACTGAGAGTTGATAAATACTCAGAAAGATGACTTAGCCAAACACATCTTCAAGTCAAAATGCTATCTGATCAGAAAAAAAAAAAAGATAGGATCCAAATGCAAAATTGGCTATTTCTGTTTACTTCTTAATATTCTTCATACTTTCCTGATGTAATGGGCTGGGACTTCCATAAGCTTTTCCCTGGATGAGAAAAATCAAAGAGGCTGTTTTCAGCTGTTCCTTAACCTTCACATTGGCATCAGCTGCATTATCTTTTACTCTGTTGGACTCTGCTAGTTGGGCTCTCCTATTTGGTTTTCCAAGAAGCTACAGAAAAAGCTTGACCGACTTTTGTCCAAAGGGCAGTAAGCAATAATTTTTCTTTGTCATATATTATCTGGTTGTGGGAGCTAGCTAAATCTGGGTTCAGAGACAAAACAGAAGTTGGGCATTTTACACTGACCTTGCCAGCCCATCTCGAAAGTGTCTAATTTTAAGCAATTCTTATAAGTATTGACCAGGACTCCTCAACCTTGGCAGTTTTAACATTTGGGACTGAATAACTCTTTGTTGTGAGGAGCTGTCTGGTGCATTGCAGAATGTTTAACAGCATCCCTGGCCTCTACCCACTAGATGCCAGTAGTACCCCTCTCTCTTCAGTTCTGATGTTTAAAAATGTCTCCAGATTTTGCTAAATGTCCCTTGGGGGGCAAAATCACCATTAACTAGGAACCAGTAGTATAAACACAACTGCTTATGATTATGAAATTAGATAGATGGATAGATGATAAATAGGTAGGTATGGTAAGTAGGTAGATAAGTTGTAGATAAATATACATGGGCACCTATGCATAGCTCAACAATATGAGGGTTGTGGTTTTGGAAAGACCATGTGATGTACCGTCAAGCACATCTGGATTTCAGACCGGGCTCTGTCCAAAACAAGCTCTGGGATACTTCCTTATCTACAGAGCCTAGCAATGTTGACCTCATAAGATTGTGGTGAAGACTTGATGAGCAACTGCTTGCAAAGGGCTCTCCACTGAGCTTGGTGCAGAGCAGGTGCTCTAGGAAAGCCATTTTCTTTCCACATGCAGAAGCTGTTAGTGCTAAATAGATAGACTGATAGTGACACTATAAATAAAAGTCAGTTTTGCCGTCTGTAAGAGGTTTGTGTAAATCGTGGATCATCTGAGGTCAGGAGTTTGAGACCAGCCTGGACAACATGGTGAAACCCCGTCTGTATCAAAAATATAAAAAATTAGCCAGGTGTGGTGGTGGGTGCCCTCCTAGCTACATGGGAGGCTGAGGCAGGAGAATCACTTGAACCTGGGAGACAGAGGTTGCAGTGAGCTGAGATCATGCTGCAGCACTCCAGCCTGGGTGACAGAGTGAGACTCCATTGCAAAAAAAAAAAAAAAAAAAAAGTTATTCCATACATTGATAGATGTTTCTACCCTCTTTGCTCTGTGTCAGCTGAAAGTGATGTCTGTCTTTGTTTCATACCATGTACTTGTTCATCATTTCACATAAAATTGCTTTTATTTAAAAATTAAGGGGCCAGGCCTGGCAGTTCACGCCTGTAATCCCAGCACTTTGGGAGGCTGAGGCATGTGGATCACCTGAGGTCAGGAGTTCGAGACCAGCCTGGACAACATGGTGAAACCCCATCTCTACTAAAAATACAAAAATTAGCCAGGCATGGTGGCAGGTGCCTGTAATACCAGATACTCAGGAGGCTGAGGCAGGAGAATTGCTTGAACCCGGGAGGTGGAAGTTGCAGTGAGCTGAGATCGCGCCATTGCACTCCAGCCTGGGGGACAAGAGCAAAACTCTTGTCTCCAAAAAAAAAAAAAGAAAAAAAAAAGAAAAGAAAAGAAAAGAAAAAATTAAGTATGTAAGAAACATATAAACACAGTCTCATTGTAAAACTTCAAACACTACAGATAAATCTTGGATCTGCCTTGACTGACATGGTTTGGCTCTGTGTCCCTACCCAAATCTCATCTCGAATTGTAATTCCCATAAATCCCCATGTGTCAAGGAAGGGACCTGGTGGGAGGTGAATGAATCATGGGGGCAGTTTCCTCCATGCTGTTCTCATGATAGTGAGTGAGATCTGATGATTTTATAACTGGCAGTTCCCCTTGCTTGCTCTGTCTTCCCTGCCACTTATGGCTTGTGAAGAAGGTACTTGCTCCTTCTTCAGCTTCTGTCATGATTGTAAGTTTCCTGAGGCTTCCCCAGCCATGCAGAACTGTGAGTCAATTAAACATCTTTCCGTTATAAATTACCCAGTCTCAAGTACTACTTTATAGGAGTGTGAAAATGGACTAATACATTGACCTTCTAACCCAAGTCTGCCCCTATCCCCAGAGGCACCTGCTGACATCAGTTTGAGGTATTTCCTCTCAGATCTTTCCTCTTGTTTTTATGTAATTATCATTTTGTGTGGATAAACATACATGTTTTGGTTTTATACATGATGATGTGTTACCTTTTTATGGCATATACTGTTAGTGCATACAGACCTAGATCATTGTTTTTTTGTTTTTGTTTTTGTTTTTGAGATGAAGTTTCACTTTTGTTGCCCAGGCAGGAGTGCAATGGCTCGGTCTCGGCTCACTGCAACTTCTGCCTTCCGGGTTCAAGCAATTCTCCTGCCTCAGCCTCCTGAGTAGCTGGGATTACAGGTGCCCACCACCATACCCGGCTAGTTTTTGTATTTTTAGTAGAGATGGGGTTTCATCATGTTGGTCAGGCTGGTCTCGAACTCCTGACCTTAGGTGTTCCACCTGTCTTGGCCTCCCAAAGTGCTGAGATTACAGGTGTGAGCCACTGCACCCTGCCAGATCAATTTTTTTTTTTTTTTTTGAGACGGAGTCTTGCTCTGTTGCCCAGGCTAGAGTGCAGTGGCGTGATCTCGGCTCACTGCAAGCTCAGCCTCCCAGGTTCACGCCATTCTCCTGCCTCAGCCTCTCGAGTAGCTGGGACTACAGGCGCCTGCCACTATGCCCGGCTAATTTTTTGTATTTTTAGTAGAGACGGGGTCAGATCAATATTTTTAATGGCTACTTGGCATTGCGCAGTATGAGGACTTTGGTTATTTCAAAGTTGGGGTTATTGCAAACAGTATTGCAGTGAACAGCTTTACATCTCACTGTGCATTTATCTGCAATAGATAGTAAGAAATGAAATTGCTGGAACAGAGGGTATGCACATTTTAAATTTTAGCAGAAAATACCAGGTTGCTCTCCAATGTGGCCAGAACATTTTACATTACTACAAAATTCAGTAACATCAAATTTAAAATTTCTTGCAATCTGATGAAAAGCAAAAAAAACCACAAAAACCAGATATCTTGCTTTAATTTGCATTCTACTGAACTGTCAAGATGAGTATATTTTCTTATATTTATTGACCTTCTTTAATTTTCTTTTGAGATTTGCTAGTTCCTTTCTTATACCTGTTCCTGTATTGGGCGTTTGTCTTCCCCTTATTGATTTGTATGATTTTTAAATATGTTCTGCATATTAATTCTGTGCCAGTTTTACACATTGCATAAGAAGAGACTTGAAGATGCCACATAGTAAGCATTTCAAAGGGCATCAGGTTAAAAAGCTGCTGTCTGAGATAATTAGTGAGCTTTTCCAAGCTGTACTTCCTGTCTCCTTGTCTCTGCTTTCCCCATTAGAGAGCTGGGCATCTACTCCCAATTACACTTTTGACATTAGCTGAAGTTGTCTTCCTGTAAACTCCTGGGTCTCCAGCATTTCACACAGGCCTCCTCCTCCTCCCTGCCTCTAGGCTCAGAGGCCATGGCCTATGGCTGCTCAAGAGAAGTACAACGGTGCCCTATTTCCTCATATTCCTATTGCCCCATAAAAGCCCCTCATTCCTCACAGCAGCATCCCCAAGTGTTCAATACAAAACACTGTTTCCATGGAATATTAATAAATTTTGTGTGCAAACCAGACTCATGACGTCAGCTAGCCAGACACTTGGTTGAACCAAATCTTTTCTCATTACAGCTTATTTCTTTTTATTTCAGAGATTTTGTTATGCCACCCTGCATGGTGACCTTCCAAGACAGGATTGAGTTAGCAGCATATTTCCAAACACATTTGATGAGACAAGACTTTTTCCCTAGAGCATCTCTTTAGACCACCACACCATGGAAGATGGTGCATGCAACAGGGATGCAGTTTGTCAGCTGTCTCATGCTCTCCCTGGAATGGGATTTTTTGGGGGACCACTCTGTGTCTTATTTCCCTTATGCTCTGGGCATATCCCCCACATATAGGGCATTAGGGCATTGCAAGTGGTAGAAGCTCCATGATAACTGCTAAATGGCGAATACTAACAGAATAAATGTGGGAAAGTGGTGCAGCCTCCCAGGAGAGTGCTGTTTGTAAGATTTCAGGCCTGGGTCTGATGGGTCTGGGTGTGACTCTGGACGACCAACCTACTCATCCTCCGTAGGTGGTAGTGGACTGCCCACTCTACAGTGGAAATAATAATACCTGATTTTCAGGAACTTTGAGGAAAACTGAATGAGATAATGGATGTGCTAGCATAGATAAGATGCCTGCAATTTTAAAACAATATTAATTTATGGTTTGAGTCTTGGTACAGTGTAAAGTATCTGAGAAAACCAAAACTTCCTGTGTTTTCTGATGCTCAAATTCATTCATTTGTTAGGGAGATAGGTAAGACTTGAGATGGGAATATTTTTGGTGGAAGAAATACAACGGCTCTCTTCCATTTAGTCGGCATGGCAGCTCACACCTGAAGTCCCAGCTACTCTAGAGGCTGAGGTCGGAGGATCACATGAGCCCAGGAGTTTAAGGCTGTAGTGAACAATGATTACACATGTAAATAGCCACTGTGCTTTAGCCCCAGTGACAGAGCAAAACCCTGTTTCTCTTAAAAAAACAAAAAACAAAACAACAAACAAACAAACAAAACTAATAAATAAATGCACATATATAGTGGCAGCCTTCTTCCTACATGATTGCTTTCTCTGGGCTTCTTGTCAGTTCTCAGTCCTGTGGGAGGACCTGTGGGTGGCACCCTGGCCTTGCTTCTCCCTGGCAGGAGCAGTTTCTTCATACACAATTGATTGCACTTTGCAGTTTTTCCAACACTTGCAGAACTGGTCCCATCCCCCCTCTCCAGATGCCTGCTGGAGCTGGTGGGCATTTTTTCCTCAGAAGTCTGAGTCCTGGCTCCATGGGGCCATTCCCTGAGAGTGTCATAATTCCAACCTGTTCTCTTTGTTTTCCCAACCCTAGGAGCGATAGCTTTTTCTTGCAGTTGATTGAACTATGATACTGCAGGGTTCTCTTTTTACCCTTTTCCAACTATCTAGTTATCAACTTTATTCCTAGTGAACAATTCTTTATATTAAATTCTCCCTGTTCAAATAACTGGGTTGGTTTCTGTCTTCTGAGTGAACCCTGACTGATTAAGGAATGAAAGGAGAATGGATGTAAGAGAGGAAGGAGTGAATTAGAAGGGAGGACTGACATAGTTGATCTTCTAAATCCATGTCTGATATTCATTTCTGAAATTCAGCTGCCAGCCAGTTAAGGGCTCAGCTGACTTGCACCAGGTGTTTTGATAGAAATCTGAACATTCAGTGTGTGAGGCCTCCCCGCAAGCACAATAACCCATTTACCATAGATTAGTTATTAATCATTATGTGTCTCTTTTGTTTTCTCATGGGATTGGCTGCTCAAATGTGTTTTTCTTTAAGGTGATGGAAAGTTATCAGTAATTCATTAAAGTGTTCTGGTGATGTTGATTGCTGTTATAATGATTACTACATTGTTGTATTAGGTTATAGGTATTAACATTGTCTCTTTATGGGAAACCGTTAATGAGCTACACACACTTCCAGAAGACACCAAGCCCATGAGTTTGGTATTTGGGGCCTGCTTGTTTCGTGAGCTTAGATGGAGACAAAAGACTTTCCTAGTCTAGGGCTCAAGAGTGTGTGCTCTGAAATCAGACAGCTGCACTCCTGACCATTTGGCTGTTGTCCCACGTGATCCTCATCCAAGTGCCTGCCAGTGGGTTTATGAAAGTCCTTGTCCCAAACTGGAAGCATCATGAATGCAGGAATGTTTGGCCATTGCATTCACTAGAGTATCCCCAACACCTACAACCTAGCAGATAGGCAGCCATGTTTTCTCTCATTGGAAGGGAATTAATTCTGCTGGAAATGAAGGCCCTGATAATACCTGCAACCTGCCAAAGCTTGCATAGCCTGGAAATGGCAGAGCAGGAGCCCAGCTCCAGCTTACCTGGTTCTGCAACCTGATTTGTACACACTTATCCATGTGACTGGCCCAGCTCTCCAATCAGGGGCAGGCTGGGTGTCACTCAATGCCCTGAATGCACATGGACCTGGGTGCTGAGGGACCACCCTTCTCTTCCTTTGCTCTTCTGTTCTCCTTCCTCCTCCTCTCTCTCTCAGACTTTTCCATCGCCTCATTAAAATGCAATTGTGTGATTCATCAACACTATTGGAGAAAGCTGTTAGATAAAATAAAGGGGGAGAAATTAGTATTTGCAAAGACAAGTAGTATTGAGCTTTCTACCTCATCAAAGGGCTAGATGCATACGTGTTAGCTGTATCACTCTGACTGCCAGAAATCCCCTGAGTGTGGGTTTGGTTTTTCTTTTTCTTTAATGTTTCCCTCTTCCTCTCCTCAATCTCTTATATGATCCGTGATCTTTACATTTTGCCCACAGTCGTGAAAGCTAATGGCATCATTTTCATGCATGGACATGGGCCTACCAGCTGACAGTGGTTAGCAATTCTTATTACAAATATATCTTCTAATTCCCGAGCTGGCATTATAAAGCTTTTTTATAGTGACACTGAACCAAAATATCGAGATTGCTGAAGCCTTTAAAGAAAGCAGCGGCAAAAGGTTGCGGAATGCCTTTTAAGTAATGCCGCAGCGAGGCTCTCTGGAATACAGATGGGATGCCTGCCTGAGTCTTCCTGTCACCTCGGATCACCCGGGAACGTAGACTCCAAACTCCCAATGGCTTTAGCAGAAATTGAGCAGAGATAAAGAGAGAGAGGGGGTAAAAGAGAGGGAGAGAGGGGTCTCTTTTAAGAAGTAACTTCTGCATGGTTTTGATGGCTGCCACTATCTGAACACAGAGAAGCCTCTTTGCTTTGGAAATGGAAATGATAAACCAGAATATGTATGTCAGACACAATCTGTAGGCCTCTCTCAAAAGCATTCTCTTCCCGTTCCCTAGCCCCATTCACTTTGGCTCATTCTTGAAGACACAGTTGAAGAGCTTGCTGCCTATATTCCTAATGAGGGCAAACTTTCCCCTCATCCTTCCAGCCCTGGGCTGGGGAAGTTTACCTCCTTTGGGTTTCCACTGCCACCCATCCTGTACTTCTCTCTATCACAGAAAAGTAAGTGTGGAAAAGTGGGCAACATCCTGGCTTTGAAGTTGGTCTGGGCGTTCGTCTTGAGTACATGACTTATGATTTAGGACAAGACATTTCAATTCTCAAAGGCTTAATTATTTCACCTGTCAAGTGGACTTAACCATACTCGCTTCATGGAATTGTGTTGTGGGTTAAATGAGGTAATGTCAGCATCAGAATGAAAGACAGGTGCTGTTTTTCTTTTTGCAGCTTTGCCGTATGCAATTTTTGGTGGCTTTCTTCCCTCGAAGATGGGGCTCCTTGAGGAGCCAGCTGGATCCACAGCTCCAGTGTTGCTGCCAGGACTCTGTCTTTCTTCTGGACTCCTGGCTCTGCCGGCCCCTGTGTGCTGGCTTTCTGCTTCAGGCAGGCTCTCTGTCAGTGGTTAGAAAGATAGAAGTTGGCAATTCAAAAGCAGAATCACATCCTCATAGCTTAGCATTCCGGTGGGAGCAGCTGGAAGGGGACTGAGGATTATTTCTCCCCTGCTAAGGCTTCCTTGAGCCTTAGTCTCCAGGGAGGCTCGTTGGCATGCCTGGGTCACATTTCTACCTATGGATCATGTAAGGGAGATGGTATAGTATTAATACATGCCAGAGCATCAACTTCCATTGCCTCTCATCCTAGCTTTCTGGAGTGAGGGTGGACAGTAGAGGTGCTTATTCTCCCAGGACCACATGAGATGGGGCAGGGACAGTTATCCGACGGAAAGGGACTGTTGGCACCAGGAGAAAAGGGAGGATCTGTGAGAAGTCAAAACCAAGAGATGTGTATTTCAAGTCCAGACACTTATTAATAAATAAATGAATCAGCAAACAAATGAAAGATAGTGGTTTTATGCAAAGAGCCTTGGCTTGTGAATTAGGAGAACTAAGTTCAAGTCGCAATGTCTCTATTCAGTTGGGTTACTTTGTTCTTGTCACCTTGCCTCTCTGGGCCTGGTGTCCCGGGATATAGAATTTTCTGGTTGGATTAGAAGATCTCCAAGGTCCCATTCCAACTTTACATGTCTATTATCTCATGCTACTGCTCATTAAGAGAGAATTTTAAGTTAATTGAAACAGGGCTCTTTCGGCAGGCTCTGGAGAAACCATATAGATATCTATAGGTTAAACAGAAGGGAGGGTAGTGGCAGGCTGTCCCTGGCTAAGGGAAAATGAAAAGTAAGACTGGTTGCCCTACTTGGGTCAGTGCTGTGCTTTCTTCAGGGAAGACTACAGACAGGAATGAACATTCTGCAAGCTGCCCACCAAGGGTCAGCTTGTCCGGCAGGAAGGACGAGCTGGGGCCATGTGGATGGGGGTAGGTGGGGAAACCATCCCCACAGGGTTGACAAGAATTGCATGCCGGGTTCTGGACAGATATATAGTTATAATTAAGCATTCATCAGACTACTCTCTGGCCCGCTTCCTTGTTGCTAAAATTCAGGCAGCACCAGATACTGACCATTTCCATCCTCGTTTCTAGAGGCAGAATTTCTGACATTGAAATCATAAATCTTCTGTTTAAGGATTGCTTGGGATGTTTTACAGACCCCAAATTCCAGCAACCAGTTTGAAGACCCCCATAGAGGAACAGGATGAGTATGAGATCACGGCTTCTTCCTCTCCATTTCATGACTTCACGCTTCACCCTGCGCTCTTCAACCAATCGATAATCGCCACACTTTGGCCCACTCCAAAACCCTTAAAAACCCTAGCCCCAAACTCCTTGGGGAGATATATTTGAGGTTCCCTCCCATCTCCTTGTTCAGTGACCCTCTGATTAAACCTCTGACTCTGCTGCATCCCAGTGTCTCAGAGTATTGACTCACTGTGTGCTTTGGGCAGTGGACTTACTACACCTACACATTCGTGACTGCTTTTACCATTAAACACCATTTGTTAGATGATTACTTAGTATTCCATTGTGTAATTGAGGAAGCAGAGGTTCAGAATAATGAAGGAGCTTGGCCCTGACACCCAGCCAGGGCTGGGGTTAAAAAGCCCACAGGATCCCTTCCTCAGGCCCCATGGAAAGGTCTGAGTGGTACCTGCCACTTGCTCTCCTTGGGCCAGTCATGGGTCAGTCAGGCTGCTTGACATTCAAAGGTCAGGCGGGAACAAGCCGAGGGGTCAGTAGCCCATCCTTATGGCACCTGATGTGCGGCTGCACACAGCCCTGGGGTCTCACCCCTCCTTCCTACATCTCACCTTCTTTTCATCGTCCTATCTTCCAACATACCCCGCAGAGGACCTGGGATGTCACAGGGGAGCTAGATGTCTCAGAATTAGAACGGAATCGAGTTCAATACTAGATAGGCAGCTATTGATAGCCTGGAGGAGAGCAGGAGGACTGACAAGCTAAGACCCCAGGGGAGGGCTGGGCCATGTTCCCATAGGGGCTGGAGGCATTGCCTGGCTTTCCCAGACTGCCCTTCATGACTGCAGGTCATTTTCTCCTGCTTTTGTCTCCATTTCTCCCCTATTCTATGCCGGCCCCTCTGACATTTTTTCCTTTGGTCCATTTTTCCCTTGTGATTCCATTTGCTTTTGAGTTTCTTGTTCTCTTCCCTCCGCTCTACACATTGCCCATCCCACCTGACTCCCCTTCCTTGCTCCCCTCTCTGGCCATGCCTCTCTCCATCCTGGCTGTCTCTCCCTGATTCTCCCTGTTGCCCTCATTGGCCCCTTTCCACTCTGCTTCTGCCTTTACAGGCTTGGCTGG
The DNA here is from genome assembly GCF_000001405.40 of Homo sapiens. NCBI lineage: Eukaryota > Metazoa > Chordata > Mammalia > Primates > Hominidae > Homo > Homo sapiens. The sequence continues at coordinate 65,784,793 of NC_000016.10, read as the reverse complement.
GTCCACTCAGCCTCTGTCAGAAGCCACCACCCTCCCTAGCTCGGGTCTGTCTTGCCTTGGATGTCTAAATCCCTGGGTGCTGCTGCCTGATGGCTCAGTCCCTGGCCCCAGTGAGGGCCTCTCCCTCCCTCTCTCAGCCGGGCCATTTGCCCCTGACCCCTCTAGGAGGAAATCTCAGCCTGGACATGCTGAAGAAGTCCCCTCACCCCACAAGATGGGGGGCTCTCACTCTGAGAGTGGAGGGAGTCAAGGAGCAAGAAGCCAAGCTGTGTGAGCTTGACCTTGCCTCTGCCCTTGGCCATCTATAGGCCTCCCTTCCAGAGGACTCCACCCGAATCCACCTACCTCCTGCATAGTGTGTGTGAGGAGCCTTGGGGGACCTGCCATCCACACAATGGGTCCTCCACAAATGCCATTCTTCTGTGTCCTCATCTTCTGTCCTGGGGGCAGCCTTTTATGGTCTCATCTGTTCACTCAGTCTGCATTCAGCGAGCATCCATGGAGCACCCATGAAGTGCCTGGCATCATGCCAGGTACCATCCAACCCCTATAAAGTGGGGAACAAGCCGGGATGTCTCCTCTCATCACAGGACTCCTGTTCTATGGGCAAAATCAGACAGACAGATGATAGCTGATGATGTCGGGGTGCAGACTCTGTGATCATGGCATCTCCCTGCCAGGAAAGTATAAGGGGTGCAGGCTCTGGGGAGAGTGCACGAGACCCCTGAGGGCCTGGGTCAGTGGGAGGCACAGCCAAGTCAGCACAGCTTAGGAAAGCCTGCCCTGGGTACATGCTCTCTCAAGCTGTGATGCTGGAGGATGTATACTATTAGATTTTCCTGGTAAAGGAGTGGTGTATTTATTGTGGAGGCCCGGAGAGAGGAAGGAGAGTTGGAAATTGTCCAAGCAAAAGGAACAGTTGCTGTGAAACTTTAGAGGTCAAGGAGAACATTTCTCCTTGTTCCCCAGGAGAATATACCTTTATCCTTCCAGACTCAGCCCAGCCTTGAACCTCGGTCCTTCAAGTCCCTATAGCTCCTTTTCCTAGTCCTCCAGAAAGAGCCTCCATCACTGCCTCTCAGTGGGTCTAGGGTCTAGTCCCTTCAAGGAACAGGAGCCATCTCATCTCTGATATCCCAGAACCTGACACCAAACCTGGAACATAATCAACTCTCAGTCAGTAAGTTCTGATAGATAGAGATGCATGGGTGGAAGGATGAGTGGATGAATAAAAATAAATAAATAAATAAATAAATAAAATAAAGGAGCTCCAGGCACAATCTGAACTCTGAGGCCACCAAAGCTTATCCCATCTTTCCCAGGTTCCTTCAGGACACACCAGTTCTTTCCAGTGTCCTGGGAATCTGGAAAATGCTAATCCATCATTATCTCAGGCTGCAAAGAACTCCTTTTTCTCCCAAGAAATCAAATGAACCCTCACATGTTGGGTGTGTTTGCGCGTGTTTCCTGCAAGCTGAGGCATGGATTTCGAGAAGTAATCAATTCCAATTGATTGGCATTGTCTCGGCCAACTTTGGATGGGAAAGTTCATTAAAAGCGGGCCTCTGGCAAGCCCGACACCCCTCAGTGCTGCGGTAATCAGGGCTTCATTATGCCAAGCAGCAGGATCAGCCCTAAAGAGTCCCTGGCACGGTTTTGTGGGGACTTGCCCATCTGCAGCAGCATTTTTTGTAAATGAGTAATTTGACCGTGATAAAAATCCACAAGGAGCTTTCCTCAGCTTGGCCAGTGAAGGGCTTGGAGAGAACTCAAGAGAGAGGAGAGCGAGCTCTTTGCTGGTGGAGCAGACACCCCATCCCCTTCCTTCTCCCTGCCCCACCACACGCTCCCCTGGACAGAAAGAAATTTCTTGGCGTCACCATTGGGAAAGTGTTAAGTGCCCCTGGCAGACAAGGGGCCTCCTGTGGAGCCCCATGGTCCTTCTGAGGGGCAAGACAGGTCTCTTTCCAGTTGTTTGCTTTCAGAGGCTCCAGAGGCTCCATCCAGGAAGGTGTAAATTTCTTTCTGAATTTGCACAGGGCAGCAACTTCTGGAAGTCATCAACTCTGGAAGCAACTGGCGCAGGGCTCCCTTAATGAGTGCACCAATCCCAGAGCAGGAGTCTGCTTCTAACCCATATTTATAGGTGTCTGTCATGTGCCAAGCTCTGTGCTGGGCTTGTCAATGTGCATAGCCAGGCTCTCCTTCTTTACAGCAACCACCAGAGCTGGAGGTCATTGAAACTGATTTTAAAACAAAACTTAGTTATTCAAAAAAAAAAAAAAAGAAAATGCTCATGTGGAAGTACTAAAAGTTTATGCAAAACAAATGTTACGATTTTCTTAAGACATGGAGCTTGGGAGGAGGCTTTGAAATTTTACTCTACACTCTAAACATATCATTCATAATTCTAAGGAGTGGTTACTGAAAATGCTTATTATAGAAATTTTGGAAAATAAAGGTGAAAAAGAAAAAAAAATACCACTAGTTAGAGATGATAAACATTTCCATTTTCATCCAGTAAACTAAGTCTGAAATGTACCCATGTTAACATAGATAAATGGTGAGCTAGGATTTGGCTCAGATTTTATAGTGATTTCTGCCCCACCAGGGTTTCTGAAGATGTTTTCTACATAATACTTGGTCCTAGGAAAATTTCTGTTAGAGGGAATAAAAAGATGCATGCTCAGATAAGACTGGAATATGGTGAGATCCATGTCTTATAATTGACAATTCACAGTTTGCTTGCAGTATTTATTTGCTTACTGAAGGCTATGAGAAGTCCTGCAAACTTACATGAAAAAAAAAAAAAGAAAAAACCCTCACTACCTCCAATTCCTATTAACCTACCTACATCCTGCCAAACTCATTTTGAAAAGTGCATGGTACCTCTTGCCCATGACCATCCAATCTCATCCTTCCTTCCACTTGAGTCTCTGAAGCCTTTGTGGGCAGGTAGGGGTTCCATGGTCAGGGGCAAGGGAGAAGTGCCCTCCAGAAAGTCACTGCTAGGAGGAACTGTGGGAATCTTATTGGCTGTTTCTTTTCTTTTCTTTCCTTTTCTTTTCTTTCTTTTCTTTTCTCTTCTCTTCTTTTGTTTTCTTTTCTTTTTAATAGAGAAGGAAACTAAGGAAGAGAAATGAGAGTGACTCACCCAGCATAACAGAAGAAGTAAAAGATAAGACTGGAATTTGAACCCAAGCCTCATGAGCAGGACCTGGGGTTCCTACCAGATGCAGCTTCCTGCTCAGGCCAAAGGCTCAGGTGACATTCTGACATGAGGTGGCGCCTGGCTGGCCTGGCTAGGATCTCTCACTGGCTCTGGCATGTGTAGGTCTTCAGCAGAATCAGATCATGAACTCTAATGTTCAGCAGCAAAAATACACCAATCTGGCTGGCTGGTTTTGCTTTTTGTCACATAGTAGAAATTATTTCTGGACCTGGAGGATGGATGGGGCTGCTTCTGCTCAGTTTCTACTAGCCCACACTTTTCCCCATGGCACATCAAGTTGGGTCACAGCAGAGACTGGCTTGTCCTGGGGCATCCTGTGTGCTGTGCTCAGGGTGAGGGGCTCCTGCCCTCATTCTGCTCCATGATTCAAGGGGTAGATAATCCCATCTCTTTAACCCTCTGGAGAGGGCCTGCATTTTTGAGAGGCCCAGGCCCCAGAATCCATCCCCATCTTCTATGAAATCCCATCTATAAACCATCACTGATCAATATCTTTGAATTCCCAACTCTTTTAGCTGCCTGCAGGGATTAGAGATCCCACAGCCATGAATTCACCAATTTGTTTTCCCCTCTTCCACTGAGCATGATCTAGAAGCCAGGAAGCATCTAGACATAGAAATCCAAAAGCAATATAACATCTAGTTGGGGACGGGTGTATAAACCGCTCAGTGAGGTAGGGCCACTGACAGTGCAAAATTGGAGGTACTGGAAGGCTCAGTAGGACCCTCCAGGAAAGGAACAATGGGATGGATTTTGAAGGGTGAAGCAGGTTAATTTGAGGAAGACAAGAGGCTAGGCTTTCAGTGGAAACAGCTTAGCTAAAGGGGTAGAAGGGTCAAACAGCACATCTGGGGCCCAATAGTAGCTTGGATCTGGGGGAATGGGCTGGTTTTGGAGCAGAGGCAGTAGATGCATCCTGAGTGGTGGGAAGGGGTCAGATATTGAAAGAAGGGTGTGAATAAATGCACGTGCAGAAAATCCTCTGCCTCTGCAGTGTAGGAGGATGGATTGGAGGCCCCCCCCCACCAAGGGAATGAGGGAGAACCAGACAGAAGATCCCTGCCCTAGACCAGGGGATGCCTGGGACAGTGACAGAGCAGAACTGAGACTGTTGTGGAAAGGGCCATGCACCTGAGGGGTAGAAGTGAGAGAGGGTGTGGCCAGATACGGGGAGTATTGTAGGGAAGGCCGAGGTCAACTTTAGTGTCTCCAGCCTGCTTGGCTGCAGAACGCAGACCATGGTCTCAATTTCACATAATTTTCTTCTTTCCACCAAGAATGAGCCACTAAATGCACAACTAAAAATGATTTGATAGCTACATCTTTGAAAGTCTTTTTCCATACCTTAAATAAGCAGTCAGGCTGGGTACGGTGGCTCACACCTGTAATCCCAGCACTTTGGAAGGCCAAGGCAGGTGAATCGCCTGAGGTCAGGAGTTGAAGACCAGCCTGCTCAACATGGTGAAAACCCATCTCTACTAAAAATACAAAAATTAGCCAGGCATGGTGGCAGGTACCAGAAATCCCAGCTACCTGGGAGGCTGAGGAAGGAGAATCTCTTGAACCCAGGACGTGGAGGTTGCAGTGAGCCGAGATGATGCTGCTGCACTCCAGCCTGGGTGATAAGAGCAAGACTCCATCTCAAAAAATAAAATAAAATTAAAATTAAAATAAAATAAAATAAAATAAAATAAAATAAAATAGGCAGTCATATTTTTAAATACCAGGTCTCAAACGGCAGCATAACACAGGCAGGGTGGTGAGGATAGTGCACACTGGGTGTAGACCATAACGGAGAGTTGTGTCTGCAGAGCATTTAAACCCAGTAACACAACAGAATGCACTCTCTGCCAAAATGTCCTTGGTTTTTGGGTTTGAATATCCAGCTACCAAGCTTACTGACTATTTTAAGCTAATGCCATTTAGAAAGTCTCGTACTTTACTAGTCGAAGCCCTGGAAACACCCCCGTTTAGCAGGCTACAAAGTCTGGATTTGAGGGCTTTTACGCTATTTCCTCAAGAATATTTTTTAGATCTTCACTCCTCACTTGTACAGCCCTCTCCCACCCCACACCTGCCCCAGATCTTTAGACTCCAGAACAAATTGCCTTGCCAAGCGGGGAGAGCATAACAGCTTCTCACTAGCACATTTTCAGGCATATTATTGACCTGGCCTCTGGCCAGGAGGAGGCCCAGCCTCTCTCCATCTCAAGGGAGGCATTCCTAGGCCCTAAATAAACCTCGTAAGTCATGCAAATGCTCCCAGAAAGAGCCCAAAATGTTTGGTCTTTCTCTAGGGCAGCAAAAATGGTTCACGAGGAACATAGTAAATATCACCCCTGGTGGGTGTCGCGTCAAGGGCCTCTCGGTATCAAGGCTCTAAATAAAACTTCATAGAGAAGGGAGGGAGTCCAGGGGAGTAAATGAGGGTGGTTCTTCTAGAAAGCATTTTTAGGGTACTTCCTGAGAAAGCAGAACCCGACAGCCGGCCCTGAGGAAGGCAGGGTTGAGGCTCTCCTCTGACAGGGCTCTAAGGCCTGGTTGTAAATTGCAGGAGAGCAGGGGAGTCTAAGGGAGCATCTAGTAGCATCCTCAGCCATCCTTGCAGCTGAGGGTCTCCTGCCTTTCTTCCTAAACCCTCATAAGAAGATTTTAGTGTGTTGATTTGGGGGTAGAGATGTCAGTGGAGTGAGGATAGGCCAGGGGCAACTGGATGCAGTGACTCAGCACCCACCAGAAACATTTTCTATGTTTCTCCTGAACTAAAGTCTAAGTTCCTACCTGGACTCTAGGCCCTGGTACTCTGGTTTGAGTCTGCAGTGACATCTGGGCCATGCCCATCTTTCAGGTGCCACCTAGGCCCAGATTAGAGGCTGAAAATTCAGCAATTGTTATCTGCAGATGTGGGATTTGTCTTTGATGGTTCAAGACAAATCACCCTCAGGTCAGCTTGCTCCTGCTGGCAGTTCTTCCAGCAGCTCAACTCATTCAAGTCATTCAAGGCTGGAGTCCCCTCACCCTCACCCTCACCCAAACTCCACATTTGCACACATTTGTTTAACCAGTGGCAACCCTGTGGGTGAAAATGACATCTTGTCATTGCTTCAATTTTTGTTTCCTGATTACCGTGAGGGCAAATATTCTTTAATATGCATGAGCTGTGTGTACTTCTGTTTCTGTGGATTGCCAATATAAATCCTTAGGTCATTATTCTGTTGGTTTATTTAGTCTTTTACTTATTTATTTGTAGACATTTTTATGCGTTCTCATCATTAATCTTTTGTCTGCTATATATTTTGAAAATATTTTTCACCCAATTTTGTAATCCAATGTTTTACTCTTTTCACAGCATTTGTGTTTGAAAAGCCCTGATTTACCACAATATTATAAGTATATTTATTTGGGTTTTCTTTTAATCATTTGATATTTTTACTTGTTCAATATTTGACACTTTAATAATTCTGAGACTTATTTTTGGAAATGATATTAGGTCGGGAGTAGATAGGCATCTATTTAGTTACTTATGTCAAATGAATAGCCAGTTGTTCTCACACCATTTATTGAATTGCCCAACATTTCCAAATTGATTTGAAATGATTTCTTAGTCATGGAACATGTACCTATATGTGTTTTTAAAGTGTGTATGTGTAGATATGCATTACACACACAGATATGTGTAATATCTGTCTATACAGATTATCTGCACATAATTTTAGTGGAAATATGGATAGATGGAAAAGGCTGTGGCTTTGGTGCCACTTTTGAGGTCTTTGCATTCATCAGCAGCATAACAAGCCTTTGCTAAGTCTATATTGCTTGTGCATATTTAATAAATGCGTATCTTGTGGTTGTTACCTGGAGTCTTTGCCTTTTGGGAAGTCTCATTGCCTAGTGAATAGGCACACATGGGTAGGTTTTAAATTTAAGAGACTTAGAAATAATTGAATCAGCATCTAAAATCCTGGATTGGATCCTGGAAGAGAAAAAGACATTAGTAAGAAAACTGATGATATCCAAATACAGCCTGTAGTTTACTTAATGGTATTGTACCAATGTTACAGTCTTAGTTTTGACAAATCTACCATGACTATTATAGGACCAGTAAGTTTGTATGCCTTCTGTACAGTAACATACCAATTATACTGAGACAGCAGAGTCTACAGCAGAGAAAGAGTTTAATGATTGCAAGGTGCTGAGTGAGGAGATGGGAGGAGATCCTCAAATCCTTCTCCCAGAGGAGTTCTGAGATGGAATTTTTGAGGGATAGTGGAGGATGAGGGACTGGAAAACTGGGATTGTTGATTTGTTGGAGCAAGGGGGATGAAATCATCAGGATGCAGAAATTGAGTTATTTGGTGAATAAGCTCCTGTGGGTCCTTCAGACCAGCTGACATCAGTAGTTTCACTGGTACACAGGACCTGAAAGAATGTCTAAAAGGGAAAACAATGTTTTATAATGTTCAAGTTATCTATAGAGCAGTTAAGGGGGACGATAACCTTGTTGCAGGGTCTATGTGATTCTAGGACAATAGACACCAAACAACTATTAGGAAGCAGGTCAGGGAGCAGGTTTAGGATTAATGCTGAGTAAGCTGCAAGCCTGGCTTATTTTCATTTCTCTCTCTCCCTTCTGCCCTGATTAATTTATTAATTGTATAGTTTATAGGGACAGTTTCATGACTATGGAAGGTGTTAACATTGGGGGAAGCTGGATAAAGAACCTATGGGAACTCCTCATACTATTTTTGGAAATTTCAGTTAATCTAACATTACTTAGGGATAAAAAGTTTATTTAAACTCAAAAAATTAACATGCAAAGTTAATGTTACAAAGAATATGCAATTATGAGTTCCTCTGGGACAACAGTGAATATGTCCCAGAAGAGAGGGGCCGTTTGAAGTGTGTGACTTCACCAAGTCTCCTCACCAATTTGGTTCTTGCTTCACAAAACAGAGGAACAAGTACAAGATGATCTCTGAAGCTCCTTCCACATTTTGGAGGTAGAGTTATTTGCCCTATTAGAAAGTCCTCTGACTCAAAATTTCTTGTGCATCTGTGAATTTTACACTCAGTAGATGCTTAATGAGTTTTGGCTCCAAGCAAGCATAAGTCATCAAGTTATAATGCTGAAAGAACCAGGAGTTTGGATCAGAAGAAAATAGTTTAATTGCAGGTCAACAAGCTGACCGGCTGCTGCCCTTTGGTGGGACACTTAGCCTCAGTTTGCTCACCTGTAAAATGGGGATTAAAAACGTTTTGCCTCCAGGGCTACTGTGACAATTGAACATGGTAATGTGTATGAAAAACCTTCCTGTCAGTACCTGGCATGTTGTCCTTGCTCAAGAGACACAGTTCCTTTCTTTTCTTCCCCCACTCTTGCTGCATTTTAACTCCTATTCCGATTAATACAGCTGTGCAGTAACCCTGTTAACAGCCAAAATCTCATTTAGAGTTTCTCATCATCATCTTCCAAACTGTCATATCACTCATTGCTTACATTTCTTTCCGGTTGCTGGGGACAATAAAGCAGGCAAGACGTTTTCACAGTAATTCAAAATGTGATTTTTCCAGGATCATATTGCATGGGGAGGCCATCTGAGTTGAAAGGAATTTTTAGTTGGTTCACTGTCACAAATAGAATAACGGGAAATAAAACAAATGAGACTCAGGCAGTACACCAGCAGTGTCAAATTTCTTAAAAACCAGATAGTATGTCCTGGGAGGTTTAAATATCAGCCCCACTCTGGATGTAAAGTGAAGACGTAAAAGCATGAGATTTGGCAGGACCCCAACATCACACAGCCCCCAAGAGAAGGCACCAGTCCCATAGACTGCCTGCAAAAGGCGCCTCCTGGATTTGTGCAATGTACTGCATCTAGGGGGCATTAGGCAGTTTCAGGGATACATCCTGGCTCCATGGGGCACCAGTTGAGTGACTAAGTTACTGAATCCCTCTACATTTGACATTGCTATTTGTAAAATGGGGACAGGATTAAATGAACCAACAGGATCTATAGCACCCACTGCAAGAGAATTTTTTCATGAGCTCTTGTTAAAATTAGTTACATAGAATATATTTCTAGGGGCCAAATTCTGAGAGAGAAGCCTTCAGGTGACCTTAGCACTTTAGTGACATTCTACTTCTCAGGCCAAGTGTTCTGCACATGGGTATGAGTTTTATGATTTTGCTTTATAACTTGTATATACCTAATATATACTTCATTGTATATAAAATATTACATAATTTAAAGAATCCCAAGGCAACCACTCTGAAAGCAAGTTTATGTTAAGAGGTTTATTGAATGGTAAAAAACAAAACAAAACAAAACAAATCCAAGACAGATACCGATCATCAGATGCAGAGACAGCAAAAAGACACAGAAATTCCGTGCACCATTAAGCTTCAAAACCCATTCCATTCGCACTGAGCAGGTGTGGTTTTCTTCCCTTCCTCCCCAGGTGTGGCGGGCCGTGGGATTGGACTTCTGTGTCCACCTCTCCCATCTGTGCACAGCTTAGCACTCAGCTTGTTGCTCCCAGCAATGCTGGCCCTGGGGCAGGGGGAGTATGCGAATGCGGAGTGTTTTCCTTTGGCGGGAAGGTCATTATCGGTCTTTCCTTCTTCTTGCTTTTTTCATCTAAGGAGGAAGAACAGCAAATCTCCTCAAAGGGTCTTTTAGCACATGGAACTCCCAGGCCACCCCTCTCTCTGCTACCTGTTTCTATGTCATGTGGTCTTTATATCTATGTAACACCCCCAGCACAAGGCACTCAACAAGGACTCACAAGGATTCATTTCTTTTTCCCATTTTTGACAGGCTCACTCTCAGTTTCTCCAGCTCTGAAATGGGAGCCCCACCACCTACTTCAGAAGGACATTGTGACAATTCCAGAAAGCTAATGTGGTCACCCCCAGCATGGGAACTGGTACAGAGGAGAC